>NC_000008.11:19557072-19860102 GCF_000001405.40 Homo sapiens
TTATTCAGGTGAAAAGGGATTGGCATCACTGTTGAGGTGCCTGGAATTTCCCTTGCACCCCAGATCCAATTCTGTAAATTTAGTTGCCTCTTCTAGACACATCAGGAAACCACTGAGCTGTCACAACCTCATCCTACCCAGAATCTCCTGGTCTACCCGGAATCCCTGTCTACCCATAATTCCCTTGTCCTTGATCTCTTGCCTTAAAACTGTAGTTGCCTCCTCACTACTATTCCTCTTTTCTATATTTGTCTCTCTTCAGACTATTATATGGCAGCAGAGGGATCCTTGCAAAACTAAAGTCAGATTTTGTTATGTTCCAGCTCCAGACTCTCCAACGTCTCCCATTCAATACATCCCAAATCCTGGACCAGGGCCTCCAGGCCCCTAAAAGACCCTGCACCCAGCCTCATTTCCCACCTCAAAGCCCCCACACTTCCCCTGCTGCCTTGTTAGCCACACAGGCCTATTCGTTGTTTTGGGGACACACCAGCATTTGTACTTTCTCTTTTTCTGGGACATTCTTCCCCTAAGTATCCACAAGGCCTATTCCTGTATTTTATTCAGGCTTTGCTCAAAGGTCATCTCACTAACTTCCTCTTGACCATTCTACCCAAACAGCACCCCCTGTCAACTCTGTTTCCTTTCCTTGCTTTATTTTTCTTCTTGCCACTTCTTCATACCTATCATGTTATTATAAAGCTCTTTGTTTGTTGTCAATCTCCTATCCTGAAACATAAACCCCATGAGGAAGGAACTTCGTTTGTTCACCACGCCATTCTTCTCAGTACATACAACAGTATCTCACACGTGGTAGCTTTTCAAGAAACTTGTGATACTGTTTGAAACCATATCAAAAGGTGCCTAGCAATAAATCTAACAAAAGACATGTAAAAATGAAAACATAAACAAGTAAACAAATACAGTCCCAACTCTAATAATAAATGCCTTTCTGATTTTAGTAACGTCACTCATCTCATCTCTTGGACAAGGAAATTGTACTGCATGGCTGCTTTTGTCTCATCTCATTCTAAAATTCTACTATTTCCTGAATCAGCTGATCACCACCACAGAATGTTGTGAAGCTACCATTTGATGAATGTTTATCATGTTTACTACAAGTGTTATTAACAGCTCAAGTATACATTTAAGCTACCTTTTGGCACACTTTTACATTCACTTTGGGTTTTTTTGTGGATTCATGGCTCTTTAACATATCCAATGTGATTTGATTGCCAGTATCATGTTTTACATTTCAGCCATTCCTCCAAAGTAGGAACCCTCTTCATGGCTGGAACTTGGCTCTTTGCCCTTCTTAACACTATTTTAGAAACTTCTTCTTTACAGTTAGGGATTTAAGGGTCCCTATAGTTGAGAAAGTTATACTATTAGGGTTTCCAGGAGATTTCTGAACATTCTTGAAAAGGGTATGTTAATACAGAAAAAGTATCTATGGATTTGGAAAGCTAATTAACATAAATCGAAATTATATCCTGTATTTTATATCATGTGGGTTTAATCTAGATGTTTACTTTTTAAACTTAAAAGACTTATTTTTTGCTTCCAAAAGTAAAAACTATTCTTAGAAAATGCACTACTCAACTACTGACTCAACGCTTAAACTATTAGTGTCATGGGTTATCCAAGAGAGAAAAATTCTTTTCACACTGACATTTAATTTAGAGATTTAAATAGAATACTGAACAAGTTTTAAATCCAGTTATTAAAAAAATGGTTTCAGGGATGAGGCCATTACCTACACGTCATCAACATTCTTGGGAAGATATTTTGCAAAGAGGTATTTTTTCCATGAAACAATTTATATAAAGGAATTTTTCTCATTATTAGCTAAACTGGAAATATTCTGAACATAATTTGAACTTTCCCAAAGGAAGATCATTTCCAAATATTTGATGTTCCTTGAACTACATGCATAGGTAAACAGTTCTATTTCAAAGCAACTGTGGCTTTCACAACAAAAAAGCTTAATTTTTATTCCTCAGGGAACTTCAGAATGAAATTAAACATTTCAATGCTCTATTTTAACAACAAAGATGGTATCTGAAATGGAAATTACAAACTAATGTCTCTCATGAACATGGATACAAAGCCCCACAATTTTAGCAAACCAAATCCAGTAATATATATCATGACCAAGTTGATTATAATTTTTTCAATAAATGCAGAAAATATAGCTGATAAAATTGAACATCCATGATTTAAAACTCTTAGAGAAGTAAGAAGAGAAGGTCACTTCTTTCCCATTAGATTATCTACCATACAAAAATACTACCGCAAACATCATACTTAAATGCTGACAATTTCCATTTGAAATCAGAAGCAAGACAAAGATGCCTACCATCCGCACTTCTATTCAACATTCAACATCAAATTAAAACCTAGCCAGTGTATTAAGGCATAAGTAAATAAATGGTACAAGGATTGGAAAGGAAGAAACAACTGTCGTTATTCAGAAATGATATGATATCCAAATACATTCACAGATAAGCTGTTAGAATAGTAGAGTTCAGCAATGTAGGGAAACCAATTAGCAATGTAGAAAAACTAAATTTCTATGTATATAAAAGCAAACCGAAAATGAAATCCAAAAAAAAGATACCATCTGAAACTGTATCAAAAAGTGCCTAGCAATAAATCTAACAAAAGACATGCAGAAACCTCTGAGGAAGAAAACAATAAAACTTCAGTAGAGAAAGACAACATTGTAAAGATGTTGGTTCTCTCCAAATGAACTTATAGAATCAATACAATGCCAATAAAAACCCCAAGACTTTATGTGAGGTGGTGTGGAACTTGACTAAGTTGATTGTAAAATTGCATATGGAAATGCAAAGGGCCAACTATAATTAAGACTCTCTTGAAGTACCAGGCTGTTCTCTCAGATATTAAGACTCACTTAAGAAGACGCAGTAATTAAACCAGTGTGCTACTGGTATAGAATAGACAAACGGCACTGACTAGAACACTTGGAAATAGACCCCCACTTATAAACATTTTTGGTATGTTGCATAGGTAGTAAGTAGAATGTAACCTGCACGGACCTTGGGGGACTGAACAAAGAGGGTGAAGTGGTTTCACTAAATGGAACTAGAGTATCCAAATAAAAAAATTCATTTCAATCTTTACCTCACACCACACATAATAATTTCAGATGGACTTTAAGCTTAAAGACTGCAAGATTAAACTCTAAAGCTTTTAAAATTTAATTTATAAAATATATTCATGACCTTGAGCTAGGAAAGGACTTCTTTAAAAAGGCACAAAAGGCAACAACCTTATGAAGTGGCTGACGAATATGACTACATCAAAATTAAAAACTTTCTGTTTATTAAGAACCACCATAAAGAGAGTTAAAAGACATGCCACAGAGTAGGAAAGAGATCAGTCACATGTATAACCAACAGAAGACTTCGATCCTGAAAGCATAAGAATTCTGCAAACAATTCAATAGATACACAACACGATGGAAAAATGACCCACTTCACACACACAAGGGGAAATCCGTGTGACCACAAACAGGAAAAAGGAATCAACCTTACGAGCAAACAGAGAAAAGCAAAATAAAACCACAAAGAGATATGAATACACACCTTCATTCTGCAACAAAACAAAGTATGACACTACTAAGTGCTGACAAAGATGTAACACCACTTGGAACACAGGACAGATGCAGAGATGCGTATTCCAGGAGCCAGCAATTCCACTTCTGGGTTGATAGAGAAAGGCATGCTGGTATGCACTGGAATGCAGGCATAGGAATATTCACAGCTGCAAAATCTATATTCCCAAAACTGTTAACAACCCTAAGGTGGATAAACACACTCATATTTTCATTCAATCAAATACTTCACTATACAGCAGCAAAATCTAAGAAGCCACAGCTACACACAGCAGAATAAATGCATCTTACAAACCTAATATAGAACAAAGCAGCAAGACTCAAAAGAACATACAAAGGCTGACTTCATTTATATATAATTCAGTGATAACCATAAATAATTATCAAAAGAGTGGTGAGATTTTTTTAAAGCAAGGCAATTATCATAAAAATGAGAAGACTAGGTGTCTGTGGGAGAGGAAAGGAGTGTGATCAGGAAGGGACTCATGGAAGGTTATGGACAATCTGTCAATCTTCTGTGTTATATAGGTATCTACTTTCAAATTATTCATTAACCTCTACATTTATGGTTTATGAACATTTTTGTACATATTTTTGGTCTTATAATGAAAATGACAGAAAACAAACGTGTAAATTTCAGAGCTTGATTTGGACATAGGTTGGATAAGTGCTTCATGACCAACAAGCACAGGAAGCTAGGAGAATAAGAAACAGATGAAAAATAATGGTGGAGGTTGTTTCCTATGTATGAGTCCCTCTCCGAGGCCCCACCAGGCTCTTCACTTGCAAGCCCTCTGCTCTATCCCAGATCCTGTGAAAAAATTCAAATCTAACTGTGGCTTATACCTGCTGCTAAAGGCGGCCTTGGCCTGTCCTGCAGCAGGTGTGATGATTAAGATCCACGTGCAGGCCTTCTCTCCCTTTACAAGGGGAAAACAAGTACATGGCAGAAGGGGCAGGGGGCATACAGAGAATGATTCTTTTACCCCTCTGACCTTGTTACTAGAAACTAGCACAAGAACAAGCACAAAGGGAATATGCTGTGAAGCTAATTCTACTGGCAGTGAACCAATAGTGAGGAAGGCCAGTGGAAGCAGCAGTGATTACAGGGAGAAGAGGAGAAGTCAGTGGGGCCAGGAGGGTAAGAGGTAAGAGGAACACCTGAGCCCAAGCCAGGCCCAGATGGGTGGGGAGGGATTGCTATTTCAGCATGCGGCCTGATCATGCCTGCATTTCTCACCCTTGAACCTCTAGAATGCCCTTGACCTTCCCCTATCCTCCACCGTGGCTTCCACCTTCTCCTACTCCCTCTGGATGGAGCTCCTACCAAGCCTGCACTGAGGCATCACCTGACAAGTATGGGTCCTGGGGGAGGAAAGCTGCTGTGGTCCCACTCTGAGCACCACCATCCTGCCACCCCCACAGACCCCCCACAGCCAAACCAGAGGCTTGGGCCCTGATGGGCTATATCAAATAGAACCCAGGCTTAAAGATATTATCTTGAATCTTCAACCTTGAAAAGGCTCTTCATGGTCATTGAAAGCTGACTTGCTTATTTCATAAAAATTCTTCAGGCTAAGGCAAAGAAGTCATTTTGAAGTGCCCTTTTACATAGAATAGTAATGACTTAGAAACAAAAAAATACTATTTTTGCTAGGCAATACCATTCAGGATATAGGCATGGGCAACTATTTCATAACAAAAATGTCAAAAGCAATTTCATCAAAAGCAAAAACTGACAAATGGGGTTCAATTAAACAGCTTCTGCACAGAAAAAAAAAAAAAACTACCATCAGAGCAAACAGACAATCTACAGAATGGGGAAAAATTCTGCAACTTATCCATCTGACAAAGGTCTAATATCCAGAGTCTTAAACAAATTTACAACAAAAAAATAAACAACCCTATTAAAAAGTAGGCAAAGGACACAGACACTTTTCAAAGAAGACAAGAAACATATGAAGAAAAGCTCAACATCACTTATCATTAGAGAAATGCAAACCAAAACCACAATGAGATACCACCTCATGCCAGTCAGAATGGTGATTATTACAGTCAAGAAACAAAAAATACTGGCAAGGCTTTGGAGAAACAGGAACGCTCTTACACTGGTGGTAGGAATGTAAATTAGTTCAACCATTGTGGATGACAGTGTGATGATTCCTCAAAGATCTAAAACCAGAAATATCATTTGACCAAGCAATCCCATTACTGGGTATATACCCAAGGAATATAAATCATTCTATTATAAAGATACATGCACATGTATGTTCATTACAGTACTATTCACAATAGCAAAGACATAGAATCAACCCAAATGCCCATCAATGATAGACTGGATAAAGAAAATGTGGTACATACACACCATGGAATACTATGCAGCCATAAAAAGAAAGGAGATCATGTCCTTTACAGGGACATGGACGGAGCTAGAAGCCATTAACCTTAGCAAACTAATGCAGGAACAGAAAGGCAAACACTGCATATTCTCACTACTAAGTGGGAGTTGAACAATGAGAACATATGGACACAGGGAGGGGAACGACACACAATCGGGTCTGTCAGGAGGGTCAGGGGGAGGGAGAGCATCAGGAACAATAGCTAAAGCATGTTGGGATTAATACTTAGGTGATGGGTTGACAGGTGCAGCAAACCACTATGACACACATTGACCTATGTAACAAACCTGTATATCCTGCACGTGTAACCTGGAACTTAAAAATTTTTTAAATAGAAAAATATTATTTTCAGCAGAGACAACTGGCAAGTCATGGCTGACCTGGAGTCGCCTTTACCCACTCCCACTCTATCAGTGCCCACCCATTGCCTCCACATCTGTGTCAAAAGAACCCATTCTGATGGTCACCATCACCGCTCTTGAATATGCCTGCTTCCTCCTATTCCCACAGCCCCTGCCTTACTTCAGTTACTCATTCACAAACTACATTGTGACTACCATGGTAGCTTTCTAAGCAGTCTCCACCTCCACTCAGATCTTTAATCCACCCTTCAAAGTCAGCGGATCCAGCCTCCTAACACAAGTCTGCTCAGATCCCTCTAAGCCTCAAATGTCTTCACTAACTCCCAGCGACTCATACAGTCTAGCCTTCCTTGCGTAACACTCAAAGGCCTCCAACCTCCCCTTCAGCCCCTCCCCCAGGCATGTCCTCCCCAACCCTAGACTCCCACCACACTGGCCTCCTCCCTCAGCCACGCACACTCACACACCACGCTGCGGCTGTTTCTGAAGCTGGACGTTCTGTCTCCACGGCTCTCCACACCACACCTACTCCTTCAGATAATCCTTCAGATTTCCACCACTGAGCACTGCCCTGTCCTGACTTGATCCTTCCACTGTCGGTGCTCCCACAGGATACTGCTTTAAAACTTCAGTTAAAACGCTTCTTTCACTGAACTTAACGCACAGAACATTTCGCAAACTTTTAAAAGAGGAAACCAGGTCATATCACTCCCTACTTTAAAGGACTTTAAAGACAACCCGTTGATTTTCAAACAAAATCTACGTTTTCTACTTTTTCAATATCCTGAATTACCCATGCTGGTTTCCTGTTAGATTAGAATCCCTCTGGGCACAAAACAAAACAAAATAAAAACAGCCACAAAAATGGATGCCTAGTCCCATCCTCAGAAATTTCAATTTCGTTTTTCTCAGGTGAGGTTCAGGTATTTTTTTTTTTTTTTTAAAGTTCCTGCAAGATATTTCTAATGGGAAGCCCAGGTTGGGAACCACAGAACTAGGTGACAGGTCCTAACTGTCCTTTGTAACCTAATTTCCCACCACAGGTTCCTCAGCCACAATGTTCCACATTTTGGCTCCTCGAAGCTGCCCACACTCATTCTTGCCTTGGGGACCTGGAAGAGCGGCCCTATATGCTTATGCAACCTGTGCAGTGCATCCACAGCACTCACTCCTTTGTGTCCAATCAGAATTCATCTTAAAATCACCTCCTTCAAGAGGCCTTCTTGGATCATCCAATCGAAAGACGCCCTTGCTCACTCTGTAGCACATTTCATTCTAATTCTCTGCATAGCACTTTTTCTGTAGTATTTCTGTGGTTTTTTAATTGGCTACCTTGCCCCATGAGAATGTAAGCCCCATGAAAGCAAAACCTTTATCTGGGTTGTTCAGCACAGTTTCTCAAGCTCCTAGAACAGTGCCAGGCACACAGCAGGGATTCAGTAAATATTGGTAGAATAAATGAGTGACAAGTGAGTGAACATATCTAGGTCACTTCCATCATGCTCCATCATGCTGTGCTGTGCTTTGCATATAAAAGGACCTCAATGAATCCACTGCATTTCAGGGACTGAAAGTGCCCACTATATTACAAATTTGGCCGAAGTTTGAAGGTTACAAGCATCCTTGCTGAAAAATATCCTTTTCCTACTGTATATAGAGAGAACAGATTATGTATCACTTTACAGACTTTCGAAGTGTTTCTGAAATCCAACTTTCATAAAACACTTTCCACCTTTTTCCAAAATCCAACTTTCGGAAAAGTTCTAAAAGTCAAAAAACACCATAGAAAAAAATTTTAATCTGACTCCCAGATTGAGTAAGTAAAGGTAAAATAAAGGACTCCCCTCAGTCTCCTCTGGCATAAACTGTCACCTCTCCAGGCAGTGTAGCAGGACTGCCTACTTGGCAGACTACAAAACTAATAAAGTCCTCAACTATCATGTAATTTTTAAAAATTAAATCTCTTGACCTATATTTATGACATTCATTCATCTCAGGTAGTTAGAGATATCTTTCCAACTCAAGATCCTCTGATGATCAATTTTATAAAAATAAACAAGAAGTTCAAAGGATAAATTTGAGAGATAGCCAAGTATTCTCTCCAGCTTCATTGGTTGTACTACTGAAAACAGAGCACCTCTATTCTTACATTAAAGAACTTCAGGCCGGGCACAGTGGCTCACACCTGTAATCCCAGCACTTTGGGAGGCCAAGGTGGGTGGATCATCTGAGGTCAGGTGTTCAAGACCAGCCTGGCCAACACGGTGAAACGCTGTCTCTACTAAAAATGCAAAAATTAGCCTGGTGCACATCTGTAATCCCAGCTACTTGGGAGGCTGAGGCAGCAGAATCGCTTGAACCCAGGAGGCAGAGGTTGCAGTGAGCCGAGATCGTGCCACTGCACTCCAGCCTGGGCAACAGAGCAAGGCTCCATCTCAAACAAAAACAAAAACAAAAAACTTCAAGGCTGATCTAGTCTTTAAATGCCCATTTCTAGTTACCTTGAGTTACATCATCATCAAAATATAGTAACAGCTTCCACGTTGTAAATAGGATGGCTGGTGGCCTCGAAAAAGATGTATCTGTCTCCTAATCCATAAAACCTTTTGTCTTCTATGGCAAAAAGAGTGAATATTACCTTGCATGGCAAAAAGATATAATAGAGTTCATTACCTTGAGAGGAGGAATTTATCCTGGATTATCTGGATGGGTCCTAAATGTCATCACATGTATTCTTGTAAGAGAGAGGCAGAGGGAGTTTTGACACAGAAGAGGAAGGAGCAATGTGACCATGATCAGAGACTGGAATGATGTGATCTAGAGCCACCAGGAGCTAAAAGAAACAAAGAATTTGTTCTCTCCTGGAGTCTTCAGAGGAAGCGTGGCCCTGCTGACAACTTCATTTGAATATCTAGTCTTTAGAACCATGAGAAAATAAATTTTTTTGTTAAAACCATAAGGTTAAATAAGCTTAAAAGCCTTATGTTTATGGTCATTTGTCACAGCAGCCACAGGAAACCAACACGCACACTTAATGGACTGCTTAATATGTGCTACACATTATAAAAAACCTGGTACAATAAATATTAGTTACCAAAAAAGATGTTTCCGTTTCTAAGAAAATAGGTTTTTGCATTTTAAATAAGTATAATTAAATATATTCAATCTCCATTTTGCAGGTCAGATCTAAAACAAGGTGCTCCATTCTTGTTAGGATTTGAAGCCCCTTGCTTGATGTCTCTGTAAGGGAGTTCCCCATCTGAAAATACAAGATTAAAATTCTCAACTCCTTCAGGGTTAAAGGGATAACATAAAAGAGGATAACAACAGGCTACCCCTCAACGATTCACGGAGTCTTAGAGCAAAAGCAGCCCTTGATGAGTACTTACAGCCAACCCCCCTTTTTCTAAGGATGAAAAGGCAAAGGTTCTCAAGGGTGAGGCCCTTGCCATGAGAAAGCCAGGAGACTCCAGGTATGTGGATCCTGGCTCAGAGCCCTCTGCACAGCTCTGTGCTGCCTGCAGAAGGATAAGATAATATCCCCAATTCACTCATACTCGGGTTTCCTCCCCTCCTAATGCGTGAGTTTTCACTGGTCAATGCAAACACTCAGTCACCTTTAGGGCTAATGGCAAAACACAGGCTTAGGGCACAGATTGGTTCAACTGAAAAGACTCAAGCCTAGACCTGATGGAGTAAAAAATGGCAAAACAAAAACCCCAGATGTCCTGAGCTGATCATGAGCCAGTACTTGCTCAGAACCACATGTACACCAGTACAAAGAGGGAGACTTAGGTGACTGTAAACGTCAATTCTTCCAGCAGTCGTTAGCCAGGAAAAAGAGTAGAAGGATCAGCCTAGAACCCAACCTAAGTAATAAAAGTCAATCCAAAATATTATGTTAATGAGAGTGAGTCAGGACTGCCATTTTCCACATTTAAGAGGCAGTGTGACAGACAAAGTGTATGATAAAACTCATCATCCACCAGAAATAGAAGGCTACTTCCTTAATCTGATGAAGGGTATTTACAACAACTCTACCATAGACATTACACTTATTGGGGAAACGTTAAAACTTCTTCTTTTGCGATCTGGATTATAAGGATACCCACTACCATCACTTTTCTTAAACTCTGTACTCAAGATCTAAGCCTATGCAATAAGGCAAGGAAAATAAATGTGAAAATATAAGAATTAGAAAAGACAAAATTAGAATGTCATTATTTACTGATGTGTCTATTTTCTATACGTAGAAAATAGGAAAAATCCAAAATCCAAATGAAAACACATATAAAATATCAGAATTAATAAGAGTTTAACAACGTTGTTAGATGTAAAACACAATGTGGAAAAATCAATTCTATTTTAATATAAGCACAAAGAGTTAGAAAATGAAATGTTAAAAAGATACCATTTACTATGTCATCAAAAATATAAAGTACCTAGAAATGAATTTAATGAAAGATGTATAAAACATAACTATGAAAATGATGTAACTTCACTGAGTTCTCTAAAAGTAGCTCAGGTATGTATATATGTTTTAGTCTCAACAAATGAAAAAAAATCAAATTGGATGTAATCATCCACCATATGTTTTCATTCAAACATTGGTTTTTGCAATGTAGAGATATCTTGATTTGTTATACAGTCACTTAACAATGGGAATACATTCTGAGAAACACACTCTTAGGTTATTTAATCATGCAAACATCATATATTGTACTGACACAAACCTAGATGGTAGAGCCTACTATACACCTAGGCTATATGGTATAGCCTATTGCTCCTAGGCTGTAAACCTGTAAAGCATGTTACTGTATTGAATACAATTGTAACACAAGGGTAAGTATTTGTGTATCTAAACATATCAAAAAATAGAAAAGGCATAGGGAAAATATGGTATTATAATCTTATGGGACCACCATCATATATGTGATTCATCATTGACCCAGACATCATTATGCGGTGCATGGCTGTATAAGAATTCTGATCAGATGGGTGCAATATAGGCTCTGATGGTGGATCAGGATTATCCCAAATTTAAATAAACATCAAATAATCATTTGGATTTCCATACTCAGTACTATATTAACTGTGAAAAACAAAAGGACTTTAAATTCTTTAATTTTATAGTGTATATAAAGAAAAATCTGCTGGAATCTAAAGTCTAAAGTGGCAATATATATAAAACTTCAAAAAATATGAGATTCTATTCAGTCAATACATCCAGAATGAAATGGTCCAAACCAACAGATATATGGTGCCAATACAACCTCGCATTGCAGTAATTTGAAATTTCTGTCTCAATTTTTAGCCATTTCCATAGCTCCCTGTTAGAGCTACCTTTAAATGTAGGTAGAATAGACAGCTTTTTATATGGGGATATTTATCAAGACTTCCTTTCAAAATTCTCCCTTAGCCTCAACAGATCAAACATCCAACCATCAAGGCTAATTCCTTGTAGCTAAGACACTATGTGTCCCAGAATCCATTATTAAAATAAAAATACTTCCAGGAGGAGGTAACATAAATGAACCATGATGCAATTTTAACACTGCAACTTCATTTACCTGAGTCAAAAGCAAGATATGGGGCAATCAATTCTGATAATGTAGAAAAGAAATGAGAGAGCTTTTAAGGAGACAGATATGGAGTACACAGTGCTACCATTAGCCAGATGGGCGTAGTGGGAATATCCTGAAAAGTACACAGTTAATGACAGCACAGTGCTAGAGGAAAACTGAAAAGATGCTACAGACAAGCATAATGTGCTTGACTATTTAGGGTGGGGACTGGATCCTGCTGTTAAGATAGGTTTGAGAGGCTATTGATCATGGCACTTGATCATAACTTGACTCACACTGCTGATGGACTATTCTCTCTGACACCCTAGTGAAATACAGTAAACTCATCAAAGCAGGAGTGATGCTTTGTCCTTTTATAGACCTTGTGATACAATAAAGCTTTTTGAACCCAGTACTGAATATTGCCACCTGGTGAATTAAAACTTCACTTGAGAAGAAGTATCTGAGTTCTGGAGATGAAAAAAAAAAATCTACTTTTAAATTAGAGCTAGCACTTTTTTTTAGCATTACGAGTTGGTTGTTGACAATACCAAATGCTTTCAAGGATGTGGAGCAACTGGAGCTCACATACATTGCTGGTAGAGTCGAAATTGATATAACCAATCTGTAACTCTGTTTATCAGTGTGTTCTAAAGATAAACCTAGGCCTATGCTATGACCCAGTAAGTCAAGAACAGACATGTCCACCAGAAAGCACGAACAAGGATATTTAGAAATTTTATCCCTAATAGTCCAAAACTGGATAAACTAAATTATCCATCAACAGTAGAATGGATAAATTATACTATATTCATACAATACTTCACAGCAACCAAATAGAACAAACTACTGCTACATGCAGCCATACAGATCAATCTCAGAGACACAATTAAAGAAGTCACACATAAAGGAAGATATACTCTATGATGCTATTTGTATGAAGTTCAAGAGCAGGCAAAAGTAATCCAAGATGTCTGATTAGATTAGAGGTCCAAATAGTGGCACGCTTTGGGGCAGGGGATGTTAAATGGAAGGGAGGGTAGATTGGGGGCCTATTTTTTTTTTTTGGTTCTAGAAGTGGTCTACATCTTGATTTGTGTGGTGATTAAACAGATATATTCATATGTAAAACTCTGCTGAACTGTATACTTAAGATTTTTGTACTTTATGTAAGTTATACCTCATTAGAAAGGTAAGAAACAAAAAGTGTTGGCTGTTTCCCAAGGCTTAATATTCGTTTTAATCATTTTAATTATGGGAAGCCAATTTTCTTTAAGCATATTTTTGCTGATGGCTATAATTTGAATGCTTGAACACTTGAAAGGATTATTTAACCAATCCAACAAAGAATTGTATTCTCCCCCTACAAAGGTACAGAAGCCATTCCAGCTGTCTCAATAGTACACTCCTCATTAACACCTAAAAGGAGCCATAACCTAATCCGGACACAAACAGAGAGCAAGAGGTAATGAGGACAGGGACAGAAAGGAGTGGTACCTCTGACTCCATGGCTGCAGGGTTTCCAAGGCATTCAGGACAGTGGCACACGCTGGGAGGGTTGTTCTAATTTAAGACATGTACAGGCCGGGTTTGGCGGCTCAAGCCTGTAATGCCAGCACTTTGGGAGGCCGAAGTGGGCAGATCACGAGGGTAGGAGTTCGAGACCAGCTCGGCCAACATGGTGAAACCCCATGTCTACTAAAAACACAAAAATTAGCCAAGTGTGGTGGCAGGTGCCTGTAATCCCAGCTACTTGGGAGGCTGAAGCACAAGAATCAAGCTGAGGCTTGAACCCAGGAGGCACAGGTTGCAGTGAGCCGAGATCACGCTATTGCATAGCAGCCAGCCTGGGCAATGGAGCAAGACTCCATCTCAAAAAACAAACAAACAAACAAAAACAACAAACAACAACAACAAAACGTACAGAGATGCCTCTGATTTATGTATTTATTTATTTTTGAGACAGGTTCTTGCTTTGTCACCCAGGCAGAAGTGCAGTGGCACAATCACTGCAGCCTCAACCTCCCAGGCTCAGGTGATCTCCCACCTCAGCCTCCCAAGTAACTGGAACCAAAGAAGTGTGTCACCACACCTAGCTATTTTTGTATTTTTTGTAAAGATGAGGTTTTGCTATGTTGCCCAGGCTGGTCTCAAACTCCTGGGCTCAAGCAATCTGCCTGCCACAACCTCCCAAAGCACTGGGATTACAGGTCTCTGATTTTTGAAACTCCGTATCCGATATAACTAAGACACTCATCTGACAAACCTGCTATCCTACAGGAGCTAGTCCCTACCTAAACACCTATGATTCAGGGAGTCCTAGAATTCTAGAGTGGGGGGCACCTGAGAATTGTTACTGACTTAAGCCTGGTGCCTATCTGGCCAAAGTCCAGAAAGCAATTAAGAGTAGCCCCCCACCAAAACAAAAACAAAAACAAAAAAAAAAAACAGAACCAGGGAAAGAGTCGCTGTCAGCTGCCACTCTTTCTCCCCAACTAATATGGCTAATACGGCATTTATACTAAAAAGGATCTACACATATTTTAAGTTAATGGCTAAAGCAGAAAGGGGTTTTTGAAAGTAACTCTGGATGAAAGTTACCAATATCTGAAAAAAATTATATTGGAAAGTCACAGAGAAAGGCATTAGTTTCAGCTTTCCCAGCCAAAGCCCACTGAAAAATGGCCTCAGCTATTTCAGCCACTGACTTTTCAGAGCTTTAAAGCAAACCTACAGTCCCTCAGCAAAATGGGAACAGAAACCTCTGCCCTCTTTGCTATCAGACAAGGGCTGCCTGGAAAGCTAATGTATGACATGCCTGAATTTCCTAAAAGAAGTTACTGTAAGTTTTCTGTAGGGCCTACAAAGATAAGATGGATTTATTTCCAATTATTTGGATTAAAACTGCCTGCCTCATTTTCATCAAATAAGTCATTACATTCTTTCTGAGGGGTTCCCACATCAATGGAACTTGCCAATCATTTCCTATTTTCAATGGATAGAAAACATCAGCCACCTTCAAGTGTTTTTCTCATGTTGAGAACAGCAAAGTCTGCCAGTCAACCAGAAAAACATCGGCAACAACAACAAAAATATTTACATACTTCCCCTAAAATAATCATGTTTTCATATGCTTTTTAAACTTTTAGAGTTCCATCTCCTCAACCTGTAACACCAGAGCCACTTCTCCAGAAGATTTACATGTTTATCTACCTATCAAACTCTATCTCCCTAGATGAAAAGAATGAAAATGTTGAAATTTGTGCCATTAATGTTCACCTTTCCTTGTCATTCTTCATGGATATTCAGTGAAACAACAGCAGTATTGGAGGCTTAACACTGATTCTAAGAGAAAACTTACAGTAATTTTCAGAACAGGTTAACATGAGAAATCAAGAAAGCAAAAAGCAACAGGACTCAAGAGTCTGTTCAGATAAACTAGCCTTACCTATGGCCAAGGCTTACGTACCAATGAAGGGAAAGGCTTCCTTGGCCAGCAAATAAACCACTTTCTGGGTACATACTACTCACAAAGAAGTTTTAACTCAGCAACTACAATAAATTATTCTAGTAGTTCAAACTAATTCTATCTACCCACCTGCAAATAAAATTACTATTTTTTCCTTTGGTTGGATAATGTTGCAAGGCACGATTCCCATGCTAAAGGTGGAAATTGGATAGCAAACGCTAATGGCATTTCACAGCACTATTAAATGTTTACACATTTAATGTGTATTATCTGGGGTCACTGATAATTGACAGTAAGATTTTTCATGAACATCCACAAAACACAAAAGAGACTATTTTTCACTCTGTTCCAGTGAAGATAAATAATCCGTAATGAGATATAATTGAGTACTTTCTCCAGAAAATTGCTGCAGTCCCAAAAATCCTAAATATCGTATTTGAAAAGCAAGAAGGCAGTACGAGGGATTCAGAATCAAAATTATACTTGTTACAACTGGTGGAAATGATACCAAATAACAAATACACAGGGGACAAAGGATGAAATGAACTGGAAGTGGGTTTTTCACCTCCTGCCAGCAGATCATTTAAAAGGATACACTCCCATGGCGGTAGCATTCGGAGGTTTTACTTTGATCTCAAGACATGAAAAAGATTAAGTCAGCTTGGTTCATCCTCTCCTCATCCAGCTGTACCCTGCAAATTAGCCCTTACCCACTTCTTCATTCAAACATCAACTGACTGTCATAGCAACCAGAATGTTGAACAAGCACAACTGCTGGAAAGTGATCAAACGAATCATCTTATTCTCCCTCTGGCCCTTTAAAAATCCAGCAGTGGGCGGGTGGCCTTCCTCGGCACTGGATGAAAACCTTGGCAGGTGCCAGGACCTTTCTGTTCACTCTTAGTTGACTAAGAGTCACTTAAGTCATGAAATATTCCAATTTTTTTTTTTTTTGGACACTAAGTCTCACTCCGTTGCCCAGGCTGGAATGTAGTGGTGCGATCTCTGCTCACTGTAACCTCTGCCTCCCAGGTTCAAGCCATTCTCCTACCTCAGCTTCCCATGTAGCTGGTATTATAGGTGTGAATCACCACATCCAGGTAATTTTTGTATTTTTAGTAGATACAGGGTTTCACCATGTTGGCCAGGCTGGTCTCGAACTTCTGACCTCAAGTGCTCTGCCCACCTCGGCCTCCCATACCAATCTCTCTTAATGATCAATACTGCAAACCTAAGAGTTCCATCTCTCCTTCCAGTGATAGGCTAGTTTCAGGAAGGGGATGTATAAGGCTTCTCTCTTTACAACTGCTAGCTCCCTCAAGGTGCTGGGGATAAAGCAGGTAGAAGAAAAGGAGTAAGAGTCCTTAAGAGGACTGGTTCCATCATAAGCTGGCAATCCATTCTTTGGGCCTGGCAGATACTTATTTTAATTTTTAGAGAAAAAGTCTCTGTTACTCAGGCTTGATTGCAGTGATGCTATGACGGCTCACTGCAGCCTTAAATTCCTGAGCTCAAGCAATCCTCCCGCCACAGCCTCCAGATAAGCTGGGAATACAAGTGCACCATGATGCCTGGCTGGTTTTGTAGAGATGGCATCTTGCAATGCTATCCAGGTTGGTTGGTTTTAAACTCCTAGCCTTAAGACATTCTCCAGCCCTGGCCTCCCAAACTATTGGAATTACAGGCACAAGCCACTGCACCCAGCTGGCAGATGTTTAAAGTTCATTCTTTCTTGTATGAGCTGCTCTACTGGGGACTTGGAGATTCTCAGTCCTGGAAACCATCTCTCCTGCAGGTCCTCCAGACCCAGCAAATGCAACCTAGTGCCAATGGTCTCTTGCAACAACTTCCACAGCCTCTTGGAATCTGCCATCCATTTCCAGCCTCTTGCTCATAGGGTTCCTCCATGCAGCCCAGTTTATCAGACAGAACCAAAAAGCTATGCTGCTCTTTCACAAGAGGCTCACCTATCATGCAGGAACAATAAATACATAGCCTCATTTTGCACAACAAATGCTGGCAGAGCAGGTGGACAGTAACAGGGCAGCCACACATATGGTGTGGAACTGGCACTAAAGCCACAGCCAGCCCACCTCGTGCTGCCTGAGGTTCAGGAGTCCGACCCTGGCAGTGCCCTCCAGCCCTGTACACCATGGAACTGTGCTTCAAGGAGCCCTACTGCCATTCCACAAGGTTTGGGATAAGATGGCAGACTGTCTAAAATCTCTTAAAATCCTCTCTCCGGCCAGATGTGGTGGCTCACACCTGTAATCCCAACACTTTGGGAGGCTGAAACGGGCAGATCACGAGGTCTCCTGAGGAGATCAAGACCACCCTGGCCCATGTGGTGAAATCCCGTCTCTACTAAAAACACAAAAATTAGCTGGACATGGTAGCGGGTACCTGTAGTCTCAGCTACTCGGGAGGCTGAGGCAGGAGAATCTCTTGAACCCTGGAAGTGGAGGTTGCAGTGAGGTGAGATAGCGCCACTGCACTCCAGCCTGACAACAGAGCGAGACTCCGTCTCAAAAAAAAAAAAAATTCCTCTCTCCTCTCCATAATATGACCGTTTTAGAGCTGTGGGACTGGTTCTCAAAACTGCCTTGTCTGCCAACTCACACAGTTATTGAATTTGGATCTCTAGTGCAAAATGCAATTTTAAAATTCCATTACACCTCTCCTCTATAACCAGGGTATCTGAAGAGGCTGAACATTGTGGTTTTATTTTTTCCAATAATTGCTACCACTAGCTGCACTCTGGTTGTCGCCTTTTCCTCCTGGGAAGTTAGCAACCTTAATTCTCAGTCCATCCCAGAACACTTAATTTTTTGGGTTATGAAAATAGTCCAGTATATACAGCACCACCTATTAAGTATTCTTGCCTAAAAATAACTGAAGCTGAATCTAATCAAGTTTCTAAATCTACCTACTAGCTTGCAGGTAATACCAGAGATAGAGAAACACATTAAATAGACATCTTTTGGAAGTAATCGTTAAGCAGGTAAAACTTTCAATAGGAAAAATAATCCTGCTCCTCCATCAAACAAACATCAGAAAAGCAAGTGTTAAAACAAAACAAAACAAAACCTTTGAAACAACTGTAATAATTTGAATATTCACTGGGTATTCTAGGATACTGAGAAATTTTGTTAGAAGTAGTAATAGTATAATGGCTTATCAAAAAATGTTTTCATCTGTTAGAAGTATAAACAAAAGTATTTACGTGTGAAAGAGCAGAACGGCTTGGATTTACTTTAAAATATTCCCCTGATTTTTTTCAAGAAACAAAATAAAAGTTGCGGAGGCTTAGATGAAGTAAGATTGGAAAAATGTTAATCATCAATGAAGTTGAGTGATAGGTTCATGAGAGTTCATTGTACCATACTTTTCTATCTTTTGAGATATTTTAATAATAAAAAGACTTCTTCTTTAAAAAAGGTACACATTTCAATCTTATGCCCAATTCTAAGTTCCCCTTCCTTTCTGCAGAGCAGGCCAAGCAGGTGGTCTAATGGCTCAGACAGGAAGAGGTAGGTGGGCCGAGAGACGGGAGTGGGTGCTGTCTGCTAGCCACACCCCATCCCTGTTCTCTGTGCAGGCTCCTCTGATGATAGAGCCCAGAGAGGCTGGAGAGGATGTTTCCCTCAGTAGTGAGCAGTCATTTCTTTGTTGCTATCCCTACACTTTTTTTGTTGTCTTGTTTTCTTGAGACAGAGTCTTGCTCTATCGCCCAGGCTGGAGTGCAGTGGGGTAATCTCAGCTCAGTGCAACCTCCACCTCCCAGGTTCATGAGATTCTCCTGCCTCAGCCTCCCCAATACTGGGATTACAGGCACACCTTCACACCTGGCTAATTTTTGTATTTTTAGTAGAGACGGGGTTTCATTATGTTGGCCAGGCTGGTCTCAAAGTCCTGACCTCAGATGATCCAGTCGCCTCAGCCTCTCAGAGTGCTAGGATTACAAGCTTGAGCCATTGCACCCGGCCTATTCCTAATCTTTCACATGAACCTGCTGCAGTGGTGATAAGATTGCTGTCACCTTCTCGGTGGTCATCACAGATGATATGGATGGAGACCCCCAACGAGTCTTGCTGGCAGGGACCTCAGTCCCCTCCTCTGGGCACTAATGATCTCTCATTAGATCTCACCACATTATCCAGCAGACCCCCGACAGGCAGCCCCATGCTACCCTGCTGTGATATGACAGCCTTTCTAACCCACCTGCTGATTGCCCCATCAGTCTTACCTCTGCAGGCCAGAGCCAATACTTGGGCCCGCTTGTGAGTGGGGTCCTACTAGTGTATCTCTCAGAGATCATGAATTTGAGGAGGCTGACTTGTTTCCTGTGCAACTGGTTATACTGCCACACCTTACTGCTCTCCATTAGCACTGGGGCAGGTCAGCAAGTGCAATCACTGGCCATCCAATAAGAAAACACACAGCTCGCTTACCCCCCTCTTAGACACCCCGCAAATTACATGAGCAACCCTCTCGCCCTCCACACCCACCTCAAAAGCATGGAAACATCCAAACCCCCTTAGACTCTGCTCCCCTTTGGGAAAGAGAGAGAGGGTAACATGTATTTATTCACAAAGAAAGAAGATCTCCTCTTATGTGTCGTTCATCAAAGCCTGACAAACCAGTGCCCCTTCTTGCACCTAGAAATAGACTGAGAGTTGTGCTTGGCCTTGGAGAATTCATAATTTTGTTCTCCACGCGATACTAGCTCTACTGCTGGGGATGAGTCGTGTGGCATAAGAAAATCTCAATTAGTAGCCAGGCATAGTGGCTCAGGCCTGTAATCCCAGCGCTTTGGGAGGTCAAGGCAGGGGGACGGCTTGAGGCCAGGGGTTTGAGAGCAGCACCTAGACAACGAAGCCCGACCCCACCTCTACAAAAAAAAAAAAAGCCTAGTATGGTGGCGCACATCTGTAGTCCCAGCTACCCAGGAGGCTGAAGTGAGAGGATTTCTTGAGCCTAGGAATTCAAGGTTATAGTGATCTGCAATTGCATTACCGCACTCCAGCCTCAGTGACAGCAAGACCCTATCTCAAAAAAAAAAAAAATTAAAAATAGACAAGAAAGGAAAATTTTAATTAGCAACTCCAACCATCCTGTTGCATCTAGTAGGTATCAGGTTAGCATGCCAGACAACGAAAATATAAGGGCAAATAAGACACACTCCCATTGGGTTTAAAATAACAAGGCATGGGTTTGGGTCCAGGACTTGCTGCTTTCCAGCCGTCTGACTTGAGTAAGAAGCTGCAGCAACTTTGGAGTTAATACTGTGTCTTTAACTGTAAAACTGTAAAGTTAGAGAGGCGGCTGAGATGCCTCCCAGGTCCCCTATAGCACTCACAGCCAATGGCTGAGCCAAACTATTGGCATCACATCACATGAGACATCAGTCCAGCCCTCTGCCACAGTTAATTCAAAAGCAAAATAAAGAGATAGTTGGCATGCGGAATAACTGGATCCCATAGGTGTAGCCACACTGACTGGAGCAATGGAAAAAATTACTCCAGCACCACAGCTTGCTTTCACTCAGCAGATGGGCTGGAACATGTTCCAGATCAGCTGCAACCTTCGTGGTCCAGGCGCAGGTGGCACCGCAGGTCGTCCCTGAGGCATAAGGTAACATGTGGGCTACCAATGATGCCATCATCAAATTCTATCCCCCTAGCTAGTCACTATGCCATTTGCATTTAAAATAAATATTTATCACCATTTCTAGCATTATCACTCTCAAAAGTCCAGCCCTATTATGTGAGCTAGGCCAGCACAAAGTCAAGTGAGAGGACTTTAGGATGGCTCACTGGAGTGACCATTTGTCATGCTCTGGGACTTTGTGTACATCCTTCCTGTACTTAGGAATCAGCCACCTGTGATCCTGCTGCCTGGAGGAAGAAGACATTTATTTTCCTATAGCCTCTCTTGCGTGTGGAGTGAATCATCCTCTGTTGACTTTAAGTGAAAAATATTAACTTTTATTTAAGTGACTGTATTTGGGGGTAGCTTAGCCTGTGCTTTAATACACAAGCAAAATGATTAGATTCTGAACTGCTTTACTGCAGATCCTACCATCCCTGTATTCGCTATGAACTTACATTTGTGGGTGTGTTAGATACTACTCTAAACTGCGCTACCCACCTCCCTCTAGACCTATACCAAGTTTCTTAAAAAGGCACTGACCCAAGCTGTCTCTATTTTCTCTCTCCCGATTCCTCAGTCTGACTCAGTCTGACCTTCTGACGTCTGCCTCTACCACTCCACTCAAACTGTCCTTCCCAAGGTCACCCCTGATTTCCATATTGCCAAATCCCAACATTTTTGAGTCTTCATCCTATCTGATATCAAGACCACGTCGACCCTGCAAACCACCCTCTCCTTCCTTACATCATACTTTCTCTTGGAGTTCTTGCTACGTTGACCACGCTGGTCTCAAACTCCTAGCCTCAAGTGATCCTCCTGCCTCACATCCTTAAGTGCTAGGAATCCAGTAATGAGTCACAGCACCCTGACTCATTCAGGAAGTTTTAACACCAAAACATTTATGTAAAAATGAACTTGAGCCTATCCACCACACCCAGTCCAGAGTGATAACTTTCAACCATGAAAGTGCCATACTCAAAATCCTGCGACGGCTTCCCATGTCACTTAGGAGAAATTCCAAAATCCTCAGCATGGACTAAAAGGCCCACTTTGATCTGGCCCCAGCTCCAAATTCAGCTCACGTCACTTTCCTCTGTTCCCACTCCCTCCATGTCCTCTACACTGCTGAAAGCCTCACTGGCATCTTTTCAGTTCTTTAAATGAACCAACTTCTTGGCTGACAGGGTCTGCAGCACATGTGCTGTTTCTTCTAGAAGGCTCTGGGTAATTGCTTTTCACTACAGGTCTCAGCCAACACTTCCAAAGGGGCACATTCTCTAAAACCTTTCCCCTGGTGTAAATTAAGTCACTCTTCTAAGTCTCTTTCATAATTCATTTTACTTTTCCTTTGTAGCTCTTACAATAACATGTAATTATATAAAAATGTAGATTTAAGTAGAGATAGAGACGGACACATAGGTATTTGTCTCTACCATACTATAAGATCCTCAGCCAAGGGCAGGGATTATGCCTATTTAGTTCACAGCATTGTCCTTAGGTTCTAGCATGTTCAACACTGAATAAACAGAAAGTTAAAGGATGAATGCTAATAGCATATACCATGATTTTAACCTAAAAACAGTTATGGTATTTGCCTACCCTCTTTTCCCATAGGAAAACCTTGATACAAATAGATAATACTACCATATGTATTGCAGTCATGGAAAAACTTGGATTGCACAAGAATTACAAAAAGTAATGGTAATATCACACTAAGTCTCCCGCTGAGAACAATTACAAAAGCTGGATGAAGAAGAAGGAAGGGAAAGGACAGAAAGGAGGAGGAGGAAGAGGAGGAGAAATAGCTGCTGTTTGCTGTTTGCAGACTTTGGTCTTCAATAAAGGCACACAAAACTTGAGGGGTTAAGGAAAACACCCTGAAGTGAGACCCTCCTTTCTACTGCTTGCTCTTTTCAGAGCATTCACTAATTCCTGGCCAGGTTGCACTGGACGAGCAGACAGCTGCAGCCCAAAGCCTGGAGCAGTCTTACTGGGATGAGGAGCTGAAAAATGAAATCTAGGACTTCCAATGCAGCCAGAATGTGAGGCACAAAGATCCGAGAGAAAAGACAGCTTCAGAAAAATGAACCCAACATTCTTTCCAGCCTTTGCACTCCAAAGCTGTGAGTTGTAAAAGGAGGAGAAAATAAACAGAAAGCTTCTGCTAAGAGGCTAAAACGCTAAGCTGACTTTATGACCATGGCACTCAACTTAAGAGTTGACATTTAGGGCCTAGTATGGACAGAGTCCTGGTAAATACTTCAGGCTTTCTGCTGAGACTCTCAATGGCTTATACCTTAGAAACAAACCAAATGAAAACAGACTAACTTGAAACTTCACTCCAATTATCATAATGGTTGATTTAATCTAGATGAATAGCTTTATCCTACTGCCAACAGAAAAGAAATAGATCTTCCTTGGAGGAATAGAACAGCATCCAGAGAGCCTAAAAATGTTCACATACAGTATCAGGCACTTAATAAAAAATTACAAAGCCTGATAGAAAACAAGATCAAATGACCAAAACCAAGATACAAAACTGGTAATACACAGACTCACTGGTAATCTAGATATTTTATTCATCAAAATAGCATTTTACTATAACTACAATTACTGTGTTCAAGAAAATATATTAAAGATAGAGAATCTTACCAGATACCTAGCTTCTATAAAAAAGAGGAAAACTGAAATACAATAATTACATTAAAAACTCAATAGATAGGTTTAAAAGGATAGACACAGAAAAGTTTTATTGGAGTGAAACAGGTGTCAGCAGAAGAAAATCTAATCAGAAGCACAGAGAGAAAAACAAAGAATTGAAAATATGAGAAACAGCTTAAGTCACATTTAAGACAGGAAAAAGTAATGTACGTGTAACTATTATTCCAAGAGGAAAAGAGAATAATGAGAAAGAAGCAACGGCTACACAGATAGCTACAAGGAGTTTTCCAAAACTGATGAAAGGTATCAAGCCTGAGATCCAACAAGCTCCATGAACCACAATTAGGAGAAATATAAATAAAATATACCTAAAAGCCATCACAGTAAAACTGTGAAAATCAAATATAAAATCTTAAAAGCAGCTAGGATTGGGGAGCAATAGGAGAGCAGGTAATACTGCCAGATATAAATAGCATATTCAGGCCTGACTCATAGTTTCATACTCAATTATGCTATTTTGATATCCCCTCTCACCTACTTTGCAATTAGTAAAACTAAGGATAAAGTTCAAATAATGTCCTCTTAAACTCCCCAAATTAAAATGTTATATTTGTGGCAGAATTGTGCAACATATTAATTGTGAAACACAAATTTTGTTTTGTTTTTAAAACCTGTCACTCGGGAGGCTTAGGCAGGAGAATCGCTTGAACCAGGGAGTCGGAGGTTGCAGTGAGCCGAGATCGTGCCACTGCACTCCAGCCTGGTGACAGAGTGAGACTCTGTCTAAAAACAAAACAAAACAAAACAAAAAAAACTGGCACTTACTGTATAAAAATATTTTAATTGAAGTCTGGGCTTCTCTAACTCCTAGAATGAACATGTAAAATACATCAGCTACAGAGTATCAGCAACATATTAATACATACTCATAATTTCACTTTCTGGGGACCCAAGGCCCATAAAGCAGAGAATAAAAACGGATTATCTTGATATGGTTACATTAGTCTCTTAACATGTAGACGGAAAGCTGCTGTTGTAGGTATTTTTAAATGGTGAGCTCACTATAATTTCAAAGGATTAACAAATTTATTCTGACTTTCTCAATTTAGAAAATTATTCATCTTAGTTAACAGGAAAATAATTCAGATGTAAAGGTTGCAATTTTTCTTAAAGATGATCACCTACCAGCCCAGGCTGTATCTGAGCTATCTCTGTTACCCAAATGAGTCCTAGAACTGCTGGGACAAAAAATATATAATTTATAGATAGACAGATTATATGTATCACCTTGCAGATAGTAACGTTCTGTAACTTGGCCCTTTCTCAGGAGGGCCGTGGCTATAACTAGGCACTGCAAGTGACTATATTCCTCCATTCACTGGGATTTTAAATACTGTCCTGGTGAATGCAGCATATTAGAAGAACATGATTAAAGTATTCACAGATAATTCAAAGACACCAACAGACAAACCTGGTAAGGAAAAAATAAATCAACACTTCCAATGAAAGACTACTTAGATAATATAAAACTTACAATGTACATTAGCAAAACTGTATGGTCCAAGTTGAGGAAAAGAACCTTTATTGCTTATTTCCCCTCAAAGTCCTGGTATTTTTATTTAAAGAGCCTGAGAGCACCTAGTAAAACCAACATTTTCTGTAGTTCAGCTGTGAAGAAAATCATCTGGCTTCAGGAGTGATACACATGACTAAGAGCTGGTCAGTTGAGTAATTCAATCCACCCTGTCAAAGAGATTGGTTTAAAGATAGACACATGACCCAGTCAAAGCCAATGAGAGTCAATCTTGGGATCAGCTGGAAAGACATAGAGAGGCATGCTCACTCTTCAGCTTGACTTAAATTTAGAGATGCTACAGACTTTTTTTTATCATTGTCTAAAAAGGAAGCCACCATAAAAAGCAAAGCCAAGCTATCTGAGTCCCTGGACTAAGGTATCCTAGAAATCAGTAGCCCCTGTGTATGTATATAAGCCAACAACAGATTCTCTTATTTGCTAGAGCCAGTATGAACTGGGTTTGCTATTAATTGTAGTAAAAAGAGCACCAAATGACAGGCTCACTTGGAGAAAGACAGCCATTTCAACAAGTCCCATTTTGAAGTACCTCAAATAATTTCTTAGCTTGAAGTCCCAGTAAATGGAATGGGCTAATAGCCAAATTAGACCACTGACAACCACTGTCAGGGACACATATATACACTGGAGAAAAAAATTCTTTTTCTTTTTACACTTTAAACACATGCAATTTTTATTTGTCAATCATACCTCAGTAAAGCTAAGGAGAAATATTATATCCTCGTATATTATGTATCCAAAAACATAAACCAATACCTTTTTTTAAAAAAAAATCCATTATTCTCTTAAATCATGTAGAAGACAAAAAGTAGAGTTCCAAGCCATTGCTACAACAATGCTAGGTTTTATAATTGTCCATGTATTTATCTACAGTGATAGTACTTTTTTCTTTGTACATCTTTGAGTTATTCTCTAGTATCTTTTCATTTCAGCCCTCAGAAGTTCCTTTGGATTTCTTGTAGGACAGGTCTAAGGGTAACAAACTCCCTCAGTTTTTGTTTATCTGGGAATGTCTTGAGAAGAAAAAATCCTAAGCTGCATTGGATCTGATGCAAAATTATGGCCTATATATAGTACCAGATCAGCTTCTGGCATTAAAAGTACAGTCATTTGATTCCATTCTAACTGACACTCTCCCAAAATGTGTTAGGCTACCAAATCTCAGTATTTTCTACTAATAAGCAAGTATAATTCACAACAACATAGCAGCAGAGAAGTACATTCAATTTTCATTAACATCATCAACCATTACTCTGATGACAAGCATTCCTCAGGATTATGCTCATTTTCAAACACTAAGTTTCAGCTTATACTCTTCATTCTTCTTCTCACTGCTACCTTGCATCAGCCACAAAGCCTGCACTTTGGGGTTGGAACTGCCAACAAAAAAATAATGATTGCTCTGCAGTAACTGAGCAATTAGAATAATATTTCAAATGCTTCCCAAATCTGTTGCCCACATACTCATACTTTGGGTTTGAGAGAAGTCAGACCAATGAGGCTGAATACTGACAGCCATCACTCTATGCACCCTGCAGCCTTTGCGGCATGTTTATGTTGCTCAGTTGAGATTGAATAACACATAAGCACAAACTGGGCCACATCTAATAGTCTGCTACATTCATAGACTCAGCCCAAGTGTTTCTTAAAAATACTCCAATTAAAGGCAACACTGAAGTAACAAAGTAAGTAGTAAAGAGGCCATTTCTGTGATCCACCCAGACTTGTGACTTTTGAAAGATCACCTACCTCTGCTGTTTTTTCATCTGCAGAACGTAATAGTCTAACTAAACAATCACCTCCCAGAGCTAACATTTGAGAAATCTTGTGATCCCTAAGCCTGAAAGCTTAGAATCCTGTGGTCCCAGGCAATGTTATTGGTACTCTGTAATTAAGTTATGCAGCCAGTTAATATTACTCATACTGGGCCTTTGCAAGTCTATGGTGATTTTCACATTAGAATGTCAAACTGGGCTGAAATATTTTTTTTTGACACAGTAAGACTTAGCTTGGAATTTGAATTAAGAGAAAGCTTAGGCTAATGGTTAACCTTGGATTAATATTTATTTTACTAATGTTAGCTTTGTATTACATGGTGATATCCTATTTCCTCCAGGATACTGTTTATGCCATTATAAAATTCTAGCTAACGCCACTAAATTCTAGGCATAAAGTATTGCTAATAAATACCATTAATTGACTATTCAGAAATCAAAAGTATAATCTAAATACACTTAGCGAAGATGAATGCAGGGATCCTCTAACTGGCTATGATATTGTTTTCTTTCACAGTATGTCCTAGAATGACTGCTGACAGCTGCAGTGCAAGGCTGATAGCAGTACAAAGTAAGCATTAAACCATCAGTTATAAGGCAGTTATAAAGCATCTCTTTATGATTTTTCTCCTAACAGAATTAAGGGCTTGTCATCCAGACCAACAGCAAAGTAGATACTCTGAAGCAAGGGATGGTGACACTGTCCTGGGTACCAACCGTAGACAGCAGGATGGGGCAGGGGGACCTCAAAGTGGACTTTAGAACCCAAATAGACTTAAGTCTGAATTCTAGTCCTATCACTGTCTAGCTGTGTAACCCTGGACAAGTTATCTTATCTCCCTGAACCGCTGGGTCTCATCTATTCCATAAAGCACTGCTAAGAAGTACTTCCCAGGGTTATTAAAGAGAATACATGAGAGAATTACATACGTAAAATAGATTACATAGTGCTTGAACACTCACAGTGCTTGGCTCACCTTTCCTTTCTTCTGGTCCACCCTCAGGCAAGTCACTTCTGAGCACTGCTAAGAGAACGCAGCCCCACAAAGGTTCTCTCCTCCAACCACAAGTTAAGCCGAAGGAGCCGCTTGCTGGTTGAGTTGACACTCTCTAGTAAATCCTGGCATAACTTCTGTGGCAAGGTGAGTGACCACACGGGACCGAAAGAAGGAAAGACACAAACGTCCTCATCAAAGCACTCATGGGCCACAAAAGCACAACCTTAATTCTCTTGCCTCTGATTAAACCTACAGCTACCTGAGCATTTTCCACAAGTGATGAGACAATCTCCACAGCATAGGTAGATTCCTCCGACTTCATCTCAGCCTTGGATGTTGTCATTTGAGCTCTTTCTTGGAAAACAACCATCAGAGAAGCCTGTGGCTGTGATACACCCCTTTACTATCTCCCTATTAATTCCCTGATTGGTAATTGTAAAAACCCATTAATCTTACTGTGCCACTTCCTGCCTGGCTTCTCACAGCATGGTGCTGAGGAATGGAGATTCTAGAAGGTGTTAGGCCATGAGGTGTAAAATGAGAAGAACCCATACAAAGAACGTTTCTCCAAGAAAGCTTCAATTCAACCTCCATGTTACCAAATTATCATTTGTATTTTCCAACCAGAGTTCCAGGTCCCAGTAGCATCTGCCCTGAGGAGCTCAGGAAACCCCTTCAACAGTGCTGCCCCTCTTTACCGCTTCTTTACATCTCAAATTAACCTGCAAGTCCAGATTTGCAATGGAACTGTGCCGATGCCCAGGCTGGGAACAGCAGGCAGAGCCCCCAGGAGGCTAAGGACCTCAGAGTCCCCATATCACCTCAGTTTTCTTTCAACATGAAACCAATTCCCTCTAGGAAACATGCTTAACATCAAAAAGAGTTGTAAAATGGGGCTGGGTGTGGTGGTTCATGCCTGTAATCCCAGCACTTTGGGAGGGCAAGGCGGGCAGATCACATGAGGTCAGGAGTTCGAGACTAGCCTGGCCAACATAGCAAAACCCCGTCTCTACTAAAAACACAAAAATTATCCGGGCGTGGTGGTGAGTGTAATCCCAGCTACTTGGGAGGCTGAAGCAGAAGAGTCGCTTGAACCTGTGATGGGGAGGCTGCAGTGAGCCAAGATCATGCCACTGCACTCCAGCCTGGGCAACAGAGCAAGACTCCATCTCAGAAAACACAAACAAAAACACAGTGGAGACACGCACCGTAGTCTTATAGAAAAAAAAAAAAAAAAGAAGAAGAAGAACTTAGACAACTCTTCCTAATGTAGTGATTCTCAACCTCTAAAACATATAAGATCCCCTGGGACACTTTTCAAAATTGCAGGTAACTGGCACCACCCCAGACACACAGAATCAGAAACTCTGGGGATGGGCTTGAGCATCTGTAGATTTTTTTAAAGCTCCAAATCAAAGGGTGAGAAACACTGGCTTAGTCTATGACTGGCAATGAAGTGTAAGTCAGACTTGGAATCAGGTTTTCCTGATTTTTCCCAAAATGCAGTACTTCTCATAGACTGCTGGGTGGGATATTGTACCTAAGAAGGTTGAGAAATGTCCAGCTGGAAATGGATTCTGTGGAGAAGAAAACTGGGAACCCAGAGGTTAAACAAAACAAGTCTTTACTTTAGAACTCCCAGAATCGTCCTAGGCTCAGGTACATCGTACCCTACCAGAGAGGAATCCATTACATAGTATTTTCCCAAACTTATTTGATCACGAAATTCTTCTTTGAAAAATATCTCACAACTCTAGTAATCTCCAGGAAACACTCTGGGAAACGCTGGTCTCATGTGCTTGTCCTTCAATAATGATTTCAAGAGGTTTCCTGGAAGGTCAGTATGGTGCAAACATTCACTTAAAAATGTGTTTGAGTTATTGGCCTTAGGGCTTTGCTGACTGCACACGGCTGCACAGTCAGGGCTGCAGGACCAAAAACAGCAATCGCTGCAAACTGACTCCATTCACAGACTCATTACGATCTCCTGGGATGCTTTTCAAAATTGCAGGTAACTGGCACTGCCCAAGACACACAGAATCAGAAACTCTGGGAATAGGCTTGGGCATCTGTAGTTTTATTAAAGCTCCAAATCAAAGGTTCAGAAACACTGGCTTAGTCTACGACTGGTAGTGAGCTGTAAGCAAAACTTGGAATCAGATTTTCCCCAAATGCAGTGCTTCTCAAAGGCTACTGGGTGAGGCCATTGTTCCTAAGTTGAGAAATGTCATGGGTGGTAAGGATGCTGTGTCCCACCCTCCCCCACCTAGGATGGGGCTCCAAACATCTCAATCCTTTTCTAACTTGGTCCCAATATAAACAAACCTAAGTCATGACTAATAACTATCAAGTTATGAATGAAGATGAGACTATGCACACATCACTAAATTTCCTGGAATAAGGTTACCAGACATTTTCATGTTCTTAGCAATACCACAAACCTATAAGTACCTTATTACATACAGATGCCCTTTATGATATTATTCTACATGAACAGCTAGTGGCAAGGGCATAGATACTCCTGCATTACAAGAGAAACTGGTACTCTCCAACCTACGGGGCCTGGAATGCCACAGTTATCAAAGGGGAAGGCTTTCTTCTTCTTGTTTCTCCTTTGGAGAGTCAGAATTTTAAATTCTTAACACAAGTAATAAACTTCCAGCTATGATGGGTTTCATATTTGTGATACCTTTGTGATCAGCATTACAAATATACAATAACAGTCCAGCAATGGTGGCTCACGGCTGTAATCCCAGTGCTTTGGGAGGCTGAGGTGGGCAGATCACCTGAGCTCAGGAGTTTGAGACCAGCCTGGTCAACGTTGCAAAACGCCGTCTCTATAAAGAATACAAAAGTTAGCTGGGCAAGGTGATGCATGCCTACAGTCCCAGCTACTTGGGAGACTGAGGCAGGACAATTGCTTCAGTATGGGGTGGGGAGGTAGGTTTCAGTAAGCAGAAATCACACCATTACACTCTAGCCTAGGTGACAAGAATGAAACCCTGTCCCCCATCCCCTCAGCAAAAAAAAGAAAAAAAAAGATATATACATATACTCACACAAACACATATATATACATACACACCAATGAAAAATGCCATAGGCAGGGTATTCAATTGGCAATGACAAAGTTATCAGTATCATATTAATACTCCTAATATCATATTCTAGCCAGTGAGAACTCATTGCAAATATGATTTTTTCTGTAGAGTATTATTTGATTCCAAGTAACTTGTGAAGTAAGTTCATCCAAGCAAACTCAGAAAGAATTCAGTGATTTATATCCTATACAAATACTGATTACCTAAATGTAAATATCACTCGTGAGCATTGCCCATAAATTGCAGTGTGCCCATGCACTCAATAGACAAATTTACTGAGGTCCTCTTATACACCAGGCAGTATTTCAGGAGCTGGAAATACAGCAGTGAACAAGAGATAAGAACCCCCGCCTTCATGAAGCTTTCATTCTAGATCTAGGAATCCAAATAAATATCAAGTTAATTGGATTTTTGTCAATTTTTTTGCAAGGTTGGCACTGAAAGAAATTATTCCAGCTGCTCTGTGCATGACATGAGTTCAAGACAGGATATGGGGGATGCGAGAGGGCAGAAGACCCAGATCCTAGCTGTACTTCCATATACTACCTTAGCTCCTCTTTTTACGTCTCTGAGTCTCAGTTTGCTCATCTGTTCATTAAGTACTGGATTGGAGCCTGACACATTACTCAATGCATAGTAGTTGAGGGGTGTTTGAAAATGTGTGGGGGTGGGGAAGCATTCTGGTTGACACAATCACTGAGTGGGCCCAGGAATGGTGAACATCCTTTATGTCACAGGACAAGCCTATCCCAGGGTCACGGAGCTCTTGACAGCAAAGATCGGCTGACTATGTTTGTGGTCCTTTCCCATATGCCATGCTATTCCATTCTTTCTAGGATTGTCTAGGGTGTTATGATCCCTGATTTCTATTCATTTGCAGTAGGCTGGGTAAAGCAGTGGGCGTTTCTTTGAGGAGAAAACCATCTGCCAACATCCTCTCCTCTGAAAACGTCAGACTAGGTAAAGCAGGCAGCTTCTAGTTATCATTCTAAAGCTACCTAATTTTTCAACATGTCCCCCAGTTCCTTTTAGGAAGGTTTTTGTTTGTTTGTTTTTGAGATGGAGTCTTGCTTTGTCACCCAGGCTGGAGTGCACTGGCACGATCTTAGCTCACTGCAACCTCCGTCTCCCAGGTTCAAACAATTATCCTGCCTAAGCCTCCTGAGTAGCTGGTACTACGGGAGTGCACCACCACATCTGGCTAATTTTTGTATTTTTAGTAGAGATGGAGTTTAATCACGTTGGGTTGGCCAAGCTGGTCTTGAACTCCCGACCTCAAGTGACCTTCCCACCTTGGCCTCCAAAAGTGCTGGGATTATAGGTGTTAGCCACCGTGCACAGTCTAGGAAAGTTTTTTCATACCCAAAGCTCAAGTAACTGAAATTAAAATAATCTTATCAACTAGATCTCATTTCTACTAGGATTTAGCTAATTTGAGCTAATTTGATTGTAGCTTGTTACAAAAAGGTATGTTAGTACAGTCCTGGTTTTGAGAAGATTTACAGCATCCTTCTAATGCCTGAAGTGGATAATTACAAAATATGTTGCAGCCAAATCATTAATCCACAGAAAATAGGCAGTTTGTGGAAAGAATATGTGAAAAAAACCAAAAAGGTTAAGTAAGAAAATCTTATCACATACATAGTGTAGTTAAACAGTCATTCTCTTCTTCACTGATGAGCAGACATGATGCAATACTGCCCAAGAAGTTAAAATCAGACCTCTCTAGGTTAGACATATTATAAATGAAAGAAAGAATTGTCACATCCTACCAATTAGGTTGAAATGTCATCTTATTATCTCTGCCTCCTGCCCAAGTTTGGTGACGTTGTCATCTCTCTCTTTAGTTATTTAACCCCTAACCTGCCATTAAGACACATATTTGAGTGGCTGTGGGCGACACGACTGCAAATCATCCCAGAAAATTTCTTTTAACTAAATGGATGATTACTAAACTGCGCACTGAGGTACGCTGAGGCATCAAAGGGAATTCACAGAGGCACTTTGAGATATTTTAACTTTGTGGCAGAACGTAGTAATAGTAGACATCTATTGGACATCATACAGTCAACATTAGATTGAGCTACATTCCTTTTGGCGATATCTTATCTTTGCACAACTGCCCTTTTAGTGGTTTCTGTAATGAATGCAATTGCTGCACAAAATGAGGTGGTGCCTAATCTAATTCCAAGGTTGAGACATCGCGCAGTGCTCAAGAGATGCACACATCCCACTGCTCACTGTGGTTGAGAATGAGATCAAACTATTATTTTTTCCAATTTATTGTATTATTTTCTCAAACAGCTTCTAAGTCAATAGGACATAAATACTCATAGCTGGTGGACCTAACTACTTTTTTTTTTTTTTTTTTTTTTTTTTGGAGATGGAGTCTCGCTCTGTCGCCCAGGCTGGAGTGCATTGGCGCGATCTCGGCTCACTGCAACTTCCACCTTCTGGGTTCAAGCAATTCTCCTGCTTCAGCCTCTCATGTAGCTGGGATTACAGGTGTCCACCACCACACCTGGCTAATTTTTTGTATTTTTAGTAGAGACGGGGTTTCACCATGTTGGCCAGGCTGGTTTTGAACTCGTGACCTCAAGTGATCTGCCCACCTTGGCCTCCCAAAGTGCTAGGATTAAAGGTGTGAGCCACTATGCCCAGCCCTAACTACTTAATTTTTAGCCATTAGGTATTTCCTTTGTTCAAGGGATACTGGAAAAATTAATGAGACACTAATGGCACCGTGAACCAAGAACGGTGAAGAACCTCTCAACTATACCTCTTGGTCAATCTCCAAAATAGGGCAGAGAATAGGAAGGGTTCTTTTTCACAGAGCTGATATTTAGAAGAAGAGATCAGGACCTGGACCCACCTCCTCACAAAGCCACAGCAGCAGCAAGAGCTGGATTGGTCTCACTACTAGTGGAAGGTCAGGACCGGACCGGCAGATGGTCAGCTCCCCACATTTTATGCCTACTGCTCCCTTTATGTCTGGAGGTTCAAGGACAGAAGGGAAGAATTACTTAAATACACCCTAAGTACAGTCTATAAGCTAAAGACCAATAGACTTCAATTTTCATTTTAAACTTAGAAGTGTGAGCTATTCAAAATAATTCACCATGAGACAAAATATAAGTATACTGTAAAAAATCAGTGATAGTCACTTATAGTCCTTTTTGGGCGTTTATATTCATCCATCTTCAATTTATTCAACTGAAGTCCAACCGTGTAACAAAGATTAGGTAGGAACTTTGGCTACAAGCCAAACCATCTTAATTGTAGAAAGGAGAGTTAAAGAATGCTAATTTCATTGTGGACTAGTAATTGACTGATAGGGATAAAAAATAAGCATTTAGGCTGTGTGGAGTGGCTCAAACCTGTAGTCCAGCACTTTGGGAGGCTGAGGCAGGAGGATCGCTTAAGCCCAGGAGTTTCAGACAAGCTTGGGCAACATAGTGAGATTCCTCTCCACAAAAAAAAATGTAAATATAAAGATAAAATAATATAAAGGGATAAAAGCAATTCTTATTAGTTTTAGGGAGAAAATGTAGCTATATTTAGTATTTAATATATTACAGTATTTGCTATATTATAGTATTTTTAAAAATCTGCCATCACCTTAATTGCATCATCAAAATTAACACTGTCAATGAGGAATAGATGTGATACCTTGATAAGAACACATCATTTATGTAGAATTCCTGTTCAGCATGTATAACCTGAATCCAATTACAAGAATCACTCATCTAACCCAAAATGAAAAACAGCCTTTAAAAGAAAAAAAAAGATTGTGTACTTCAAAAACATTTTCACAAAAGACAAAGAAACGCTATGAAAATGCTTCAGGTTAAAGGAATATAGAGACGTAATAACTAAATGCAATCCCTGATGTTAGTACTAGAGGGGAAAATAGTTTAAAGGACATTAAGTCAATTTACAAAACCAGAACCCAGTACATTAGGCAAATTCAAATAAATGTTAAGTTTACTGATGCTGATACTTGCACTTTTGTTATATAAGAAAATATCCTTATTCTTAGGAAATATACCACTTAGCAGGAAAGGGCTATGATGTATACACTTATTCTCAAATGGTTCAGATAAAATAGTATATATATTTATTTATGTACGTATATACATGAGGGGGAACAAAGAGACAAATAGCATGGATAAAAAGCAAATGAGCAGGGTATAGTGGCCCATGCCTGTAATCCCAGCATTCCAGGACTTCAAGGCAGGTGGATCACTTGAGCCCAGGAGTTTGAGACCAGCGTGGGCACCATGGCAAAACTCAGTCTCTACAAAAGATACAAAAAATTTAGGCAGATGTAGTGGTACACACCTGCTGTCCCAGCTACTTAGGAGGCTAGGGTGGGAGGATCTCATGAGCCTGGAAGGCAGAGGCTGCAGTGAGCCAAGATCGCACCACTGTGCCACTGCACCACTGCACTCTGGCCTGGGGGACAAAGACAGACCCTGTCTCTAATGAAAAAAAAATTTAAAAAAAGGGAAATGATGTAAAATGTTAACAACAGGTCAATCTAAGTAAAGAACACATAAGTTCTTTGTACTATTCTTATTTTTGCAACTTTCTTATACAGACCATACCCCACTACAGTGGTTCAAATTACAATTTTTCTACTTTACATTGGGTTTAACAGGGTATTAAATGCTTTTTGACTTACAATATTTTTGACTTACAATAGGCTTATCCAGATATAACAGCATCATTAAGTCAAAGAACATCTGTAATTTGAAATTATTTCCAAATATTTTCAGTAAGTAAAATGTCTATGTGGCACTCTGGAGTACAAGAAGCTAACTGCTTCAGTAACTAAATAGGATGCCTGCACCACAGCTAAAGAATGTACGATATGTATCAGAAATACGTGGGCTTAATGACAGGATGTTCACTGTCAATCAATAGTGTGATGGTACCAAAGCACATAAACGCAAGTTCTCAGTCATCAGCCTGCTGAAGACTGTGCACTAAGTGATGTGCAGGAACAGTGAAAAGAACTGAAGATACCAAACTTAAATGAACAAGATATATAGGGACCTTACTGGTAAGGTTCACCATATGCAAGTGAAGTCTGCATCATTTTGTGGTCCTCCTGGGGCACCACAACAGCTAGGCTCCTCAAATGATTCTGCTCTGTAGGTCTGGAGTGGGGCCTGGGGCCCAATGGCTCTCAAGTGCCCCAGAAGATAGCTGCAGATGGCCCACGGACTACACTAGGGCCATCTGCAGGTTCTAGATGACCCTTTGCATGCTGGGAAGCCCCAGCTCCCATTAATGTACAATGATTTGTTCTTTTGAGGAAGTCTGTAGATTTCTTTACAGGGTATGAATAACATCAGGAAGGGTGGTTTTCATCTTAAATCAAATGAGCTGAAGACTCAGTACAGAGAAAAAGATCCTTGAGGTTAAAGGACACTGTGCAGCTCCTCTCATTCTGCCCAGAAAATTCCTACACATGCTCCAAGAATTCTGCTCAAGCATCACTTTTTGGGACTGATTCCTACATTCCTTCCCTTGAGGGCTGGATGAGAGCCCACTTATTGCTCCACAAGCCCATCTGTCTCAAGACCCTTCTCAACCTTGTGCTGAAACTTAATTTTCCTTCCCTGTCTCTCCCTCTAGGCTGCTTCAGGATGGAAGGAGAAGGACTGGAATGGTGACTTGGAGACAGAATATCAGAACTCAGCTGGGGACATCATGAATTGAGGGTGCTGGTGGAATATGCCATGAAGATGGTCAGGAGTGTGCATCTCAGAGGAGTGGTTTGAGCTGAGGGTACATATTTGACGTCAGCAGTTTGGATAAAAGTTCACCACTTACAACAGAAGCAACTACACAGGTGAAAGAGAATGAGAAGAACAGAAAAACATGGACTGCTAGAGAACATCAGTATTTAAGGCACGGAAAAGGAGATTATGAAGAAACAGCTAGAGGTGTATGAAAAAACTACCAGAGTTTATTGTCACAATATAGAAATAAGGCAAGGGAAGTGAGAGTCTCAAGGACAGTGGTCAAAGTGCCAAATGATGGAGAGAAATCAAGGAATACCTAATATGTGTAATCCGGCACTCAATACTAAAAATATGAGTTAAAGTACGTGGTATCAAATTACAGTGAGACGAACAATAACATTGAGACTCAAACACACAAGGACCTCAAAGGAAGAAAAGTTAGGTGACCATTTACCAAAGAAAGAACTCAAGCTGCCCACATGCAATTAGCTAGTCCACACCCAGGCACCGTCTTCATTCCAACTTTAGGTCGTGACTCAAATTAGTCACAAGGAGTGCAATGGCGTGATCTCTGCTCACTGCAACCTCCACCTCCCAGGTTCAAGCGATTCTCCTGCCTCAGCTTCCCAAGTAGTTGGGATTACAGGTACACGCCACCAGGCCTGGCTAATTTTTTTTTTTTTTTATTTTTACTAGAGACAGGGTTTCACCATGTCAGCCAGGCTGGTCTCGAACTCCTGACCTCAGGTGATCCACCCACCTTGGCCTTCCACAGTGCAGGGATTATAGGCATGAGCCACCACACCCGGACTTTAATTTTAATTCAATCCATTTTCCTACTGTCAGGACCTTTACTCCTTTTATATACCTACCCTCCAGGCTTGGCCTAAGGTTGGCTATTCACACGTGTTATAAAGTTAGAAAACACATTTGATGATAGAAGTAGCCCTGTCTGCAAGTTTTTATCGTATATGAGATTTTGTGTCTGCGGGCTCCCCATCAATTCTGTTGGACATTCTTCCAATAGATTCCTTTCCTGCTTAAGTAAGCCTCATTGATTTCTGTTTCTTGTACCTAAGAATCCTAAATAAAAATCGGCATTTTATTTTACTAATAAAATTTTAAAACTTAACTATCATTAATTTTGTTAACCATCCCGTTTTAAATTTTATTAAGAAAAAAAGGCTAGAACCTCAAAGTAAAGGTTATCCCTTTAGAGCGAGTATTAGCTCTTTGAGAACAACATGCTATTTTTCTCATTTCTCTGTGGATGACTGAGACTTTCACCAGAGACTGGATTCCAATCCAAGAATTGGTACTTGGTAACCACAAAGCACATTTAAAGTCCAACACGCAGTAACAAGTCTCAATATATGTTTGTGAGTTCAGAACATACAACTCTTTATTAAAACATTTAAGGGTAAACACTAATATTTCAAATTACCATTTATTTTAAGAACTTAAATATGATTTTCATGAAAAAATTAAAGTATCAGCTTGGATTAGATATGTGCCCAGTGGAAGAGATGAATTTTCTTTTCTCTGGGGGACTTGACTATATGATCATATTTGTAATGTTAAAAAAAAAAATCTGGCCAGACATGGTGGCTCACACCTGTAATCCCAGCACTTTGGGAGGCCAAGGCAGGACCCTGTTTCAAAAACAAAAATTTAAGTAACAATTGAACTGTTTGTTTCCAGAGGTTATAATTCTTTCCTTTGTCTACCCTCCACTCTAATTTTCACTCCCTCTCTTATTCCAGACTTCTCTGCACAACTCCATCAGATTCTTGCCTCCCTTTCTCATTTTCAGTTAATGTATTTTTTTTTTTTTTTTTTTTGAGACAGGGTCTCACTCTGTCACCCAGGCTATAGTCCAGTGATGTGATCTCAGCTCACTACAGTCTCAACCTTTCTGGCTCAAGGGATCCTCCGACTCTAGCCTCCCAAGTGGCTGTGACTACAGGCACATGCCACCACACCGAGCTAATTTTTAAAAATATTTTTATAGAGACAGGGGTCTTGTCATGTTGCCTCGGTTGGTCTTGAACTCCTGAGCTCAAGCAATTTGTCTGCCTTGGCCTTCCAGAGTGTTGAGATTATAGGTGTGAGCCACCGTGCCCAGCCTCATTTTCAGTTCCTCAGGAAAGGTATCACATTGTGGGTCAGAAACTGACTGAAAAGAGAGCTACTTCCTATGTGTCAGCTGAACATTCTGAAATTGCATTCTTTCAGACACCAGTGTGATATTGACAGTTTTAGAGTCATGATTTTCCACAAGAAAGGACTGTTAGTGTGATGAGGGGGAAAATGAAAAAGCCTAAAGCAGTTGGCTTCTTATGAACAATCAAATCAAACCCTGGAGTGTGTCACGCCCTCTGCTTGTGACAGAACAAACATTTCTGCTCTTAATCACAAAAGTAATTTTTAAGTATCATACAAGTATTTCTGATAAGCAAAAAGATCCTATTATCTTTGCTGAAGAAAAACAAGTGAGAAAGAGAGTAATTCTGAATCATGTTTTAACTGCAAATATAGGCCACAAATTGTAAGAAAAAAAAAAAAGACAACAAAGTCTAAAATTAAGTCCCAAAGATCTTACCACTGTAAATACATTTTTTCATACATAACACATTTTGGAATAAAAAGTGATTTAAAAATCTAAGCAAAGGAAAAATAAAGCTCAAACCATGAACTCTAAAAAATCTAATTCCTTTCAATTATTTTTACTTTTAAAGGATAATCATTATAAAAATAGACACTTTGACTTTTTATTTTTAATTGTAAAATTCATGTAATGAAATTTACCATCTTAACCATTTTTAAGTATACAGTCCAGTAGCATTAAATACAGTCACAGTTTTCTACTGCTAAATTCATTCACTGTTATGCAACCAAACTCCACATCTTTTTCATCTTGCATAACTGTAACTCCGTACCCATTAAACAAGTGCCCATTCTTGCCTCCCACAGCCCCTGACACCTCTCATTCTATTTTCTGTCTCTATAAATGTGACCACTCTAGGGACCACATATTAGTGGAATCACACAGTATTTGTCATACTGCGACTGGCTAATTTCACAAAGCATCATGTCTCAAACTGCATCCATATTTTAGTAGGTGTCAGAATTTCTCTCCTTTTTAAGGCTGAAAAATATTCCATTGTATGGATATACATACTGCATTTCGTGTATCCATTCATCTGTTAATGGATATTGGGTTGGGGCTGCCTCTATCTTCTTTCTTTTTTTTTTTTTTTTTTTTTTTTTTTGGAGAGGAGGTCTTGCTGTGTCACCCAAGCTAGAGTGCAGTGATGTGATCATAGCTCACTGCAGACTCAGTCTCCTGGGCTCAAGCAATCCTCCCGCCTTTGCTCCCAAGTAGCTGGGACTACAGGCATGAGCCACCAAGCCTAGCTAATTTTATTTATTTATTTATTTTTGTAGAGATGGGGTCTTCTCACTATGTTTCCCAGGCTGGCCTTGAACTCCTGAGCTCAAGTGATCCTCCCACCTCACCTCCCAGAGTGTTCCGATTACAGGTGTGAGCCACAGCACTCAGCCTTCACTTATTTTTAAACAATTAATTTAACTAAGCAGGCAAAGTGCCGGAGTCCGATCCCTTGCCTCCAAGGCAGCAGAGAAAATACAGATGTTAAAAGGAAGTAGGGGAAAGGCTGGTACACCGTCAAATGTGCAGCAAATGATGATAACATTGCTAGCTTCTGATGAGGGTCTTCAGACACCAGCAACTCCTTCAAACCTTTGTTTGTGAAGTAGGAACATACATATGCTAGATGCTAAAAATGCAGAGACCATGCCTAGTTTGAGGGCCAGATGGCCAAAGGGCAAACATCTAACCAGTAAATAATTATGAACAATAGGGAAAATAAGGCAATAGAGAGAGGCACACAATGGCCCAGCCCCATCCCAGCCTGGGGCTCAGCAAAGGCTCCCCCCTTACCTGCCTCCCAAGATAAGTCTCAGGCATGGAGTGAGAATCTGGAGGGTCAAGAGGAAGGGGAAGGCACTGCAGATATGGGACAGCAGAATAAGACATGGAGGAGAGAAGGTGAAGCACAGGCTTGGAGGTAGAACCCAACTCAATGAAAAGGGAATCCCAATAGCAGAGCTCAAAACAGAATGGGAAAGACAGCAACAACACCTGATTAAGGGTCAATCAACAGGAAATAAAAACCTACTGGAAGGCATGCATCACCGGATACCCATTCATGTGCCAGTATGAACCTCCTGGAGTAGCCTCATCTGCAGAAAACCAATGGTGGCCCAGGAGTATAAATTAAAATTGAAGCAGTGAAAGGTGACACTGATTAAAAGCTTACAGACTTTATGGCACCCCTCATTCCATTCAACGAAAATATTTTAAAAGTCTAAAACACATCCAAAGGAAGGCCACTTTATAAAATCCAAACTGTTACTTTTCTCTGGCTTTTCAAATAGGAGCAACTTGCCCAGTTAGTACATTAGAGTTTTATATTATTATTTACTTATAACATCTGCTTCCTTCCAAAAATGATTGCGTCAGCTACTATTTTATGTTATTTGCTAGTCATGCTTCACAGACTAGCGGAACTGCAAAGGGCCTATAAGCTTATGTGTCTACAAACAGTTTTTACCCCCAGATGCTCCAGAAGGAGCTGGATCACCAAAATGGGAAAGGAAAGTTCTGCGCCCTGCTCAGGGGTGAGTTCAGGAGACGACTGCGCAAACAATAATGACAATGCAATGACACGTGCCCATAAGAAGAATGTGGGTGGTGCCAGAGGACTAAGTGGAGCCATCTTCAGGTAGGAGACATCCCTTTATTCACTTTTCCATTCATTCACTCGCTCATTCATTCTTTTGTTTGGTGCCTTATAAGAGCCAGGCACTGGTCCTCAAGCTAGAGTACAGGAACACACTACCATTGAGGTGAGGTTTGAAGCTCCCTGGTCAGTGATGAGAAGAAAGTATGCTAGGTAGAGAGAGTGTGGACACCAACACAGCTTCAAGGAGTGACAGCTGGGGAGGAGTGAGCAGAAGGGCCAGAGGTGGGAGACAGGAACAGGTGGAGACAAAAGCACAGGTCGGGGAGGGGGAGCACAGAGAGCTAGTGTCAGGGGAGGGGGAGCACAGAGAGCTAGCATCAGGGGACAGGAGCATGGAGAGCCAACAGCACATCTTTTCTTTGATAGGAGGAAAGCAATTAAGGATTTGGAAATGTGGTTCCATTTCGTGGTAGGGAGAGGCAGGAAATATATCAGTGAGCAGTGACAAGATACAAGGTGGCCGTAAAAATTGTGAGCAGAGGCCAAGCATGGTGGCTCACACCTGTAATCCCAGCACTTTGGGAGGCCAAGGAAAAAGGAAAGAAAGGAAGGAAGGAAGGAAAGGAAGAAAGAAAAAGAAAAAGAAAAGAAAGAAAGAAAGAAAAAGAAAGAAAGAAAGAAAGAAAGAAAGAAAGAAAGAAAGAAAGAAAGAAAGAAAAGAAAGAAAAAGAAGGAAAGAAAGAAGGAAAGGGAAAGAAAGAAAGAGAGAGAAAGGAAAGGAGGAAGGAAAGAAGGAAAGAAAGAATAAATAAATAAGTAGTCCAAAGCTGATTAAGGTCTACTTGGGCAAATGCAAAGTTATAGGATGTTTCTGCTCTAAAGTTAAAGCTACCACAGTAGCAGGACAGGGAACACTTGGGGAACCTGGGAAGCCCTTGTTTTCCCAGAACTGCTCCTTACTTTTATAGACTCAGGGCTTGAACATCCTTCAGCAGCAGAACTTCACCAGACTTGAAAGAAACCAACGTGCACATTGAGAAGACAGCAAATGAGTTGTTTCCTTTCTTTTTGGGCAGACAAACCTACCCCACACCCAGTGCATGCTTGGCAATCACAGGATCCCAGCAAGGGGAGTTAATTGTTCCATTCAAACATTTAGTAGCATTAGGCCATAAGTTGTGCAGTAGGGATAGCCTTGTGTGTTAAACATATCCTTCATAGAGCTTGCTCCACCATGGTTCATTCTTGGTCAATTGCTGCTCACCATTCATTCATTCATTCATTCATTCATTTAGAGACAGAGTTTGCTGTTGCCCAGGCTGGAGTGCAATGGCGTCATCTTGGCTCACTGCAACCTCCACCTCCCCTGTTCAAGCGATTCTTCTGCCTCATCTTCCCTAGTAGCTGGGTTACAGGTATGCACCACCATGCCTGGCTAATTTTTATATTTACAGTAGAGATGGGGTTTCACCATATTGGCCAGGCTGGTCTCGAACTCTTGACCTTGTGATCCACCTGCTTCGGTCTCCCAAAGTGCTGGGATTATAGGAGTGAGCCACCGCACCCAGCCTACTTCTCTATTTTGTAAAGTTTATTTTGACTGTTTTCTGGCATTATCTCAAGGTCTTACTAATTATGGTCTACATGGGGTTGTAATGACATTGCTCTCTTTTGTATCATCCAAGTAATTCTCAAAAACATTAAACATCACAAGGCCCAAGATTAGGACAGTTCCATACGCCCTTCAAGTTGACCCTGAATTACTTAAGCCTCTTAACCACTTGACTTTCTACTTAGGAAAGGATTTGGGAGGAATTCTCCTTCAGTTATTTTTGTTTGTATTATTAACTTTCAGCCAAGGTTTTTTTTATTTTTTCTATTGTTAGTAACTGAAATACAGTTCTTTATGAAACTCCACACACCCTCATTTAAGTACAGGGCAGTTCATTAATGCAAAATCAAATCATTAACTACTCTGGCTTCCATTATTTTATCTTAATAGTGTGACAAAAGTTTTTGGAAAAAAAAAAAAAGCAAAACCATCAAGCAAACCTCTATAGACATTTGTTAAATGAAGGAGGAAGGTGAAGGGGGCTTTCTGAAGATATGTATATGCTGAGTGCAGCTTACCTATTTTCATTTTTATGCCTATTGAATTACTTCTAGAAAAAAAAAAGACTCTCTGCTGAAGCTTGGAACCATATATACAGCTTCCTGTTTCATACCATCGCATGTCAACATTAATGATATTTTACAGTACTTGTTTTATTTTGTATTTTTTAAGTTTAGTCTTATCAGATGTAATAAAACATCTTATTGCATAGAAACTCAAAATTACTGGTTACAAGAGCAGAACTAAAACAACATTCCAGAGATTTTCATTTGTCCCCGGACTAAAACCAAGCTTCCAATCCGTAAGGGCACTATTCTCAAAGAGCTCTAGACAGTGTCCCTCTAAGACACCATATGTCAGAAAGAAAGCTCATTCTTCAATTTCCAAAACCATGGTATTTAAATAATTATTTTCTAGCAAAGTCAAAATTAGAGTACCTATTTGATGACAGGGTGACTATTTTAAAAAGCTCAGTATTCTGTCCCAATTTCCAATGGGAGAACAAATGTCCCTATGTAAGCGAACTGTTTCAAAAAGATGTAGCTCTTCCAGCTCTATGATTGGTTTAAGTCACTTGCCACTCTGAGAAGAGATAAATCCTTAAAAAGTTGGGAAAGTTAGATGTAGATGTAGATGTTACAGCCTTTAAAAAGTGAATGAAAAGGATTCAATGGAGCCAAGTAATTGTATTATTTTGGAAGAAGTATCATTCTCTTGAAGTAATAACTTGTTACTAATCAAGCTATTGACAGTAGAATGAAATTTCATACATTTCAAACACATCCAGAATATTGAACACAAAGCAGACCATGCAAAGGTTTGTTTCTTGAGTGAAAATGCTCACTTACCTGGGGGTTCAAGAAGGGAAGGTTAGGAGGTGGCTACATCATTGCTCCTCTGGGTCAAAATTACCTTGGCGTCTTTCCTTGAAATAGGAAGGCAGCTAAAATAAAATAAAAACAAAAGGCAACCCTTGTAAATTTCCATGTCTTAAATGTATGTGGTATTACAAAATGGGAACATTTTAAATCACTTAGTATATAAAATACAATGCATCTGAAAGTATTACCCCAAAAAGCAGGATGGTATTTGTTCTCTCCCTGTTTCAATGAATAAAATGCAAACTATTTGTTTAAAAAAAAATCAAGGCTTTAAACAGTGATAACCATGTCTAAAGGTGTCTAAAAATGAAGCTGAACATTTTCATGTGAAAAAGAGCAAATCAAAAAAGCCGATCTCGCAGGAAAGAAACGTGCCCAGCTGCCAGCGAGCCGCTTCCTAACTCGCAGCTCTGCTTCCAATGCTCTGACAGCGCTGAAGTCACACTGGGGTTTCCAGGTTGGGGTCAGGAGGGAAAGTGCTGCCCCCCTCTGCAAGGACTGTGTTCAGCGCCACCACTTAAAAAAAACGGTTTCATGAAATGAAATGTTAAAAAATAAAAAATTTCCTTTTTTCCCCAGAGAAGGTAAGAGCGCACACGCTGGAAAACGGTGGGAGCAGGGAGGAACGACCGCCTTCCCGAAGCACCGCAGGGTTCGCCGCACAACGCCGCTGGTGAGGACCGAGCGCATCTGCCCACAGCGCCCCAGCCGCGCCTGGAGCCTCCCGCTCCCCAGGGAGAACGGTGGGCGCGTCCCAGGGAACACGACACCCAAGGAGAGGGCGGGCGCGAGTCCCACCGGGTGACCCGCTCCCTGGGGGGCGTGAAGCCCCCAGACCTGCCCTGCCCCTGCCTGGAGATTGCGCCTTGCAGGGAGTGACAACGGGCCCCAGCCGTCCCTTCCTTTTAGGAATATCAATGGAGGAAACCGATGTGTCAACTAGATAAAAGCAGAATGGGAAAGAGGTGCAAGCAAAATACTCTGGAATGAAGGGCAAGGGGAAAATACTCTGGAAAGGGACTAAGCCCTTCCAGTTAATTTCATGTCAATAATGTTGTCTTCAATTAACGAAGGCACAGTCCTCCTTCCCGAGTTGTCAGGATTTTTATCCCATCTGTCTTTATTATTCGAATAACAGCAAATATCCATCTATATATGTATTTGCTATTTTTATATATATATATACATACATACACAAATATATTCATATATACAAACATACAATTTGCTATTACTGTGTGTATACACACACACACACACACACACACACACACACACACACACAGAATTGCTCCCATTTCACATGCAGGAATTAAAAAAAAAAAAAAGTAGAAAGAAAGAAAGAAAAGAAAAACAGGCCCAGAAAGCGCCAAAGGAAAATTGCTAAGTCTCAGGTCTAAAGACAGCTGGTCCCCAGTTCCTCCATGGGGATGGCCTCCAAACACCTCTCCAAAGGTTTTCTCTGACTCACTGACATGAACAAAGTCAGCTGAAGTGTGAGGTGTATCACTATAGAGGTTTAGAGTCTATTTTGTACCCACCCACTCTCACCCCAGTTCACTGTGGGTTTACTGTTGGAGAGGGTTGCCGACTGCCTAGGGCCAGCTCTTGGCCCCAACTCGGTCCTCTACTGCGGTGCCTGCGCGGCTCCCACCACCCACTTCCGCCTCTGCCTGGCCAATCAATCTATGTCTACACCAAATTGCAGTTGGCAGCAACGCAGCAATGCCTAAGTGGAATAATCACTTGGACCCGAATCTGAGTTGTTTTCTGTCCCCGACAACAAATAATGTTACTTCAGCGCCTGCAGGCCAAGAGTTGAAATAAGCTTATAATTTGGCTTCCAATCCATCTCACATTCTGATTCCCAACCACTTAAATTTTCTTTTCTGTGTTTTAGCTTGCAGGCAGCAGATCTGGAGGCTCCATCACTGGCATGGTCTTTATGGATATCCTTCATGAATACCCTTGGCCATCTAAGTAAAAAGGGGGGAAATCTACATAATCCAAAACCACACTTGTTTTAACAATGAAAACAAATAGACTGTCAGCTGGTACCTCCACATAATCATTAATAATCTAATTTGTACTTTCTTACTCCAGCAACTTGAAGAACTGTTCACAGTTTTCTCATCTACACACAGTAACATACATCGAGCCCTGGAGTGTGTGGTACTAGCAATACCAAACTGCAGGTTCGGAGCCACGGCATGGCTCAGCTCCTCCCTCTTTTTCCAGTGAAGGTACTTATTAAAAGTCTGCTCTTCAGCTCTGGAAAGTACATGTCTCCTTAGCCGTTCCAAGCATCATATTCCTCCAGAGAAGAGTCATCTCAAGCTAGTAACTGAAAAATGAAGAGACTAGAAGGCAAACCCACTGCCAAGACCCCCTTGGTAATCAGGGTGGAAGGGGAATAGCATCTTGGAAAATTCCAGGAGGTGACCTGCAGGTATACTACCAGCTAATGAGAAGTGGGTATGTTCAACTGGACAGACGCTCTATAGGAAGAAAAGAGAAGGAACATCAACAGCACATCCATAATGTGTCCATACACCACACAAGCTATGTTACACATGAACTCATTCCAACCACAACAATGCTATGGATATGTGCATTAATATTTCCACTTTACAAACACAGAAATGAGGCTCAAAGGTGTTAAGTAACCTACTAGGCTCATACGTGGTGAAGTCAGGATCTTTCTAACTTTCAAAACCAAACTCTACAAAGGAAAGCGAGCCTTTGCTCTGTTGACTTTGCAACACACCTTCACCTACAGGACTTAGCCTTCATGTATGATTCTTTGAAATTAAGTATGGGGCGGCCAGGTACGGTGGCTCATGCGTGTAATCCCAGCACTTTGGGAGGCCGAGGCGGGCAGATCACAATGTCAGGAGATCAAGACCATCCTGGCTAACACAGTGAAACCCCGTCTCTACTTTAAAAAAAAAAAAAAAAAAAATTAGCCGCGCACGATGGCAGGTGCCTGTAGTCTCAGCTACTCAGGAGGTTGAGGCGGGAGAATGGCATGAACCCGGGAGGCGGAGCTTGCAGTGAGCCAAGATCGCGCCACTGCCCTCCAGCCTGGGCGACAGAGCAAGACTCTGTCTCAAAAAAAAAAAAAAAAAAAAGTAAGTATGGGGCTTACATAACACAGCTGCATGGAAGTGGTAGCTAGGTATATGTGCTGCCAGCAACCTAAGGCTGCCATGTTGGCCTCAGGAACACAGCCCACCCTGATCCCCTATAATTCCCTCATAAGAAACCATAATGACAAAAACTCACACTTTCTGAATGTCAAAGAAATAGACAATAAGTATTTGCCAAAAGCAAAAACTAAATCCAGGAAAGCGACTGCAGTTAGAATAGTTACAAAACCTTGCTTTGCCCAATTCAGACAGTGACAATGACATCCCTCTGTCTAAATTCTTATGTCAGCCTGGCCAACATGGTGAAACCCCGTCTCAACTAAAAATACAAAAATTAGCCGGGCATGGTGGCAGGCACCTGTAATCCCAGCTACTCAGGAGACTGAGGCATGAGAATGACTGGAATCTAGGAGGTGGAGGTCGCAGTGAGCTGAGACGGTGCCACTGCACTCCAGCCTGGGGGAGAGAGTGAGACTCTGTCTCCAATAAATAAATAATTAATAAATTCATTCATTCACTCGTTCTTGTATCCGGGTCTCAGTCCCCTCCCCTGTCCTCCAATGCCTAGTATGTTCTCCATAGCTTGGCACAGAGAGTGAGGATTCCGAGTGAGCATTATGGAAGAGCTCATGTGTCATCACCAGTGTCAGTTACAGTAAGAACCGAGTAAGAGGAGGCAGGATGTGCGTGAGAGCGGCTGAGAAACCATCCATGGAAAAATCCTAGACTTGGTTTTGCAAGTTTTTCAGTTGGGACTCTAAAGATTGGGAAGTCCACCCTTCCCCACCCCCAAAGAAATGGAGTTTGGCAGACATCAATTAGCAGTCCTCTATAAATAAACCTGCTTTTAATCATGTTAAAAGAAGCCTACCAAAAATCATCTACTGAAAAGAGCAATTAAAAATGGTGAAAATGAGTACATTGAGATCAATAATATTTTAACCATCTAGGAATTCATCCTATTTAATGTACAACTAATAAGTGAAAGTTCTCCACATTTTAATGTCCAAAGGGCTTCAAAAACACAATGGACCCAATGGTGTGAAAATATCCATCCAGCTGCCTTAAGTTCCAAGGCTTACTCACCTGCATCTATTTAAAACTTTAAATCTTTAGACCATCTAAACCATGTCTGTGTCAGACACACTGATTCTCAAAATGTGAAAAATAAAAAGGCTAAAAACCCTCTTCACCATCAGCATGCCTAAAATAACAAATGAAAAACACCACGAGATGAGATATGTGTCTGCCAACTAGAAGTTCCCAGTGAGATCTTCTTTGTGCATATGTGGCTAATTTTATATATACACAAAATTTATATTTAAATCTTAATGGTAACTTTTTTATTTCTTTAAATCAGTGAAGTCCCTTATGTTATGGCACTGGAGGATAGAGCAGGGATAGGGTCAGGAACTATACAGACAACTTCTAAAATTATCATCTTTCTCAAGATATGTCTCAGAAAAGAAAGGCCTCTTGGATGTCACACATGATAAATTGTGTGTTACTATACAATATCCTTAACCACATTCCTTCTACATTAAATAATTTTACTGCAAATAGTATGTTTTAGAACACAACTGATTTTAAAGGTCATGAGTTCTTCCCCTAAAAGATTACTTTTCTGTTATTTTGTCAAATGAAAAAGAGGATCTTGGTGTCCTGGTCTTAAGACTACAGGATGCAGACTCAACGGAAACATATCTATTTTTAATTCCTTTTTCATTTTAATCCTTTCACTCAAGTGGGTCACCCTGCTTTTCTTCACTTCAATTTCTTACCTCAATAAATAGAGATAATCTCAGATAACAAAATTATGCTACTAAATTACTTGAAGTCTCTTTAAAAAGGTACCAGTCCATTATTGCCTTAAAGGATACCCAATATTATTTTCCTTATACTTTAAAGATTTACCAAGTGTAGCCGGGCACGGTGGCTCACACCTGTAATCCCAGCACTTTGGGAGGCGGAGACGGGTGGATCACAAGGTCAGGAGATCGAGATCATCCTGGCTAATACGGGGAAACCCTGTCTGTACTAAAAATACAAAAAATTAGCCGGGCATGGTGGCAGGCGCCTGTAGTCCCAGCTACTCTGGAGGCTGAGGCAGGAGAATGGCATGAAATCAGGAGGCAGAGTGTGCAGCGAGCTGAGAACGCGCCACGGCACTCCAGCCTGGGCGACAGAGCAAGACTCCGTCTCAAAAAAAAAAAAAAAGATTTACCAAGTGCCTCCAGTAGGGACCCTGCGTGGTCTGGAGTTGAACTGTTTTCACATTGTCAACATGGGAACCACTAACATAATCGACAATGAAGTGATTCCCATCACAAGCTAACTGGAGATATAAATGATAAGCTATTATAGCATAAAAAAGCACTGACCAATTTAGGCTGGAGAGGATCCGCATTATAACTAGTCTCTTGAAAATAAAGTAAATTGCTTCTGTTTGTCATTGGCTGTGAGACCAATAACACAATTTTTCTCCTCAATCAGTGAAGATACAGACAGCTGATGGACCTCCGTAAAAGAGCTATTTTCCAGCAAACGGTCTGCAGTGCCATAGTTACACTCCACATGCAATTGTTCATTTTATTAGACACCCTTTTCCAGTAAATCCTTCTGGGCTAGCCCTGCCCTTATTAGACACTACAGCTGCTCAGCTGGTGCTAGATGCCATCACAGAGCCTAATGAGGCCTGAACAGTGTTTCAGGGATATCAGCTGCACTTAATCCTGTCCAGAACACAAAATTTGGCTTTACATCTTAAATGAGTTACTGTGAGATCTTAGGCAAGTTCTTAACTCCTGTGAGTCTCCACTTCCCAATCTGTAAAATGAAGAGGTTGGACTAAGTCTGTGATTCTCAGTGAGGGAGGATGATCTTTATCTGTTGTCTTCTCACTCCTAGCCAAGAATCCCTGTGTGTAGGAAGATATGTTACAGATGGTAATAAGCTACACCGATTAATGATGAAAATGCAGACAGCACTGAGACTTAGATGTTAAGACTAGGGAAGAGAAGCTTAAAAAGAGAACTACTATAATGCTTAAAGTTGTAGACTTCCAGAGTATAAAGATTTCAGCAGGCTAACTGATGAAGAGTAGTTAAACAATCATAGAACAACCATGGTTACTTCATTAGCCAAATGTCACCTCTCATTGTGGCCTTTCCATCGCATAGCTGGCTGAGTTAGGCAGGCACAACCCTTCATTCAGAAAAGTAAACTCACCCCCAAAGATGATACAATGATCAAGAATAGCTCGTCTAGGATGCATGATCCCAGGCAACAGGGACACCTATACGGGGCAGCCCAACATAACAAATTATACATTCCCACACCTTATACACCAACACACCTACTCCAACACAACAATGGAAGTAGCGGTATGGGGAGGGCAGAGGTGTGTGGTTCAGAAATACCAAGTTCAGTCCCGGTTCTGCCATGAAATAATTGTGTGACCCTTGAGCAAGTCACCTGCAAAATCAAAGTATGGAACAGACCATCTCCCAAGTTACCTTCCAGTAGAGAAACTGCACTTACTTTTTATTATTCTAATAAACATCTATGTGCTACTACAATCTCCACAGCATCTTTAAGGTCACTACATGCATCTCCATTACTGGCTCAGTTTTTAAAATTACCACATTCCCAGCCTTTTCGGGCAAAGACAACACTTAGGACAACTGCCCAGAACACAAGTTTGAGATGCAGAATGAGTAAAGTTTGTTTTCTCTGGCTTCTTTACAATTCCCTCTGGCTAAATTCTACCCTGTACTCTGCCAAGTCTCTGTATTTCTGGCACTGAGGCTTGATCTATAGTAGTCATAGGCCTGGTGACACTGTGATAGATGAAGAAATTAAATCTTTCACCAAACTAGAACAGGCATTTTGAATGGTAATTTTTATCTTCTTCCTTCCCAGATGCAGGAATGTCAACAGTTGAGAGATACTATGATGAAGGTAGACAGTCACTGCAAAAATGGACTTGCCTCCCAAATGGTCTCTCATTATCTTGCAAATGTATTACTTTTTCTGTATCAATTTCTGAGTTTATTTTGTGTTATGCTCCAACTGCAAGGGAATTGAGAACATACTGTCCACATTTTCCAGAAAAGACTAACGTTAACAGAATGAATCTTTCACCATGAAAATGAAAACTTTGTGTAAATATTTATATAATTAAATTTATTCAATCAATCCATTGGGTTAGGCTGATGGAAGGATGCTTTTTTTTTTATATTGAGATTGAGGGAGGCAAGAAAACAATTCTAATCTCAAGATACAAATAAATATATAGTAATATTGCTTATAGATGTCATTTAAAAAGATTTATGCATACAGAATGTAAATGGATATTGCCCTCAGGGATCCTACAATTGCTGTATATTATTTGCTATGCATACTAGATAATGAAGTTTAAAAATATAGATGGGAAACACAGATGTTTCCTCAATAAATATTTTTAAATCATTTCAATGTGTTTTCATTCCACACCATAGCCAGGTAAGCAAGACAAGGATAAACAGTTAACAAAGAAAACATCATTGGAATACTCAGCAATAAAAAGGAATGATCTATTGATACACATATCAGCATGGATCGTAATTATGCCAAGGAAAAGAAACCCAACAAATAGAATACATACTGTATGATTCCATTCATATACAATTCCAGCACATCGGTGTTCACCTGGGGATGGGGGTTGGGGGGTGAGAGGGGCAAAGAAGGACCCAGAGAAGCAGGAGGGTCAGATTACTGACGGGCACATGAAACCTTTTCTGGGGATGTATATATTTTCGATTTTGGTAATAGTTTCATATGTGTATACATATGTCAAAACAAATCAAATTGCCTGATTTAAATACGTGAGTTTATTGTGTATTAATTATACCTTAATAAAGCTATACAATGTGGAAAATATCTAAATGATACGGAAAGGACGTGCTGGGACGGGAGGAGCATGGTCCTTTTAAATAACATGGAAGAGGCCGGGCACGGTGGCTCACGCCTGTAATCCCAGCAGTTTGGGAGGCCGAGGTGGGTGGATCACGAGGTCAGGAGTTCAAGACGATCAGCCTGGCTAAGATGGTGAAACCCCGTCTCTACTAAAAATACAAAAGTTAGCCGGGCGTGGTTGAGGGTGCCTGTAACCCCAGCTAAAACCCCGTCTCTACTAAAAATACAAAAATTAGCCAGGCGTGGTTGCGGGTACCTGTAACCCCAGCTACTCAGGAGGCTGAGGCAGGAGAATTGCTTGAACCAAGGAGGCGGAGGTTCCAGTGAGCCAAAATTGTGCCACTGAACTCCATCCTGGGCGACAGAGTACGACTCCGTCTCAAAAAAAAAAAAAAAAAAAAAAGATACAGAAGAGGGGAAGGGAAGTGCTGGGTAGAGGTGAAGGCGTGGTCCCTGGCTAGGATTCCAACCCCCACGGACCTCGGTGAGGACAGGCATTTCCTGCCCAAATGTTGCATTTCCCAAGACCACTCTGGCCTGCCACAACCCATCCTGTGCCTATAAAAACTCCCGAGACCCCAGCAAGGCAGAGACAGGGGCAGGTGGACATCGAGAGGAGCACATCGGTGGAGGAACACACAGGCGCTGGACAACCACAGGAACGCACCGGCAGGCGCCAGCAGGCCACCAACCAGCAGAAGGAGAACAATGCAGAGTTTGGCTGGGGCAGTCCGAGGAAAGCCCAGGCCACCGAGTGGCCCAGCTCCCGAGGAAAGCCCTCCCACTCTACCCACTTCTGACTTTCGCTGAGCTACTTCCACTCAATAAAACCTTGCACCCATTCTGCAAAGCCCACATGTGATCTGATTCTTCCTGTACACCAAGGCAAGAAACCGGGATACGGAAAGCCCTCTGTCCTTGAGACAAGGTGGAGGATCTAACCGAGCAGGTTAACACAAGCCGCCTACAGACGGCAAAACTAAAAGAGCACATGGTAGCACATGCCCACTGCGGCTTCCGGAGCTGTCAACGTCCACCCCGAGACGTGGGGCGGGAGCCCCGCAGCCTGCCCGTCTGTATGCCCCTCTAGAGCTTTGAGCAGCGGGGCACTGAAGCAGCGAGCCGCTCCCCCTGTCGCACGCCCTGCGAAGGGGACAAGAGAACTTTTCCCGTTTCAGAAAAACAAGGCATAGTTAAAATTGTGAGTAATTAAGACACCTGTTGCATGAAAAGCTACAGAAAATATAAGCTATACTAGACACAGGAGACTACCAGAGGCAGATTTCAGGATCAGGGGAATTCAGCAGGTTTCACAAAACTGAAAAAGTCATTCTGAGCACTTAAAGACTGTGCCTAGTTAACATTCATCTCCTCCAAAATATATAATTCTTATTTCCTTAAGATTTTTTTAAGGTAGCTGGGATTAGAGGTGTGCACCACCACACCCGGTTTAAGGTTTGACAGAAATAGTTATAACTTCCTTCACAGTAGTAAAAATAGCTAGCTAGCATTTATTGGGCACTTGCTGTAAACCACGCCCCAATCTAATGGATTATCCTATTTAATTCTCACCTAAGAAGCTAAGAGACGTATATAATCTTCACTCTCTATGTTACAGATAAGGACACCTACTATTCAGGAACATTAAATAACTTGCTTAGTGTCACCCACCATCCCAGTGGTGGAGCTGGGATACAAACCCAGGTGGTCTGAATGCAGAGTCGAACTCTTGAAATTAAACTTCTGGCCCTCTTCTTCATGAACAGGATCCTGTATGCTGACTCATACCTCTGATGGCTTAAAAAGACTCTTTCTTCATTGCATAGCTACAGTTCTAAGTCTGAATGCTAATCTTTTGCATGGTAGCAGCAGAAACGGTAAGTAGTAAAGTGATGGTGGAAGGCAAGGGGAATTATGGGAGGAAAAAAAATATGACCGGAAATCAGCAGAATCGGTTTTGGTCAAGTCCTCACTGATGACTGTAAACGTGGGCAAGCCATGTCTCCTGCTTGGATCTGTTGCCTTTATGGTGAAAATTAAGGATTTGAACTAATTGATTAATTCTAAGACTCCATCCAGCTTTGTGATTCTGCTGGTCCTCTTTTGAGGAATACTTCCTGCATTTTACAACTTGGATTAAAAATTCTCCATGAGACCAGCACAGTGGTTCACGCCTATAATCCCATCATTTTAGGAGGCTAAGGCAGATGGATCACTTGAGGCCAGGAGCTCGAGACCTGCCTAGGCAACATGGCAAAATCCTGTCTCTACTAAAAATACAAAATTTAGCAGAGCGTGATGGCACATGCCTGTAATTCTAGCTACTCAGGTGCCTGAGGCGAGAGAATTGCTTGAGCCTGGGAGGCTGAGGTTGCAGTGAGCCAAGATCGCACCACTGCACTCCAGCCTGGATGGCAGGATGAATCCCTGTCTCAAAAAAAAAAACTAATTGAAAAAAAAAATTCTCCATGAACGTAATACATTTCAGATACACAGTGTTCTTCATCCCCTCAAACACCCAGACACCTCCCCATCCCCGCCATACCTTGCAAGATTCTTCACTATTTCCTCAAGATCATCTGTTCACAAGGATCACCCATAAAGGCCCAAGAAAAAGGAGGAGGGTCCCGCAACCAGTGACTTCCCTGTTCTGCTAGGCACTCTAACCATCTTTTTCACGTGATAAGCACGCAAGAGTTAATTTGGGCTTTCAAGGAGTGAAAAGGAGGCAGCCCCCACCCAGAAGCTCATTCCATTCTCCTTGTGTAGCTTCCGACATCTGAGATGATCCAAAGTCCTACTACATGGTGGCTAAAGTTGCGAGATTCCGTGTATTTCTAATTCTTATTCGTTCTTTAAAGTGGCTATTCTCTCTTTGCACTAAAAACACACCATTTTCTCTTTTTAAACGGATAGATTTTGTGACCCTTTGGGGAGACATAAAAGCGAGAGAGCAACTAAATAAGGCAGTTGTAAACCATTTCAGCACCCGTAAAACCTTCTCCTTTATCACAAAAGAAGAGAGGAAAAGCAGCTGGAAAAAAAAAAAAAAAAAAAAAAAAAAAAAAAAAAGCACAGCTGACAGGGAACTTGGTATCTTTAAGAACAACTTGTCTCATGAATTTTCATATCCATATTTTGGGGTTTTCACTGAATTGAAAATTCTTTCCAGAAAAACACTTCTCATGTGTGATAACTACTTTCACAATACATTGGTGAGACAAAACTCTTAAAAATTTCAAGGTGTACCATGTCTATTTTTCTATAATTCTACCTATATGTCAGCTCTTTATTTCTATTCTGTATTTTACATACTCTCACCTATTTTCAAAAACATCCTGTTCTAGCTCAGAACATATAATTTATGTTTCTATTTAGTGCTTTGTTTTTATTGAGTTATTTAGCAATTATTCTATGATAAACCAAAAGTTAAAATATAGATCATCCCTTTCCTACATCAAACCATATTTACCAAATTCACTAGTAACCTTTATCATCGCACAGACCGGTTTTCTTTGGTTGCGTTCACCATGCGCACACTATTTTCTAACTTTTTGCTTGATGTCTGCATTTATCTACTGAGTCCAGATATCTGTCATTTTTAATGGTACAATATTCCATTGTTTTGCTAAAGCAGTTCAATTAGCCATCTTTCAGCTCGTTGTTTCCACACATGATTATAACCAAGTCAACCATTTTTAAAGAAATAAATTTTGTTTGTTCCTACTGGAGCTCTTTCCTTAGGCTATAATCTGAAAAGTAGGGTTAACACGTTTAAGACCATAATCAGCCCCTGTGACTTTTATTATAAATCACTTTTATTATTATAAATGGCTCTCCAAAAGAGGTATTAGCAACTTGCAATGTCACCAGCAAAATTATGACCGTAGCTTTTTCTTCATATTCTCTTTCGCACTGAGATTTCTGGGCTGTATTTATTTTAGGGTGATTTTATTTGGGGAGAACACTTGTATACCAGTGTCCATCCAGTGGTTGAGGACTCCTGAGTTAGGGAAGTCCCAGATGTCAACTAATGCATTAATTATTCCTGAGAGGTGATATTTAGAAAAACAGTTTCTACGATCAAGTGACTCTGGAAAATGCCGTGTCAAAGTTAACAAGTTTCATTGTTGTGGAAGATCCCAAAGCCTTTAATCTACTAAAAGAATGATGTAGAATCTTTTAGTTCTTTGAAATCTGTCACATTTGTGTAATACTCTTAATGCCCCCTTTTAAAAACGTGTATTGATCACCTATTATATGCCAAGTACTTTATATGCCTGATAACTCATTCAATACTCCTGACTGCCTGATAAAGTCATTATTACAAATCTTACTTTTACTAAAAAATCAAAAACTGAGACTCGAAAGGCTAAATAATGTACGCAAAATTCCAAGGCTAATATGTAATGTTAGCTTTTAAACTCATTGTCTACTTTTTGTGGATTCGCCATTATACCATCCTGCCTCATAACACAATGTTTAAACATATTGTCAGTTAGCCAGTTTCTGTTCTTCTTTTTGGTGGGTTGGGGATGTTCAGTTTTCTAGTTTTCCTGTTTACTGAGTTATCAATACACAGATGAGTAAAGTACAATCATCTTAAAGATACAGCTCAATGAGTTTTTACATGTTATACTCTTCTATAACCATCACATGGATCAAGATAAAAAATTTTTTTTCATCAGCTTAGGATATTTTCTTTTTCAACAGAGATTGGTTTTATGCTTCTCATTCTATATAGGGCCTGGTACTGAAGTTATTCAAATAGGTGTTTAATAAACTCTGATCAGAGAAGGTTGAAACTAGAAGTGACATAGTTTATGTGTTCCAAACTCTTCAATTTACAGATGTGCAAACTGAAGGCAAGAAGGAAAGTGACTAAAGACACAACAATTCAGAGCATTTCTGCTACACGGTGCTGCCCTTGCTGGCCACTGGCTGGTTACTTCTACACATTGTACTACAGACACAGTGAGGGGTAACCAGAAGACAGGATGTGTAACAGAGAAAGAAGCCCAGCTAAAGAGTTTTGCAGTGATATTTCAATTTTAAACAAGTGTTGAAGTATCCAAAAGGTAAAACTGGTGAAGAAATGCTCAACAAACTGACTTTAATGTAAAACACTATTTTTCATTGTAAAAATATCAACACACTTTGGGAGGTCGAATGGGTATTTGAGGTCAGGAGTTTAAGACCAGCCTGGTCAACATGGTGAAACCCCATCCCTCCTAAAAATACAAAAATTAACCAGGCATGCTGGCGTGCACCTGTAATCCCAGCTACTCGGAGGTTGAGACAGGAGAATCAGTTGAACCCGGGAGGCAGAGGTTGCAGTGAGCCCGGATTGTGCCACTGTACTCCAGCCTGGGGGACAAAGTGAGACTCCATCTCCATCAATCAACTGATAAATAACGATTTCCATCCAAAGGAATTTGCCCTTCCAAGTGGCGTCCTGGGAGGACAGACACTTATTCCAAGAATGCTCGTGACTTCTTTTGAACCCTCTCTTTGAGATTAACTTCAGAGCTACTTTGAGTCAAACAAACCAATTTTATTTTTAAAAACTACAAAATCAGCACCAACAGAATAGGTACCAGATGTGTGTCTTCCAAATCGTAAGAAAACAAAAATATAAGCCATATAACTAAAGCAATAGAGAATTATAAGAAACATTTAAAGTAGAAAAATTTTTCCAACTGGAAAACATATTAGAACTATGAAATGTGATGAACATGAATAGGTTAAACATCCCTAACAAAGACAAAGATTTTCAACATCCAATTATATGCTGTTTACAAGACAGATCTAAAGTCAAGTGACTCAGCAATCAAAAACAAGAAGAGGAGCAAGATGTATCCAGAAAATGCAAATGAGAAGAAAAGATGAATGACAACATTTATATCAAACAATCCAGAATATGAATCAAAAGACCATTTAACAGGACAAAGAACATGTGAAAAACGTCAACCTCATTAATAAAAATTTCATTTGTATGAAGAAGTCTTAATTTATCAAACAGGTATTTTAATTATAATACTTTTATCATAGATGTTACAGCCAAATAGGCATATCCATATCATCAACTCTTAAGAAGACAATAGGAAAATTACCAAGACACTGTGGATATACAAGATTGAATAAAATGCACCCATTTAAAAAAAAGTTTTGAAATACATTTAATGATGTGGCAGTGTTATCATACAATACTAGGCAAAAGAGGAAAGGCACAAGATGTATATAGTAGGACCTCAATTTATCTTAAATATTCATATGAGATATTTTTAAAACTAGAAAAAGAAATACTCTGGTTAAATTAGGGAAGATCTTTAGTTATTTCTTTATGCTACTTGTTGCTATTTTTAAATAAGAGAAAGCCTCAAGTCCAAGATAAACGAAAACATGGCATTAGAAGACACAGCTTCCTCAAATTCAGGCATCCAGACACTCAGACCCAGACAAATACCATCCCAAGGTACTGATGAGGGGTCATAGAAAAAAAAATTGTAGAATCCTGACCCTCCTGTCACCTTCAGGCTCCAAAACCCCATGATTTTTATTTTCATCCAAGGACTGGCTAATATTTGATATAGTTTAGACATTTGCGCCCCCAAATCTCATGTTGAAATGTAATCTGCAATGTTGGAGGTGGGGCCTCCTGGAAGGTGACTGGATCATGGGGGCAGATTTGCTATGAATGATTTAGGACCAATCCCATGGTACTGTCCTTGCAAGATCTGGTTGTTTAAAAGTGTGTGGTACCTCCCCCCTCATTCTCTCTCTCTCTCTCGCTTCTACTCTCACCATGTGATGTATCTGCTCCTGCCTCACCTTCCACCGTAAGTAAAAGCTCCCTGAGGCCTCCTCATATGCTGAGCAGAGGCCAGTGCCATCCACGTACAATCAGCAGAACTGTGAGCCAATTAAGCCAGCGGTCCCCAACCTTTTTGGCACCAAGGAATGGTTTCGTGGAAGACACTTTTCCCACGGGGGTGGGGCAGGGTTGGGGGAGATGATTTGGGGATGATTCAAACTCATTTCACGTACTGTGCACTTTATTTCTATTATTACCACATTGTAACATATAAGAAAATAATTACACAACTCACCATAATGTTGAATTATTGGGAGCCCTGAGCTTGTTTTCCTGTAACTAGACAGTCCCATCTGGGGTTGATGAGAGACAATGACAGATCATCAGGCATTACAATCTCATAAGGAGCGCACAACCTAGATCCTTGACATGTGCAGTTCACAATAGGGTTAACACTTCTATGAGAATCTAATGTCGCCAATTATCTGACAGGAGGCAGAGCTTAAGCAGTGATGCAAGTGATGGGGAGCGGCTGTAAATACAAATGAAGTTTCGCTCACTCGCCTGCCGTTCACCTTCTATGGGGCCTGGTTCCTAGCAGGCCATGGATGAGTACGAGTCTGTGGCCCAGTGGTTGAGGACTCCTGAATTAAACCTCTTTTCTTTAAAAAGAAATACCTAGTCTCAGGTATTCCTTTACAGCAATGCAAGAACACCCTAACACAATGTTTAACCCGAATATAGACTGTGTTCATCTTTTCTTTATTCTATGCTCTCCAAACATATATTACTTTCATAAGCAGAGTAAATTAATAAACACAAAACACAGTTCAATTACCCATTTTGTTCATAAATCTGTCCTACAGAGATATACATTTACCACTGCTAGAAAAAAGAATGTGCCAAGTGCCCCAGGATAATTCTGAACAAGAAGTTCCAAAAATATTTTAAGCGAAGGCAGACTCATGGGAGTAGCTTCCCAAAGTATTTTCATTGAATTACTTTGCATTCATTTTAATTTATATATTTTGACATGTTAGGATATCTTAAAATAAAATTGTGCTGATTTATGTTAACATGTCATTTAATTAATACCTTGAAGGAAGAATAGATAGGCTTTTAAAAGAGGAACTTAATAAAAGTCATTATATTCCTATATGCTTTTTTATTTTTTAGAGACAGATTCTCTCTCCATCACCCAGGCTAGAGAGCAGTGGTGTGATCATAGTTCACTGCACCCTCAAACTCCTGGGCTCAAGCAATCCTCCCACCTCAGCCCCCAAGCAGCTAGGATTACAGGCCCTTGCCACCACTTCCGGCTGATTTTTTTTTTTCCTGTAGAGATGGGGTTTCACTACATCGCCCAGGCTGGTCTCAAAGTCCTGGCCTCAAGTGGTCCTTCTGCCTCACCCCCCCGACAAAGCACTGTGATTACAGACAATATTACTGCAACTGGCTATGCCTGTACGCTTCAAATGAGATTTGTACTCATTGTTGCTGAGAAATAATCAGATTCCAGGTTGCTCAGGAAGATCTATGTCTCGGCAAAATATATACCCTGAAAATTATGACACAGAGGACTATGTACTATGACTGTAGGGCTGGCATGCATAGACCTAAGAAAACCTTAGTAATTGGCAGGGCCCAGTGGCTCATACCTGTAATCCCACAATTTTGGGAGGCTGAGGTGGGTGAATCACTTGAGGTCAGGAGTTCAAGACCAGCCTAGCCAACATGGTGAAGTCACAACTCTACTAAAATATAAAAATTAGCCAGGCTCAGTGGTGGCCACCTATAATCCCAGCTACTCAGAAGAGTGAGGCAGGAGAATCGTTTTAACCTGGAAGGGGAATGAGCCAAGATCATGCCACTACACTGTAGCCTGGGTGACAGAGGAATACTCCATCAAAAAAAAAAAAAAAAAAAAAAAAAAAGAAAGAAAGAAAGAAAGAAAGAGAAAAAAAAGAAAAGAAAACCTTAGCAATCATGGCACCCAGCTTCTCCCTGTCCTAGAAACCACAGTTCAGACGGGGGACATGACTCTCCCAAGGCCGGGGCTAGCACTTTCTCCAGGCACAGCTGCATCTCTAAGTGCCTTCTAAATTTCTCCTTCCTGCTGGATTTACATAATGTAATTATCACCATCATCCATTTTCTTCCACACTGAATTCTCTACCGCTGTAAGAGAAGAGAAATTTTAATGGGATGGAGGGCAGGTGATAAAACAGGCAAATCTCTCATGCCCCCTTCCTCCAGCATAAATGCACACGTGCCTCAGAACTGTCAGGCTCTATGATGGGGCTACAAACCCTGCCCTCTTAGAGAAGTCACAGATTATTTCCCCTGCCATAAATCAGAAGGCAGTGGGCTATGAGAAAGCGTGTACAGGGCACTACAGAGGAGCAAAGGGAAGGAGCATCTAATCACATTAGACTACTCAGACTCAAATCTGAGTCAGGAAGGGCAGGTAGGAGTGCAGGTGAGGTAAGAAATGGGAGACAGGAAAAGAGCATTCTAGACAGGGTCGGGGGGGGGTGGGCCTTGAAAAAAAGCACAGACATGAGAAAGCATGGCAGAGTTTGGAACCTGTGAGGAATACAATATGGCTGGAATTTGAGATGCCTACAGGAGTGTGGAAGGGAGCGAGTCTATAGAGGAGGCTGGGAACCTCTGCGAAGGGATGGAGCCATGTCCTAAGTGCAATGGAGTCGCAAAGACCTTATTTGTGACATAGTTTTAAATGCTCATTCTGAGTCCATGATGTGGCTGGGCTGGAGAGGTGAAGACTGGAGGTGTGGAAACAAGCAGAAGGTTCCAGCAGTTACCCAACTGAGAAGGACTGGTGCCAGACTAGGGGCAGGTTCAAGAGACATTCTAGGCATAGAGTCAGGGCTCAGTGATTGTTGTCACATAGGGTAAGGAAGACGAAGGAGTGTTTCCAAAATTTAACTTTCTTCTTGTTCAAAACACAGTTTTGAACTGTTGAACACATTCGTGTCACAATAACAAAACAGTCCTGTCCTCAGACTTTGAGTTCCAAATACTGAATAAACATTGATAACAAAAAGGGAGGCAGAGGCCAGGGAAGTTACTTGAGAGATTAGAGAGTAACATCAGACTTGTTGACAAGAGGCAGTATAATGCAGTGGTCATGGTGCCAGATTAACTCGGGCTCAAATCCCAGCCTGGTCACTTGAGACGCTGGGCAAATTATCCTTCTAAATTCTAGTTCTCTAATTTCTAAAAGGAGGAGAATAATGGGACCTACCCGAAGAGATTAACCAGGAAACTTCTATAAGAAGAAAGCAGGCTGGGCATAGTGGCTCACACCTGTAATCCCAACACTTTGGAAGGCCAAGGCAGGCTGATCACTTGAGGCCAGGAGTTCAAGACCAACCTGGCCAATGTGGGGAAACCCCGTCTCTACTAAAAATACAAAAAAATTAGCCAGGAGTTGAGGTACATGCCTGTAAACCCAGTTACTCGGGAGGCTGAGGCAGGAGAATTGCTTGAACCCGAGAGGCAGAGGTTGCAGTTAGCCAAGATTGCACCACTGCACTCCAGCCTGGGCAACAGAGTGAGACTCTGTCTCAAAAAAAAAAAAAAAAAAAAAAAAAGTGCGAAATACTGTGTCTGACCTACAACGAGTACTCATTAAAACACTATCATCATTCAGTACAGAGGATTTCCAAGGGCTGGAAAAGAATCTTTTTTTTTTTTTCTTGAGAAAGGGTCTTGCTCTGTTGCCCAGGCTGGCTGGAGTACAGTGGCACGATCATAGGTCACTGCTGTCTCCACCTCCCATGCTCAAGCGATCCTCCCACCTCAGCCACCTGAGGAGCTGGGACTACAGCATCCACCACCAGGCCTGGCTAATTTATGTTTTTGTATTGTTGAGATGGGGGTCTCACTACGTTGCCCAGGTAGGTCTTCAACTCCTGGCTTAAACAATCCTCCCACCTTGGCCTCCCAAAGCACTGGGATTACAGGCATGAGCCACCATGCCCAACCCCTTTTTTAAATTTTAAAAAATTAGCTTTTATTTTTAAGATATCCTCAGTTAAGGGTAGTGGGTGAGAAAGAATATTAACACTCTGGTATGTAGCCACGGACTGAAAGTTACCAGATGCTCCTTCTCAAGTCCAACCAGGAGCATCAGAGGGAACATGGATCCCTTAAGTGGGGGCTGTGAGATACTCTCACACCCCAAATCTGCTAGAAGAACAGTGGGAATCATCTATTTTGCATTCTGAAAAAATAGAAACTTAACACCGTAAAAATGTTGTGAGAAGTTAGAGGTCTTGGTCATTTTTACGAAAATGAAAAATGAACAACTAGTCTGAGTTCTTTATCAGGAAAACCATAATAAAGAAATGAATGCTAGAAGTGATAAAGAAGTAACTACTGTATTTAAGTTAGTGACGTCTGTTTAATTTTCATTCTAGGATTCTTAAGAAAGTCAGTTGACACAATGATAAAACTTTTGCCTGCATTTTTGAAGGAGTGAGGTCAGAGGTGTGCTGGCAAATGTTTAACAGCCAGATTGATGAGGGGAAAAAAAACCCTGCAAATCTTGAATTTTGTACACAAGTTTATTATAAATTTTACTGAGCTAGGCATGTGTCACACATCCTAAATTTCATATAACCAATTGATTTGTTAATTTTTATACAATTATTGTATCTATAGAAAACCTATGTTTGCATATGAACAAGTGTACTTCCAACATGAATACTTGTTGATATTTTCTTCTAATAATATATTATTAGAAATAATGTCCAGGCACAGTGGCTGTTATGTGTAATCCAAGCACTTTGGGAGGCCAAGGCAGGAGGATTGAGGCCAGGAGTTCAAGACCAGCCTGGGCAACGTGGCAAGACCCAGTCTCTACAAAAAATATTTTTTTACATTAGCCAGGTGTGGTGGCAAGCACCTGCAGTCCCAGCTACTCAGGAGGGTGAGACAGGAGGATCTCCTAAGACCATGAGGTTGAGGCTGCAGTGAGCCATGATCACACCACAGCACCCCAGCCTGGGCAACAGAACAAGACGCTGTCTCTAAAAAATAAAAATAAAAGAGTAAAACAACACATCATTCACTCATCAATGGCAAGAGTGATTCCTTTGCTAAGTCAGATAATTGTTTCTGATATGAGAATATTTTCCACAATTTTTTGTGCTATTCACAATGTAATGCTACAGACAACAGATACTATTAAGTTTAATCTTCAATTTTCTTCATCATTTTTCTTAAGCCTACACAACAAACAATAACTCAAGTCCTGGTATGTAGTCGATACTTCCATAAAGTAAATAGTCCATTGTGGCCAATTTCAAGCTACAAAATGGCCACTGGTTAACAGAATTTGGAAGAAAAGCACAGTGGAACACGGTTATGTAATATTTTTATAATACAGGTATAATGCACTCCATTGTTTCACATTTACAAAACTTCTCAATGTCTTCCTCCAGGTCATCATTAAAATTTGTCCCTATTTGTTGAACTTGACTAAACACGGTGGTTGTTTTATTGTTTAGGGATCCTAAATATATCCATGTTTGAAGGTTGAGATGTAATTCCAAGCACTATCTTTATTAAACTTGGCTACAATTCTGTGGAATGACTTCACTCAATAGTGTACTTGACCCAGATCTTATTGGTTCATGAGAGACAACTATTAAATTTTCAGGAATTTTACAAGCCAGTTGTTAAATGTAACCATTGTTTAAAAGAAATCGTATGAACTTATAATTAAATTATATTTCAAAACAAGGATTAAATATTCAAGATTCATCACTTCCCATTCCTATTACTACATTTTACTGTTACCTAGAAGTTATTCAGGATAGTAGCATATAAATTTGAAAGGGGTATAAATGGAGTTAAAAGTATTTTAAAGCCCTTGCATTGTCCAGGAAGTGGTAAAAGTACTACTTTAAATTAGCCTTTAGTAAGTCAAAGATAAATACACACTCTCTAATGTAACCACTACAAGAATGTAAAATAATGTGTAATTAATAAGCTAATAAAGAGGGGGGAAATAAAAAAGTAATACTTAACTGAAAATAAGGCAAGAAAGGAGAAAAAAAGAAACAAGAAATGGGTGAGAAAAATAGAAATTAAGTAGTAAGATGGTAGATTGAAAGCTAAATCTGTAATTCTATTAAAGGCCAATAGATACCCCAATTACAAGACAAAGATTGACACAGTAGATAAAATAAAATTGAAGTATGCTGCTTAGATGACGGGTTGATAGGTACTGCAAACCACCCTGGCACATGTATACGTAGGTAACAAACCTGCACATTCCACACATGTATCCCAGAACTTAAAGTAAAGTAAATAAAAAAGAGGCATACCTTCAACATAAGGATATAGAATATTTGACAGTAAAGGGTTAAAAAACATATGCAAATACTAACCAAACAGAAACTGGGAAAGCTTAATCAAACTAGACTTTAAGGGAAGAACCACTGTCATCAGATTGATATAGCAATTCTAAAGCTGTATGCATATAATAACATGTCCTTGAGACAAAGAAAAAAGTGGATGAATTAAAGGGAGAAGTAATAATAATCCTTAATCATAGATATTTTAATATACCTTTCTCTGGGGTTCACAGAGGAAACAGGAAAAACAATCTGTGAAGATATTTTGAACAAAAATGTTTCTATACTTTTGCTTTTAACCTCTCTATAACCTGAATTTGAGAAGTCAATCTCATAAACAGCATAAAATATCCTGTCACATTTTTTAAGAATTGAACAATACTATTAACACTCTTCAATACTATATCCACCAACTGTAGAATGTGAATTATTTTCAAGAGTAAATAGAATGTTTACAACAATTAACTACATGCTGGGCCAGAAAGCAGTACTTAACAAATCTCTAAGAATTGAAATTACACAGAGTAGGTTCACAGACCTCAGTAAAATTGAGCCAGAATAACAGAAAGATGACTGGAAAATCCCCAGGTGTTTGGATATTAACCAATAAACTTTTAAAGAATTCATGAATCAGAAACTACTTAGGACCTATTGATAATAAATCCTTTCGGAGGGGAAATCTCTAAGCCAGAATGGGCTTTTCATCTATTCACTGAAAGTGGGGAAATAATGGTCCCTCTTAATGATCTAATGACCTAAGATGATTTCTCTCTTGTATTAATGAATCATGTACTTAAGCCTGTGCCTATGAAGGAGGCTCATCTTACAAGGTCTAGGAGATCACTGGAGGCAAATGGCGAAATATTTTAGATCCGGTCCCCGGGCAGCTACTCCATGGAACACAAGAATCTTCTATTTTATAATGAGCAGTGGCATAGTAAATTACGTGCTAAACCCTTTGTCTTTTCTTCTAGTGCCCAGCACCATTCTCCTAGTGGTAGAATGCCCACCATCGGTCCCTAGACTATTTGGACCACCTCTTCAACAGTGTAGCCCCTCTGAGATTATCTACCATCTACTACCTCTGGTTCCTGATAGCCCTTATTGTCAAGGGATTATTATCTTGACTTTCACCTGGCTAAGAGACCTGCCTCTGATGTTTGAGATTATATACATAAAACCCACAAAAATATTCTGGATTTAAAAAATTTTGTATTCTCCACCAGTGAAGATCTCATCATGCTTTTATCTCCTACTGAACTGCTTACATGTCTTTATGTACTTCCTGTAGCTAGTATAAACCATAAAGCATTTAGAACATAGAACAAAGATAATATTCAAAAGATAATTTTAAGTGTTTAAAAATAGCCAACACAGTATATTAATTGGAGTAATTAACACTAAGTACTGCACACATGCCCCCAAATCTCAGTGGTTTAAAACAACAAAGCTTTAGTTCTCTTTTGAATCACTCTCATGTGTTAATGGAGTTTGGAGTCTCCCCCAAATGGTGACTCAGAGGATCAGGCTACTTCCTTCCATCTTGTACTTTTACCATCTTCTTGTTTTTTTTTTTTCTTTTCTTGAGACAGAGTCTCGCTCTGTTGCCCAGGCTGGAGTGCAGTGGCGAGATCTCAGCTCACTGCAACTTCCGCCTCCCGGGTTCAAGCGATTCTCCTGCCTCAGCCTCCCAAGTAGCTGGCATTATAGGCATACACCACCACGCCCAGCTAATTTTTCTATTTTTAGTAGAAATGGGGTTTCACCATATTGGCCAGGATGGTCTCAATCTCCTGACCTCGTGACCCGCCCACCTCGGCCTCCCAAAATGCCGGGATTACAGGCGTGAGCCACTGCACCCAGCCGGTTTCACCATCTTCTTGCTTCACTGTCATCCTGCTATCACCCAGCTAGTAGATGCAGAGGAACAAAAGATAAGCCTAATCAACGACTGAACCATCTCAGCCAGGAAGGGACACGAGTCAGTTCCATTCACATTCCATTGGCCAGAAAGAGTATCACAACCCTACCTAGATGGAGAGGGACTGTAAAGTATAGTCTTCCCAGTGACCAGGAGGGACGTGGGGTGGTCTGTGACACACATCACGCTGTTTCTTCCTCCAATAGGCATTAAACTGCAGTCTATTAAGGAGGAAGAAAAGAAAGGAAGTAGCATTCACTGATTTGGGGTACCAAGTTTAATGCTACAAACTTCATACATGCTGTGTTTAAACAGTAAGAAAACGTAAAACAAATGTCATTCTCCTCATTTTATACATGAAGAAACTGAAGCATAGAGCTATTATATAAGTAAATTAAAAAGTCAGGAGTTGACTCCAGGTCTATCTGACTCCAAGGCCTGTGTTTCTCTTTTATCATCCCAGGTTTCTCAAAAGGTGGCCCACAGCTCACTTCTATCACAGTAATTTGAGGTGCCTGAGCCTCACACCTTGCTTACTGAATTAGAATATCCAGGGCTGGAGTATAGGAATCTGCAGTTTTAACAAGTTCCCAAGCTGACTCTATACTATAGCGGATCATGCTGTCTCTGCAACACAACAGTGAAATTCTAAACAATCTCTTTAAACAAACTAGAAAATGTACGAAAAAGAAGTAAGATTCAGTAGGCTTAAGAGAGGGGGCCTTAAGGCAAGTGGAAAATCCTACAGAACAAGGAGTTTGAGGCTGGGGAATTCATCCTAAGCCAGTTAGTTTCCTGGGTAATCTTGGGCAAGTCACCTAACTTCACTCAATCTGTCCCCAAAAAAAGTCTACATTTTCTCCATAGTAAAATGTTGCAATCAGGCTAAATAATCTCTAAAGCCTTTTCAAAAGTTATTTGCAAAGATTTAAAGAGCTTTAAACTGAGACAATAAAACACATACAGGATGAAGAAAGTATTAACATTTAAATTAACAGATAATCCTAGCAAGATTTTTTGTAGATATACACAGGCTTCTTCTAAAATTTATATGGAAAGGAAACAGAACTAAAAAGTTAAAACAATTTTGAAAAAGAAGAATAAAGTCAGAGGAATCACAATACCCAGTTTTAAGACTTACTGTGTAACTATAGTAATCAACACAGCATGGTATTTGCAGAGAAAAAGGTCCATAGATCAATGGAACAGATTACAGAACCCAGAAATAGCTTTACGTAAGAATGGCCAGCACATTTATTTTTTAACAAAGATTTAAAAAGCAACTGAATGGAGGAAGGAGACTGTTTTCAAGAAATGGTGTCGGAACAACTGGCTATCCTGAGGCCCAAAGGGGAAGGAAAAAAAAAATTTACAATCTAAACCACACCTTTAACAAAAATTAGATCAAAATGGATCCTAGATCTCAATGTAAAATGGTAAATGTAAAAATATAAAACCTTTAGAAAAAACATAGAAAATCCTTGTAACTTAGGGTTAGGCAAAGAAATCTTAGGCATGACACTGAAAGCATGATCAGTAACATAAAAATTTCAATTCATTATAAATTTGTTTTCCACAAAGTATCTTGGGAATAGGATGAAAAGATAATCAACAGAAAGTGAGAACATGTCTGCAAAATACATGTCTGACTAAGGACTTGCTTTCAGTATATTTAAATAACTTGCTAAACTAAATAGTAAACAATCTAAGTTTTTTAGTGTGCAAAAGACTTGAACAGACAGACCTTCACCAAAGAGAATATGGGTGGTGAGTAAGTACATCCTTAGCCAGAGGAAAACACAAATTAAAACCTCAATGAGATACCACTACACACCTATTAGAATGGCAAGAATAAAAAATAGTGATAATACTAAATTTTGGCAAGCATGTAGAGGAACTGGGTCCCTCACACATTGCTGGTGGGAATGTGAAATGTACAACCACTAACGGAAACAATTTGACAGTTTTTTAAAAAGTTAAACTTACAGCTAGCATATGACTCAGCAGTCATACCCTTGGGTATTTATCCTCAAGAAATGAAAACATTCTCACATAAAATGTACATCAGTTTTCGCAGCAGCTTTATTTGTAATAGCCAAGAAACTGACACCAACCCAAATGTCTTTCAGAGAGTAAACAAACTACCATCCATCCATTTAATGGCATATATACTAATTGGCAACAAAAAGCAATCAACCACTAATACACAAACCAGATGGATGGATCTCAAGATTATAGAGAGTGAAAAAGATCAATCTCCAAAGTTAAGATTCCACTTATGTGGCATTCTCAAAAACTGACGGAGCATGGATGGATCCACGGCTGCTGGAAGGGGAGCGAGTTAGGGATGAAAAGAGGGCGTAACTATAAAAAGATTGCACAAGGAAGTTAGTTCCTGGAAATGGAACAACTTGGTATCCCTACTCTGGCAGTAGTTACACACATCTAGAGAGGTAATAACATTTCATAAAACTATACACACACACAAACACAAAAAAGCAAGCATAAGGCCAGGCATGGTGATTCACACCTGTAATCCCAGAACTTAAGAGAGGCTGAAGCAGAAGGATCACTTGAGGCCAGGAGTTCAAGGCCAGCCTGGGCAACAAAGCGAGACCTGTCTCGAAAAACGTAATAAAAAAATTAGCCAGGTATGGTGGCATGCACCTATAGTCCCAGCTACGTTGGAGGCTCAGGTGGGAGGATCACTTGAGCCTAGGAGTTCGAGGCTGCAGTGAGCTATGGTTACACCACTGCACTGCAGCACCTGGGTGACAGAGCAAGACCTCCTACCTTTAAAAAAATAAAGCAGGATGAAAAAACTAGTGAAATCTGAATACAGTCAGTAGTTCAGTTAATAGTGTTGAAACAATATCCATGTCTTGGTCTTGATAAAGTACTATAACTATGAAAGATGTTATCACTGGAGAAAGCTGGGAGAAGGAACCTGGGAACTCTCTGTACTATTTTTTTCAACTTCTTGCGAGTCTAAAATGATTTCAAAATAAGATAAAAAGGAGCTAGTATTTGTTGAGCACTGTGTGCTGACATTGCTCTGAGAACTTTACATACATCAATACATTAAGTCCTTACACCTTTGCAGTAGATACTGTTGTATTAGTCAGTTCTCACACTGCTATAAAGATACTACCCAAGACTGGGTGATTTACAAAGGAAAGAGGTTAATAGACTCACAGTTCCACATGGCTGGGGAGGCCTCAGGAAACTTGTAATCATGGCGCAAGGCCAAGGAGAAGTAAGGTACATCTTACATGGTGGCAGGAGCGAGAAGGCTCAAGGGAAACTGCCACTTTTAAGACCATCAGCTCTCATGAGGACTCCCTCACTATTATGAGAATAGCATGAGGGAAACTGCCCACATGATCCAGTGACCTCCCACCAGGTCCCTCCCTTGATACATGGGGATTACAATTTGAGATGAGATTTGGGTGGGGACACAGAGCCAAACCGTATCAACAGTGTTCACTGCATTTTACAGATCGGGAAACTAAGCTTCAGAAAATTTAAGTGAATTGAGCAAGGACGCTGTTGCTAAGTAATAGAGGTAGGATTCAAACCCAAGGAGTCCAATTCCAGAGCTTTCAGTCTTAATCAATAGGCTTTTTTTTTTTGTTTTTTGGGTCTCGCCATGCTGCCCAGGCTAGTCCTGAACTCCTGGCTCAAGCAATCTCTTCGCTTCAGTCTCCCAAAGTGCTGGGATTACATGCATGACCACTGTACCGAATTCCAATAAGCAATATTTTTTAAGGACAAAAAAAGAAAAGCAGGACAAACAGAAGGTCAGGATAGGAGTCAACAATATGGGGGGAGGAAAAGAAAAAGAACACAAAAAGACAAAGTAAACCAAACACAGCATGCAAAGGCCTGGGAAGTGATCTTTCTGGCACCCTCTGTGTCAGTCAGTCCCATAGGAAAGACTGTATTCCATTTTGGTCCACTTATTTCTAAGAGACCAAGGAGAAACTGGAGAGAGGGAAGGCACATTCTCAAAGGAATATTAAACAGCTCTTATTCTAATAGGTCCAAGTAATTGGAGTTATTCAATCTACGGGAAATCAAGAGAGTAGTTTAATTGCCACCTTCTGTAAAGACTTTTGAGAGCATGCCCAGAGGATACAGGACAAATGAAAGAGACTTAAATCGAAAAAAACCGTTTAGTTTGACATTAAAAAACGTTTTCCTGGTCATCTGAGTTAGGACAAAAGTAGGACAGATTAGACTTTCTTCTGAGACATTCAAGAAGGAAAAAACAAAACTGGCAGTTCATTGTACTCAAAATGAAACCTGTTCAGAAGCTGTAACTGGTGCTATGCCAGGACCCATATAAGACATTTGTTATGTGTTGTCTGTTTGAATCCTCGTAGGTAACTATGAAGCAGGTATAGCTGTTCCCATTTCATAGATATGGAAACTAAGCTTCAGAGAGGCTCAACTCCTGCCTAAAGGCACTCAGCTGCCTGGTATTGGAGATGTGAAATGCAAACCGAGGCATATCTGCCTTTACAACTCAGATTATTTCCATTATGTTATATACATTGTTAAACTTGGAGATTTGTGGACTTTGACACCAGCCCCCTACTCCAGCCCTAATGGCATAAAACTGCATCAAATAATTAATTATGGTTGTTTTCCAGCTGTAAAAGTACCTATGCCTCAAAATGCTACTAACCTGATTTGACATCAGCTCCAAATCCACTCATCTCAATCAAGCCCTTCTTTCAGGAGCTCCATTTTGTCCAGTAAGGAAACCTATGCTTCTAATGTATCATTCTCTCAAAAGCATCCCTGTGGGGTATGCAAATTGAATTAGAAAAAATGACAGAGAAGGAGTAAGCACGTGAGTCTCATTTTAAAGATGAGAAATTCTGAGACGCCCAGTAGGCCAGGCATAGAATCAAAGTTGTGTGTAAGTCAACAAGAGACTCAGGGATCAGGGGAGTCCGACATCCTAAAGATCTCAACATAGAATGAGTGTAGCCCCATGGATGCTATGGCAGAGCAACGTGGAAAAACTGGGCAGGCCTCTACCCATCCAGGCCAACACGGGCCGAATGAAGACTTTCCAGCTTTGACTGTGCACAGTTGTGGGTAGCCACAGTTAGGTTGCCAGAGAAGATTAGCCATCCAAGTTCCCACGTCTCTGTGTGTGTGTGTGTGTGTGTGTGTGTGTGTGTGTGTGTGTGTGTGTGTATGTGTGTGTGTTCTAGTAAAATTTTATTTGTAAAGACTGAAACTTGAGTTTCATATAATTTCTTGCTAATTTAAAAAAATTAATAGAGTTTAATTTTTAGAGCAATTTTAGACTTACAGGAGAAGTGAGAGAAAAAGTACAGAGTTCCCATATATTCCCAACCACCCCCATCAGTTTCCCCCATTATTAACATCATGCATTGGTGTGGTATATTTGTTACAACTGATGAACCAATATGGACACACTATTATTAACTTTACATTAGGATTCACTCTTTGTGGTATACAATTCTGTGGGTTCTGCCAAATGTATAATGAGGTGTACCCACCATTACAGTATCAGGCAGCATAATGTTACTGCTCTAAACATCCCCTGTTCTTCAACTATTTTATCCCTCCCCCACAAAACCACCAAAACCACTGATCATTTTGCTGTCTCTATAGTTTTATCTTTTCCAGAATGTCATATAGTTGGAACTACATAGTAGCTTTTTCAGACTGGCTTCTTTCACTACAATATGCATTCAAGCTTCCTCCAGGTCTTCTCACACCTTAATGGCTCTTTTTGAAAAACAGACTAAGAACAGTTTTAGGGTTACCAAAAAAGTGATCATAAACTATGGAGATTTCCCAGACACCCGCCTCCCTACAGTTTCCCCCTTTTATTTCCATCTTGTATCCGTTTGGTACATTTGTTACAACTGACGAGCCAATATTGACATGTTATTAACTAAAGTCCATTGTTTTCATTGGAGCTCGCTGGGTTTTGACAATTGTATAATGATATGTATCTAATGTTAGCACACTTGTAACAGACCATTTGTATGACCACACCACTGTTGGTCTATCCATGCATCTCCTGAAGGACATTTTGGTTACTTCCAAATTTTGGCAATTATGAATAAAGTTGCTATAAGCATTTCATGAGATTTTTGTGTGCACCTAAGTTTTCAACTTATGTTGAAATATCAATGATCTTGATTGCTCGCTTATATGCTAAGACTATGTTTAGCTTTGGAAAAAAAAAACTGCCAAACTGTCTTCCCAAGTGGCTATACCATTTTGCACTCCCACCAGCAATGAATGGAGTTTCTGTTGCTCCACATCCTTGCTGGTGCTGTGTTTTAGATTCCAGACATTCTAACAGGCGGGTCTCTTGGATGTGTCTAATAGCTGTAGCTTACATTTTAACCCAAATGTATCTTTTCTAGACTAAAATAGAAAACAAGTCTTCATAAACCTCCAGAATTCAGCCTGCAATTGTCATTTTCAGAAACTTCAGCCAATCAAATTGGAGGGCTCCAGTGAGAACAAAATTCTTTAAAACTACTAATTCCTATTGCTGAAGGAAAGGCTGATATTACTTACTACCCAAAATACTTTGCAATTGAAAAAGCCAAGTCAAAATGTGTCCCTTCACTAATATGCCAAAATGAACTTTTTTAGTACAGCATGAGGACACCTTAAGTATAAAATAAAAATTGTATTCTGTTGACTAGGAGCCTCATAAAGGCACTTTCTTTAGCATTTCTGGATTTGACTGTGTTTTGCAAAGCTTCTCAGATTTAAACAAGTGTGCAGTCCTAAATTACTTTGTGCTATTTCTAAGACACTAAAAGGTGTGGGCCAGGGCAGCAGGGAGGGGCCTGGCATTTCCTTCTTCTATAGCTTATCCAGATGTTCTCTCACATTTTTTATGCAATCTGGGACAAGAGAAAAATAGGAAGAAGCTTTTTGCTGTAGGTTATTACACCTGCTATGGCCTGAATTTTCAAATAGTGGAAGATATTTTCTTACTATATTTCAAAGCTACATTTTACACCTTCTTGTTTACATAATACTTTTGATGCTCATTAACTCTACAAAGGTTTGGAAAACAAAGTGCAAAAACCAAATTCTTGAAGAAAGAGAAATCACCCAATTTCACATTTTTTGCAAATGTGAACTTTCCACAGTTATGACTTTATGATGTGGTAACTTTACATAATCAAAATCACATAACACATCTGCCTTGGAAAATTATTGGCAAGGATCTTAGATTGTTAAATGGCCCATTTTACATTCCAATCCTTAATGAGCAAGATCAAACCATGTAAAAACAAGCGCTTTCTCAACTATCTATCTGCCGTTTACGGCACCTCTTCAAAAGCTTTGGAAATAGTCCATAATTAGGTGGCAAAGATGCCTAGAAAGTCTTCCAAACCAAATGGCAAAGCATTTAAGGGAAGCATCAAAAAAGCATTCGTCAGAAATAAGCATAACATTTGGAATACCTTTCCTCGGTTTTTAATTGCTGCATTTTGGACGGTAAGTTTAATTACTTCTGTTCTTAACCCGCAGCTATCTACAGCGATCACTGCAGCCATCCCTGTATTTCATATGGCAACATCGAACATAAGAAACTTCAAGTAAAACACTGAAATACTCACATCTCAGCAGTGCTAAGAAAACTCTCCCCAGGAAAGGAAAGTTGTAACTTCCTTTCAACCTAAGCAGAGTGAGTACATTCTGCTGAGTCTTTTACTTTTATTTGACACAATCACACTCTGTCATCCAGGCTGGAGTGCAGTGGAACGGTCACAGCTCACTGCAGCCTCAACCTCCCAGGCTCATTGATCCTCCTGCCTTAGCCTCTCAAGTAGCTGGGACTACAGGCTTGCACCACCACACCCAGCTAATTTTTTTTTCTTTTTTTTTTTTTTTTGGTAGAGACGAGGTTTCCCCATGTTGCTCAGGCTGGTCTCAAACTCTTGGGCTCAAGGGATCTGCCCACCTCAGCCTGCCAAAATGCTGAGATCACAAGTGTCAAAATGCTGAGCCACCGTGCCCAGCTGAGGGCTTTTTAAAAGGGAGTTTGGGGGCTGGTAAGAATAAATGATGTAACTTTTTAAACATTTCCAGTGAGGGACCTCTGGCACAGGAGGTACTTGATTATCCCTGCCGAATTAAGAGGGCTTCCCCAGGTCGTCGGTGAATCTTTATCATTGAGTCTCGAGGCTGGAGAGTTCCAAGTATCTAATACAGTATGAGTCATTTGATTTTTGTGATCCTTTCCTTCCCTTTCTTACCCTACTGCTTGACAACCATACTACTCTCACCCACACTACAGACATAAAGCTTGCTACCATACAATTAAGGGCCGAATGGTGGTACCCCAAAGAAGATATGTTAAAGTCTCAGCCCCAAAACTTCACATCTTATTTGAAAATAGGCTCATCGCAGATATAATGACTTAAGACAAGGTTATACTGAGATAGGGCAGGTCCTTAATTCCATATGGCTATTGTCCTCTTAACACAATGTGAAAATGTGACAGCAAAGAGAGACTGCAGAGATGCAGCTGCAAAGCAAGGAATCCCACCGTTGGAAGCTGGGAGGAGGCAAGGGAGAGTTTTCCCCTATGGGTTTTAACAGGGAGAATTGCCCTCCAGACTTTTAGCTTTCAGATTTCAGATTTCAGACTTCTAACCTCCAGGACTGTGAGACGGTAAATTTCAGTTGTTTTAAACCATCTAGCTTGTAGTGATTTGTTATAGCAACCCTGAGAAACTGATACACATGCCTTGGTTCTTGAGTCAAACAGGGGTTCAAACCCTTCTTTCTGGACAACTGGTGGCATGCCAAACTGGTGGCATGCAAAGCTCTTCTGAGACTGGGGCCCAACCTTGCTGCACTAACCTCCTCCCCAGGGACCAGACTTCTTTCCCAACCGAGGGTTCGTGCCTTCCTACTTTCACTTAACAGTAACACAGCCTCCAGGGATGATGCCTAAAGGTCTACGGAAAACCCATAAAGCCCCTCCTGGGACTTGGGAGTTTGTTTGGTTTAATTTTTCATAAACACAAAATAAGCTAGTAAATTTATAATTTTACCTAAAAGTTAAGTAAACCTAGGACACTTTACGTCATATTTGTTCATTTTGAAAACATATTACTTTCATACACATAAAACGTCTGTGGCTCAAAAACTGTTGCTATGGACTGGATTATTTCCTCCCAAAATTCCTATGTTGAAGCCTTAACTCCTTAGTGTGATGGTATTTGAAAATGGGGCCTTTGGCAGGTGACTAGGTTTACATGAGATCATGTGGTGGGATGTTCGTGATGGGATTAGCGCCCTTACAAGAAGAAATACAAGAGGCCAGGTGTGGTGGCTCATGCCTGTAATCCCAGCAGAGAGAGGCCGAGGCAAGAGGATCATTTGAGCCAAAGAGTTCCAGACCAGCCTGGGAAACACAATGAGACCCTGTCTCTCCAAAACATTAAAAAATGAACTTGATATGGTGATGCACACCGGTAGTCCCAGCTACTCAGGAGGCTGACATGGGTGGATCACTTGAGCCCAGGAGGTCTAGGCTGCAGTGAGCCATGATTGCACCACTGTATTCCAGCCTGGGCAACAGAGTGAGACCTGTCTCAATATTTTTTTTAAAAAAGATGAGACAACAGAGCTTGCTTTCTCTTTCAGCCATATGGAGACACAGAGAGAAGGCAGTCATCTACAAGCCAATAAGAGAGCCCTTACCAGGAAGCAAAGTGGCGCACGCCTTCATCTTGGACTTCCAGCCTCTAGACCTATGAGAAAATTCTCTTGCATAACCACTCGGCCTATGGTATTTTGTGATGGAAGCCCAAGCTAAGACAGCTGTCATATTTAAGTGAGAACACAATGTAATATAATGATGATAACACTTTAAAAGCAGTAGCGCTAATCAGACACCATCTGAGTCAGGACTCTGTCATATCGATTTTGGAAAGACAGGTCATGTTAAATGTTTTAAGTAAATGTTGTACGTTTTAAGTACAGCAAATTTCTAAATGATTGTGTAATTAAGTGGTTATGGTCCTTTGCTTTCAATAATAAATAAGATCTGTTTACCTCCTCCTTCACTGCCGTGCCCTGGGCCTGGCCATCAGGGCAGAGGGGACCAGGAGGAGAGGGAGGGAGAAGACAGCTACCCGTCCTCTCCTGAGCCCACACTGGTGGAAAAGCCTCTGGGCACCTGTCTGAACTCCTTGGCGAGTAGGCCCGTGCAAGGCCAAGGGCAGGGATGTGTTTGAGCTGCTTTTCTGTCCAACTTCCTCAGTGTCTACTCTTGCCTACAGCATCTCCTGATGTGTGTTGCCCTCACTTTAGACACCAAGTCCTACCTGCCTACTGGTGTTTTTCCTCAACGCTTTGATCTAGGCCTGTTGCCCTAAATGGCAGATCTGAACCGCCGCATACATGTGGCATCTGTTAGTGTCAGGGGCTTAGGGGTGAACCTCGGCTGCTTCTGTGTCCAACTTCCTTGTTGCCTCCCCCTTGTCTGTAGTCTCACCAGATACTTAACTGCTCCTCCCCTCACCATTCACAGGCATTTCAAGATCAGCTCCACTTTTTCGGCATATTGAGGTTGTTTCATAAAGGAGGGATGGGCAGAGGGACACAGTTGTGAGGCATCCAAAGCGGGCATTTAGGAAGTCTTTCCACTTCCCTTTTCAGCTTTTCGTTTTGTTTTTTGAGACGGAGTCTTGCTCTGTTGCCCAGGCTGGTGTGTAGTGGCGTGATCTCCGTTCATTGCAACCTCTGCCTCCCGGGTTCAAGCAATTCTCCTGCCTCGGCCTCCTGAGTAGCTGGGATTACAGGCATGCAAGACCATGCCCGGCTCATTTTTTTGTAGTTTTAGTAGAGACAGGGTTTCACCATGTTGGCCAGGCTGGTCTCGAACTCCTGACCTCAGATGATCCACCTGCCTTGATCTTCCAATGTGCTGAGATTACAGGCATGAGCCTGTTCATTCATTTTTCAAAGGCTTCACACACCATTCCTCAGATTTTACGGTAGTATTCCCATTAACTATATGCCGTAGTCCCGCTTATCAGCGGTTCACTTTCTGCAGTTTCCATTACCTCAGGTTAACCATGGTCAGTAAACAGGCGAGTACAATACAATAAGGTATTTTGAGAGAGTTAGAGAGAGAGAGATCAGTTTCACGTAACTTTTATTACAGTATATTGTTATAACTATTCCATTTTATTATTGGTTATTGTTGGTAATCTCTAACTGTGCCTGATAAACTTTATCATAGATAAGTATATATTCAAAAAAACACTATAATATATATTAGGGTTTGGGACTATCTGTGGCTTCAGGCATCCAATGAGAATCTGGGAGCATATCCCTTGTGTTTAAGAGGAAACGACTGTGTAAGCGATACCAAAATCCAAGAGAAAATAGTACCCCTATAATCAGCACCACTTTATATAATTGGAGTCACTTCATAGAAAATGGTGGACAGTTTTTTATATTCTATGCTGCTCTGTCTCTGAAAAGTGTTGACAAGTCCCACAAAGGCATAATTATTTTTCATACACCTGAACAAGACCTGTCTTTCCAAAATCGATGTTCACACCAGTAAAACTACCCTGGTGTCACATACAGTCGGTAGTGCTGTCCCCAAATGGAGTGAGAACTTGGTAACATCCTTCTAGAATTCCCTATTCAATCAATAGGAATAACTTTAGAGTCTTCCTTCTCCCGAGTTTTGTAACGTTTTTTACCTTATGTAATACCATTTCAATGTGGATGCTTTCACAGGTCAATCAAAATCCTTGAGACAATTGTTTCACACTGAAGAAAGCAAGGACATGCTACATCATCTATTTTCATTAAAGAGTCTTAAGGAGGCCAGGCATGGTGGCTCAAGCTTGTAATCGCACTTTGGGAGGCCAAGGAAGGCAGATCACCTGAGGTCAGGAATTCGAGATCAGCCTGGCCAACATGGAGAAACCCTGTTCTCTACTAAAAAAAAAAAAAATAGAACAATTAGCCAGACATGGTGGTCTCCACCTGTAATCCCTCACTTTACTACTCAGGAGGCTGAGGCAGGAGAATCGCTTGAACCCAGGAGGCAGAGGTTGTAGTGAGTGGAGATCGCACCATTGCACTCCAGCCTGGGCGATAGAGACTCCATCTCAAAATAAATAAATAAATAAAAATAAAGTCTCAAGGAAATTGCTCTGCTTCAAGAGACTTTCCCTTTTCTAGTTGGTAGGGAATCAAACCACCCCCTTCTTTTCAACCAAAAGCCTTTATTTTCTCAATTTGGAGTTGGTCGTTTTAGTAATCACAGCAATCATTCTTTTTTATTTACCATATGCACTTGGGAAGATTTTTATTTTACTGTTTCTCTTTCCGGTTTATAATGTTCTCTTTTTTGTATGATAATGTCATAAGCCTAATTTTCCCTTCTGTTAGGTCTTGATTATTCCCCCCGAAGGCTGATATTTAAAATAAAAGCACTTAAAACTTAATGTTAGCCGAACAGTTATGTGGTCACATGCATACAAGGGAAAGTAAGCCTCCAGATACTGTTAATATTCCATGCAAATTAAGTCTAATGCAGCACATCTAGTAAGGAGTTTCCCTTCAGGGCTGATCTAATTATAAAACTGAGCCTAAGTTTTAAAAAGGTAATTGGCAAATAACCAGGAATCAGTTTGTCACTGCTGTTGCAGGACTGACTTCTGAGGATCATTCGTAACTGACAAGGGAAATTACAACCTGAGAATTATACTCGTTGTACGAGAATGTTCTCGAAATCAGCCTGACCAGTTTTTTTTTTTTTTTTTAAACAAACATAGAAGAAGTGAGTGCCCAGCGCTGATATTAGTTGAGGTTAGCCACAGGATGGGTTAAACAGGTCCCTTCAAGGTCAGCTGGAGCAGATCTCAGGTCGAAAGTGCTGGTTAAACCGAAGGAAGCAGCAGTGGGTCCACTGAGCAGCTCACTGGCTTTTGTCAACTGATATGAGGAAGTTTCGATGAAGGTATAGAAAAACCTTGACAACCAACCTAAACTGTTAGTCTCTTGAAACCAACGACTGTCTAAAATAAGCTAGGAGACTCATTTCTAGCTTCCCAGGCCCTCCTTTGTATTGAAACTCCCTTCCCTGCCTCCTTAGGACAGCCACATCCACCTCACCCTTCAGGTCTCAGCTCAAATGTCCGCTCCTGAGAGAGGTTGGGCTTGAGAGGCTGCCCTCCCTGCCTCAACTGTGTCTGCTGCTCCAAAAAGCAGAGCGGAAAATGGGCAACAGACAAGCCCACCCAGAAGGGAAGAAAAGCACTGCCCCAAGTGGCGATCACACCCATCGGTGCCCACTTGTCTTTGGGTTCAACCTAACCTTGGACCTCGCCTTCTTTTTCCTGCCCTGTAAGATTACTCTCAGTTAATTGTTCTAGTTATTTCTGGTTCTCAGCAGCATTACAATATTTTGCTAAGATAAGGTAAAAGGAACTGGATGAATCAGAAAGGGAACAAGTGAAAAGGCTAACAATAAGGGGCAAAGAAATATTTAAAATGTATTATAATTAAATAAAATCGAAATGCACAAAAGACTAACCCAACTGGAATTTAAATAGTTCTATGAGATCTTTGAAAGAAGTGATCATATAAGTGAGAACAGAACGGGAATAGAATCCTGTTCTATAGTCACTGGGTGGTAACTTCCCTAAGGCTAGAGACAGAGTGTCAATTCATTTGCTCCCCACCAAGAAAGAGCTGAACTAGGCCTGTGGGAAGGTATTTTGTAAATTCAATAGATGATCATTATTCTTAAAGGCCACATTCTGATGTAAAAGCATACACCGAGACTTACTTTGCACATCAAAGTTACAACTTCCAAGGTCAGTTAAAACTACCACATACATAATTTGCAAAAGGCTTTTACTACTGTAAATGCCTACTTTCTGTGTTCTTTTTCTGTTTTTTTATGGCTCACCAATAAAGAGGTATATCATGATCACCTCTTCTCTAACGACTCCTCCCCTGCCTCTTCAGGACTCTGAAGGGGAAAATTGACAGTAAATATGAATGTTTCCCTAGCCCCTCTAAAAGTACAAAATTAAAGAGGCCTGTTATCCTGTAATGAAAATGTTCTACTTAAATGAAATCTCATTTTCAAGTGACCCAACCACAGAACAATCAACAATAACAGGCTTTATGTCCAAATGGGAGAGGAGAAAGGCACAGCATGCTTGCCCTTGGTTAAGAAGGGTTGTATTTAAACAATGAGAGACAAACATGTCTACATCATGGGGTCTGGGGGAAATATGCTAGCTATTGTTGTTTTTGGATTAATGAGAATTTTGCTCCCAATTTTCCACAGAATGGTTTTTATTTTCTAATATTTTCATTGCACCATTAACCACTGCCAGGAAGAAGCCAAAGAGTTGCTAAAATCTACTGTATCACATGTGAAACAATGTGGAAACAGGTCTGTCACAAAACTAGGGTACCCCCATCACTCTTGGTCAGGGCACATAGTTCCATAGCAGGACCAGGGAGGAGATACTCAAAATGGGTAATGAATATTGAAAACTATGTATCATACCAAGTCTTGGGAGTCAGGAAGATGGGGCAGGTAATTTAACATTTGACAAAGCTTCCCTCTCTTCTTCCACCTCAAGGGGAAGAGAGCTGCTTTTCTTAATCAGGCCATCCACAACGTGCAACTGCTCTGACCCGCTCCATGTCATCATAAACAAATGGCAAAATATTAAGGAGTCTCCTGAATTTATAACGATATATCCATTTGCATTATCTAAAATGCTCTTTGGAACACTCACTTTTAAGAACAGTTTTGTTTTGTTTTGTTTTTGTTTGTTTTTTTAATGAGACAGTTTCATTCCGTCTCTCAGGCTGGAATGCAGTGGTACAATCACTGTCCATTGCAGCCCAGACCTCCCTGGGCTCAGGTGATTCTCCCACCTCGGCCTCCCAAGTAGCTGGGACTACAGGCGCACCACCATGCCCATTCAACCAAGCTCAGTAAACGATCCCACCTGCTGATGAGACCTTTCAATGTTCAATGCACCTGGGGGGAAATAACAAAGATATATAAGGTATTTTATTTCCCTCAATGATACTGTAGTGAGCAAATAGCTTATTAACATCTCCCATCTCAACCTCTAGCACTTGCCAGCCACACATCAGTGTAATATTTGTATATTTTGCTCACTTTATGAAATGTATTTATACATATGTACATTTACATATATTACACATGTATGGAAAATGACTATGCAACAAATTTAAAGCACATGATCCCACACATGTAAATCTCCCAACTCTCAAATCTCACTGTTTTCTCCTTGATTCCTGAAATTCTCCAGACTCCTTGGAATTCAGCTGCTAGAGTATTCTTGACTGAACATCAAACTGCTGCTAAAGACATTCTCAATGTAACTTTGAGTCCCAAACACAGCCATATTTTCATTTACTTAGGTAAAATGATTACATCTGGAAAATGTACTTGGACTCAAACTCAAAATCAGTTCTCCACTACATAAGAAAATAACAACATTAATTCTAAGCAGATTCTTCTAACAGGGAAGCACTATATAGCATTTCTCAGTAGTTGATCTGGCACACTTGAATCTAATCTGAATTTCTAACAACTTTGCTTCAGAAGTTTTTCCATGAAATTTGGTCTTTGCCTGACTCGCATGCTATAAATTCTATTAACCAAACTCTGCAGGCCCTTACACTATTCTTAAACAATTCTACACTTGAAAAAAGATTATGAAATCTTTAGCAAACACACTCTGTATTTCAGAAAGTAGAATTATGAGCTTAAGACTTAAGTTTTGGTTGTTTTTTTTTTCCTTTCAGATTATCCAAAAGGCTGGATTCAGTGCCTGAACAATCATTTTCTAAGACAGAGGAATGAAACCATAGAGAAACCCATTAGAGTTCAGACTGATCCTGTGAGACTCAGGCTGCTTAAACACAAAGCAGGATCATTTTGTAATCCATTTCTATTAGGTCTCTCCTTCCATGGAGTTCTCAAGTCTCCCAGGGATGCGGAATCTACCTGTATTACCAATAATGGTGACTGGTCTTTTTTTTTTTTTTTTTTTTTTTTTTTAAACCAACCCTCTCTCTCCCCTTCACTTCTCCTCCCAACAAGACCTTCAAGTGTTCAAGCTTTTCCAGGTACCACAACGCCAGCCTCACCCAATCCCTCTATGCCCACAATCCCTACCCGTCCTGGGGAGTCTGGGCTTTCTCCAGTGATAACAGATGGAAGTTAGTTGGATAATAAACCAAATCACATCAGATTTACAAGCTGCCTTAATCTAGTTCAGAAGATGCCTCCTAAAAGAGGCTGCTGCTGAGACTTGGAGCAGCAGGGCGAACCTGGGAGAACTCTCATTTTGGAGCTCTTCAAATGTTTTTATCTGGACAGCTGCAACCATACCAGTCCTACTGCATGGGAAACTCCATTAAAACAAGATGTCCACAGGAGTGGACACGATCTTTCAAAAAGAAGTACATTGTAAAAAATGTTTCACAACACACACTCAACATACCTTTTTAAATGTATGAAACATATTGAAATACGAGGGTGAAAACAAAGAAAGAAACAAAACCTGTAGGCATTCACTCATATCCTCCCATAAGACTGCCTTAAATGCATTTACAAAACACACACCTTCCTAGATAATGTACAGAAGAGGCAGAAAGTGACTGAAAGCAAAGTGATGGCTCATAATTACCAGGTGACCCCCAAATGCCTTCTGGTTGTTGGCCGGGGCTTTGCTACACAGTGTCCTCAGCAATTTTTTTCTGCGAAGGGACAGATACTTAAATATTTTCAGCTTTGTGGGCTCCATGAGGTTTCTGCCTCATCTTCCTCTTTGGTTTATTTTACAACCCTTTATAGGTGTAAAAACCATGTAGTCCAATCACCTCTTCCTTGGGAGATATTTGGGCAACGCCTGATGTCTGTGTCTAACTGGACATCAGTTAGGAAGAGTACTGAAAACTAAGAGGCTTCTGTTTGAAAGGAAAATGGCTTGTTAAATAGGCACTAAAACAGAGTTCCATTCTGCCTGAATCATTTTGTTAGCTTTACACAATTCCAAGAGAAATCTTAGAGACATCTGTGTTTCCCTTTAGTTTTTATTTTGTTTGTTTTTGCTGTAGGAAGGGTAGAGATCAGAGAAGACAGAAGAGAATGAATCTTGCAAAATGACTCTGACTCATATAAAGTAAAACGGTTACAATGACTAAGTTCTAGAAAATAATTGTAAGGAGGAAGAATACAACTTCAAGAAATAAAACATAAAGCTACAATAACAGAGTATCATTCTAGGGTAAATATGAAACAGATCAACAAAACTAAATAGCACAGAAACAGACCCTAAGCTATAAAAGACATTAATACATGATGAAGTGATGACAAAAGGCTATGGGGAAGCTGAGAGTAGTGGCTCATGCCTGTAATCCCAGGACTTTGGGAGGCCAAGGAGGGTGGATCACTTGAGCTCAGGAGTTTGAGACCAGCCTGGGCAAAAAGGTGAAATGCCTTCTCTACAAAAACAAAACAAAACAAAACAAAACTAGCTGGGCATGGTGGCACACACACACCTGTAGTCCCAGCTACTCGGGAGGCTGAGGTGAGAGGATCGTTTGGGCCCAGGAGATTGAGGGTGCAATGAGCTGCTGTGCTTTCACCACTGCACTCCGGCCTGGGTGACAAAGTGAGACCCTGTCACAAAAAAAAAAAAAAATGGCTGTGGTGGGGACACAAAGGCTTATTCAACAACAACAAAAAAATTGCTGGGTCAGTCAAAAGATTATCTATAGAAGAAAAATCAAGTCAGATTTTTCTCCATTTCAAAATATAATTCAAAATAAATTTCATGTAAATAATACAGTTAAAGTTTTTAAATCCCATTACAGGAGCTGGAAGAAAATACAGTTAAATTGTGACCAACCTTCTGGATGGGAGATTTTCTAAAATGATGGCAGGAATCACACACATAAAATATACACGACTACTTAAAAATTAAAATTAATAAATTGAATTAGTAAATTTACCTTTATATAGTAAGTTATATGTTATATAGTATATTATGAACTATTAATACAGTAAATTAAAATACTGAATAAAAATCAGCAAATTAAACATTAAAAAATAATTTTAAAAAGTCAATAATAACCAACTAGGACAATGCTTTCAGCTAATATAATAAAGTGTCAATATTCCTAATCTATAAAGATGTTTTACAAGCTGTAAGAAACATACTAGACTTCAATAGATTAAAAAGTAGGGAGCTTTCACCAGGCACAGTGGCTCATGCCTGTAATCTCATCACTTTGGGAGGCCAAGGCAGTAGGATGACTTGAGGTCGGGAGTCCAAGACTAGCCTGGCCAACATGGTGAAACCCTGTGTCTACTAAAAATACAAAAAATTAGCTGGGTGTGATAGTGTGCACCTGTAATCCCAGCTACTTGGGAGGCTAAGACAAAAGAGTTGCTTGAGCCTGGGACACAGAGGTTGCAGTAAGCCAAGACTGCACCACTGCACTCCAGCCTGGACAAGAGAGTGAGACACCATCTTAAAAAAAAAAAAAAAGTGTGGAAAGTTTCTTTAAAGTAGTGAAAATGTTAATACACAGATTTTCTGAAGTTTAATAAATTCACTGATAAAGAACTGAGACTTGAGAAAACATTAGTTTTTGCTGATCAAATTAACCAGGATAGCACACAATGCCTGTTGGAGAATATTGAGTCCAGGCTTCCATCTGCTGCTGGCTGCAGTGGAAATTGGCTCAGTCACTCGGGTAAACAATTTAGCAGTAATTTGGCAAGTATGAAGTATATTTAAGGTGGTCTTACTTTTTGACCTAGTAATTTTACTTTGAGGAATCAATCTAAATCAAACAGTCATAAATGTGGACAAAGATGTCTATGCAGTCATGTGTACATAGGAGCATTGTTCATAAAATTGTAATTTACATGCCTAACATTGGAGAATGCTAAGTTATGGCATATAGATTTTATAAAATATTGTCTAACATTAAAATTATGTTTATGAGTTTTTAATAGAAAATTTGTGATATATGTTAATGTGTTGGAGTCTCAAGTTTGCCAATATGTGTGCACACAGTGCACACACACGGATTAAAGGCAAATATACCAAAATAATTAATAGTGATCATCATTGTAACGTTACTAGTAGGTAAAATTATAGGTAACTTATTTTATTCTTCATATATTTCTGGATTTTCTACATTTTCCATAATTAGTATATTTCTTTTTTGTTTTCACAAATATTAATTTCTTAATCAGAAAAAAATACACCTGAAAAACAGTTCTTAACCTCTCAAAAAAAAAAAAAGGTAATGAGGGGCGGGGTGCAGTGGCTCACGCCTGTAATCCCGGTACTTTGGGAGGCTGAGGTGGGTGAATCACCTGAGGTCAGGAGTTCCAGACCAGCCTGGCCAACATGGTAAAACCCCATCTCTACTAAAAATACAAAAATTAGCTGGGCATAGTGGCATGCGCCTGTAATCCCAGCTACTTGGGAGACTGAGACAGGAGAATTGCTTGAACCCGGGAGGCAGAGGTTGCAGTGAGCCGAGATGGTGCTACTGCACTCCAGCCTGGGTAACAGAGCGAGACTCCGTCTCAAAAAAAAAAAAAAAAAAAAAAAAAAAGAGGAAACATAGCTAGTCATCTCATCAAGCCAAAGCTTCTTCTAAACCAGAATTACAGAACTAAAAATGACCTCAGGTACCTAACCTAAGATCTTGTACTGCAGATACAAAAAAATCATTCTAAATATTTTATGAAACTGAGGCATATCCTATATCCATAAAAGTCTTATCCCAACATGCCATCAGCCAGGTATTAATAATATTCCTGTGTAAATAGCAGGAGCCTCTGTCTGGCCAAGAAACAAATTTAAGAGTAAAAATCCAGTTTTGATAAAAATGAAAGGATCTATGTAAAAGTCTTTTAATCATCAAAGTTCAATTCATTAAAAATAAAATCATCAATAACCTTGATTTTGATATGATTAGACTGTCAGAGCAAAACATTATAATTAATTTAGGCCTGCTCTCACCAAGGCAGGAGGCCGGGCAACAGGATTCACCAGTTATTTGATTCTAATACAATGAACAAAGGGAACAATGTGCTGGATTATTAATAAGTCAAACAGGGAAAAATGAGTAACTTTAGGCAGCATGATGCAACGGTATTAACATACAACAGTGGGACATAGCCAAGACATCCTCTAATGAAGACATGGAGAATACTGTCCAACTGAAGATAACAAAAGCTATAAAACAACACTCAAGCACCAAATTCCCTTTGTCAGAGAACAAGCTGCTGTGGTGGAAATTGTCTAGATTTTGAAGTCACACAGACAGGAGGTAGAATCCCAGTGCAGCCACTTACAAGCTGTGTGCTCCTTGGCAAGGTTCTTAACCTCCCAGAGCATCCATTTCCGCAGCTGTCAAACACAGATAACAAGGAACCTCGAAGGGTGGGCGTAAGGTTGAGATCGTGGGTACTAAATTCCTGGTTCAAAGCGCAGCTTGCCTACCAACGAATGGAAGCTGTAAGTCCATTATGAAAGACTGGACTCCTGGGTCACTGATGCTGTGGGCACTGCCTGACTTGCAAGCACAGGGGGAAAGCTGTGATTGATGTTGGCAGAAGTGGCTGGAACAGGTAGCAAGTGAATGATATGGCAGCAGCCTGGATGATCAAATGTAGCCCTGGCCCTGACATTACCCACTGGTTCCCCCAGGGCAGTGCTGGCCTGGGCTCTCTCTGTCCACCCCACACCAACTCCAAACTCCACACAGCCTAGAAAAAAATGAGGATAAAAGGAATGGGTAAACGGTAAAAAGAATCCCACCAGAGAGCTAACAATACGCCCTCCAAAGAGAGGGAAAAGCATGTTATAGAAAATACAATAAGCCTTTTAATTAAAAGAAAAATAACAAGAAATGAGTGAGAAATCAACACATCTAGAATAAGCCTATTGAACGACACTTTAAAAGAGATGTTGAACACAAAGAGTGAAGAAGATTGGCAGTGATGGGAAGAATTAATGAAGACAAAAATCGATATTACTCAGTAGACTGACAAGAGAAAAATACTAGAAATACAAGATAAGTGTGTGTAAAATAAGAACACTGCCTGGCATGTATCTGGATCGTAAGAGAATTAGACAATGACCTTGCCGAGAGAGAAAGAGACAAAGCTCCAGCCATCCCCAGAGGCTGAAGAAAGATCCTGTGTGATTTTGCTGATCACTGAAAAGTTAAAGGGCAATTCTGACAACTTGTCAATAAATTAAGCCTGGATTTTCAGAGAAGTAACAAAGATAATTTGAAGAGATACTGAAAATCATTTGCAACATGAAAACGGATCATAATTACATTAAGGGTAGTGGAACTAGGAGTAATAATGAGTCCTTTTTAGAAGAAACAATAGTGTCCAACGGATGTGACAGCCCCTTATATTGGTATAGGCACTTTTATTTTTAGCTGACAGAATACCATAGTGGATAAGGAAACGCCACCTTTAGTACAAGAAAGCCCCGTCTATGAATCTCAGTGTTGCCCCCTTACTTGTTGGCACATGTTATTAATACTTAAAACTCTCAGACTCAATTTATCTATAAAAGGGGTCTATAAATATCCATCTCCTATTACAGTTAACAATTGACAAAAAGACCTAGCCGATAGTAAGAGCTCCATAAATGGTACCTACTGTGAAGCTTACCACCATCTATTGCGTTGACCTGCATTCTAAAGAGGGGGATAAGAGACACACCTCCTCAGTGTCCAGATCTTGCCAAGTTGCTAAGGAGAAATAACAACAATCCTGAATAAATAGTTTTGGTGCTCAGCTCTACACCAAGAATACATGCATGACCTCCTTTGGCCTGTAAAACATGGTGAAAGCTACACGGCTGAGTGGCTCAGCTTACCACCGAGCACCTGTAAGCCTAGTGGTCCCCTAAATAAGAAGCCCGCTTAAGTGCAGCATCACAGGCCACCCTGAAGGTCAGCTTCTGAAGGACTGAAGCAGCTAGGGCCTTCCTATCAGGCTGGGAGAGGTTAGCTGACAACTCACAGCTTCTCACCCTGACCAGGTGCCATGTCCATTACACCTGCTATCCAACAAGTATTTCCTGATTTTATACCCCAGTGACTAAAAATGGCTACACGAGGCTACACACAATGGCTCATCCCTGTATTCCCAACACTGTGAGAGGTCAAAGCAAGAAGATCACTTGAGGTCAGGAGTTCAAGGATGTATTGAGTTGGAATCATGCCACTGCACTCCACCCTGGGCGACAGAGCAAGATCCTCTCTCAAAAAATATTTAAGCAAATAAAAAATAAAAGTGGCCATGTGTTTATCTGTATCTTGGCATGTTATTTTTGCTCCTCCTCTTTCAATTCCTCAGCTCATCTGAATACTCTAAGAGAGCCCAGTGATCACCTGCCAAATGGATTACAAATGTGCATCTCAGTGCTAATCCTAATTCTTACCACAGATCGGAGTTTTCTTTCAACAGAGCGGTGTATTAGGAACTCTGTAAAATTCAATGGCTGCATAATTTACAAAATGTAACACAGATAAAGAAATTGCAAATATCTTCAATTACCCCAACATTACCAAGTGCAAGTCATACGATACAGGATATTAGATGCTGATACAAGCTTTGGGACTGGTTTACTTAGGATATTATATTATCATTTGAAAGTATTTGGAATAAACTTTCACCTACATCCAAAACAAAAGCTATATGGGCAGTTTGGCTGGCAGCAATAATTTGCATAATGAGACATTTGAATAAAAGAAAGGCACTCTGTGTTGTGCCAATCTCAGACCCTGGGCACAAGAGACAGTACTGCTAAGCCAAGGCACTTCAAGGAGCATCTGAAAGGCCAAGTTCTGCTGCAAGTGGAAAGTAAATACATTGTTGCTCAGGGTTTCTATTCAAGCTCTTTGTTTTGTTTCAATATCTCAAGAATACTTTGGGAGTTAGTGAATATAATGACAATGTGTTACATATTATACAGTTCCTCTAAAAACAGCTCACTAGACCACTTACTTGCTCCTTCCAACACTTAAGAATAAAGCATTAAGTGTTATCTCCCTACCACTCAATCTGTTCCAAAGAATCTAGCAACATTAATCAAATTTCCAAGTATGGATGGGTATTTTTACTATTGCTGAACAAAACTGCATTTTAAACATTAATGTTAGAGGCAAACTGTCAAAAACAGGCACTCTCATTCTCTGCTGGAAGGAGTGTATCATTCTGTGAAGAGCAATTCATCAATATATAAAATTAGAGCCTACACTTTGACCATTTCTACATTCAATTTCTAGAAAGTTCCTTTACAGATACATCTCCACATGTACACATCGATTTCACCAAGGCTTTTTATGAAATCCTAAGAATGGAAACAACCTGGCTCGACACTGTGGCTGATACCTGTCATCCCAGCATTCTGGGAGGCCAAGGCAGGAGGATTGCCTGAGCCCAGGAGTTCCAGACTAGCCTGGGCCACATGGTGAAACCCCGTCTCTACAAAAAGTACTAAAATTAGCTGGGCATGGTGGTACCTGTAGTCCCAGGTACTCAGAAGGCTGAGGTGGGAGGATCACCTGAGCCTGGAGCAACTGAGGGTATAGTGAGCCATGGTGGCGCCAACTGCACTCCAGCCTGCGTGACAGAGTGGGACCCTGTCTCAAAGAAACAAACAAAAAGAATGTGAACACCTTAATGTCCATTAACAGAGAAGTGGATAAATTATATCCATGAAACGGAATACAGTAGAGACTTCAGAACAAATGCAGTAGCTCTATACCTAATAAATCAGACTCTACAGTGTTGAAGATCTCATATGGGTAGGTGTAAAAAAGCAAAGTATTTAAATATATAATAGTACTCTACTGTGTATGTCCATACAGTAAAGTGAAGACAGACTCACATATAACATTAATAGTTGATATTTGCCTACTGTATTCTGTGTGCCAATAATTGTTAGCAATGTACATGAATTATCTCAATTATTTCGTTTGTTCCTCTCAGTGATTCTAATATTCCCATTTTGCAGATGAGAAAAATGGAGGCACAAGGAGGTTTAGTCACTTGCCCAGGATCACAAAGTTGGTGGCCATCTTCTTAGGTATGACTACAAAGAACCTCCTAGTGTAGATATTAGCTATGAAAGTACCCACAGAAAGCTTCTAAGAGTAGTCACTCTAAGGAAGGGACTGCTTGGCTAAAAGATGGAAACCAGAAGATTTATTCTCCCTGAATCTTTGGTATTCTATACATGAGCGTGATCTGTGCAAAAAATAATAAATCCAGTGTTTTTTTACTCTGCCTTCTGGAATTAATTAGGAAGAAGGACAACATGAATGCTGCTGTATATCATGTATTTTTAAAGAAATGTTGTCTTAGTCCTATGTGTTTACTTGTGTAATTAATCCCTTAGTTTTTCCAAGTACTCAAAAAGATGGAAAAGACAACTTAATTCTATACAGAATTCACAGTTACGAATACATGCAATTTCCAAAATAATCAAAGGGGAATGATAAAATATCCATACACCCCAAAACCCACTATCAAGCCTACTGCCATGGGTGAGGGTTGAGGTTGTTCGTTTACTACAGATTAGCCAAGACTCTTGTTAAAAAGAGTAGAAATTTTAGGCTTTATTTCTAATTAAAGGAAGAAATTAAATGCATTCCAAGTAGCAAAAAAAAAAAAAAAAAAAAAAAAAACCACGGGGGGAGGCATTATGTATCTCTTAATTGTAAGCTCTAATAACAGAAAACCAGTAAAATTTTTCTGGTAGGGAATACATTCACCATAACATATGAAACCACATCTTCATAATACATAAAACATAAAAGGTCTGTGAGGTAGGGCCCTATTTCAGTATGTTTTTCTGAAATGCAGGGTCAGCAGGCCAAAACAGTACTTCCCAAACTTTCATGTGTATGATGAGCATCACCAACAATCTTGTTAAAACGATTCAGTTGCTCTGGGGTGAGACTCAGATTATGCATTTCTAATAAGGATACTCCTGTTGGAGAGATGACATTTTGAGTAGCAAGGCACCAGGCAATACATAAAACTAAATAAAAGTATAATCTGATCAATGAGGTTGTAGAATCAAATTGAAACTATTAAAATCTTAGCCCCTTCAGAAGTATTTGAAAGCTAGACAAAGAAATAGATTTAGATTTTTTCTCTTGAAAACTGTGAGCAGTGTGAAATAAAGAGATGTAAATACTACGCTCTCAAATTTGGTCAACAATTCAAAGTCGATTTCAAAAGATCCAGGAGGGGTTCTAGTTTCAAGAATGAGAGAACACCTAGTAATTAGTACATTATTTTATGCATAAGTGAGCAATAGTGAAGCTCTTAATTTTTTTCAGCTAAATCAAATGCAATCCAATGGGCACCAACAATATGCTCAGCAATGGTCGAACAGAAGATGCTGATGACGGGGTCAACGTGGTCCTGGTTCCCAAGACCATCAGGTGTGGAGACAGCATGCCAGAGGCCAGCACAGTGGGGACGCTCCCAGGAGACCAGCCATAGCAGACAGTGTGTGTGAGACTGAAACAACACGCTTAAGCACTGAGGAAATGCAAAGCAAGGAAACAAAACCGGTTCATTTCTTTTGTTTGGAATGAGGAATACATGAGGGTTTTGGTAATGATTTTGGCCAGGAAGTGAGTCTTGGCTTCTTAGAAAAGTGACTAAAAACTAAAGTGGCCTAAACCTGCACTTCCAGGACTCAGGTGAAGAGTCACGAGTTGCTCCCGTGTCCTTAGCAATTTTAACTGTTCAAAGTGCTGGAAAGAGGCATCACCAGATAATTCTAAGAGTTTACAGCATCAGGAGAACACCAAGGGACAAAGAAAAGGTGGGCTCAGAGATTAGCATGGAGGTGCGGTCTTCAGAAGTGAACATTTCCTCTGGGCCTTGATGTGATCAACTGTATAGGGGTCAGAAAGCTTTTCTGAAAAGGGTCAGATGGTGGGCAGTTCAGGTTTTGCCATTGTAGTACAGAACTAGCCATAGATCATGTTCCAATAAAACTTTACAAAATTCTGGATTTTGTCAATGCCACTGCATGGCAAAATGAGGGTAATAATACCTTTCCTGTTTTTTTTCATTTTCTATTTAATTTTCTCCAACTTTTATTTTAGGTTCAGGGGTACATGTACATGTCTCTTACATGGGTAAACAGCCTGTTGCAGACATTCTGTACACAGATTATTTCGTCACCAAGGTAACAAGGCTCGCACCCAATAGTTTTTTTATCTTCATCTTCCACCCATCATCCACCTTCAGTTAGGCCCCAGTGTCTATTGTTTCTATCTTTGTGTTCATGTGTACTCAACGTTTAGCTCCCACTTGTAAGCGAGAACATGCAGTACTTGGTTTTCTGTTCCTGCATTAATTCACTTAGGATAAGGGCCTCCAGCTCCATACTTGTTGCTGCAAAGGATAGGATTTTGTTTTTTTTATGGATGCACTGTATTCCATGGTATGTATGTACCACATTTTCTTTATCTAGTCCACTGTTGATGGGCATCTATGTTAATTTCATGTCTTCGCTATTGTGAATAGTGCTGCAATGAACATTCATATGCATGTGCATTTATGGTAGAATGATTTTTATTTCTTTGGGTATATACTCAGTAATGAGATTACTGGGTTAAATAGTGTTTTGAAGTTCTTTCAGAAATCTCCAAACTGCTTTCCACTGTGGTTAACTAATTTACATTTTTACCAGCAATTAATGTGTTTCCTTTTCTCTACAACCTCGCTGTCTGTTTTTTTTTGTTTTGTTTTGTTTTGACTTTTTTTAGACAGGCTCTCACTCTGCCACCCAGACTAGAGTACAGTGGCGTGATCTCCGCTCACTGCAACCTTCACCGCCTGGGCTCAAGCAATCCCCTGCTCCAGCCTCCTGAATAGCTGGAACTACACGTGTACACCACCACACCCAGCTAATTTTAAATATTTATTTTTATTTATTTTTTTCTTTTGTAGAGATGGGGTTTCACCATGTTGCCCAGGCTGCTCTTAAACTTTAGGGCTCAAGCAATCCACCTGCCTAGGCCTCCCAAAGTACTAAGATTACAGGCATGAGCCACCATATCAGGCCTGCTTTTTACTTTTTAATAGCCATTCTCACTGGTATGAGGTTGATTAATAATAACTTTCCTTAAGGTAAATATTTGGTGACCAAGATCAAGGAGGGGGAGTTGATATAACTTTATGTGACAGTATATACAAATTCAAATATTCATGGACCATGACCATGGATGCATATCTAGAAATAGATGCATCCCCACCTGTCTTTACCTCCATCCCTTCTAATTCACTAGATGAACTGTCTGTCTTCCCATCTACCTCCTACCTCTTCCATAAGGTCACTCCTTCAATTCATCCTCTCTGGTATTGTCAGCCTTCCTTCTGTCTATTGCCTCTTTCCATCAGCATACAGACACCACAAAACATAATGAGCCCCATCTCTTTGACCATCTCCTTCTCTATCCACTGCTCCTCTATTTACAGTAGACTTTGGGAAACAGCAATCTGTGCTTTCCCCACCTCCTGCTGTTCCACTTAAAATCCCTGTGTTAATTGAATTTTGACCCCACCACTCTTCAGTAATCGTCTTTGCCAAAATCAATAGATATTTCTCTGCTATTAACATACTTGACTTCTCCGCAGCAACGGAAACTACTGACTTTCCTCCAAACTCCCTCTCATCCTCGGTTTACCAGATGAGCCCAGCTTCTATTGACTAGGATCTCTGTGGCCTTCCAGCTTTCCTTACACGCTCTTTCCCTCTACCCTCAAATTTTCCAGTAACCAAGTATCTGCTTTGCCCTCCTCTCTTTATATATAACTACTTATAAGTTTGGGAGGCATAAGCATACACTTGTAATGAAAACCATCAAAGTGAATTATGAACTGATGAAAACTGAACCCACTGCCACAGTTCGAACCAACTCCCCCCTCCTAGAATCACTGTCTCTCTTGATGGAACCAGTATCCACTCAGTTAACCCAACCAGGAGACTTCTGTCCCCTCGATTTTGCTTCCCTTCAACCCACATTCCCAATGGATGGTCACCTCCTGTCCTTGTAGCTTTCTCAGTTCTCCTATCCTTCTAAGGGAGGCTGAGCACACAGCGCTGTTGACATCGCTGAGTATCCCTACAGGCAGCAATCCTCCCCTCTCTGGATTTCAGAGGCCCCACCCTCCTGTCTCCTTGGACACTGGTCCCATTGTCCCCCTCAGACTCCTTTCTCATGGCCTGTTGTGTGCCTCAGGGGCCTACCCTGCACCCTCATCCAATCCCATAGCTGTAAGTCTCATCTATATGTGTTGAGAACCAAATCACAATCTTCAGCTGCGGCCAGGTGCAGTGGCTCATGCCTGTAATCCCAGCACTTTGGGAGGCCAAGAGGTATGGATCACTTGACCCCAGGAGTTAGAGACCAGTCTGGGCAACATGGTGAGATCCCATTTCTACAAAAAGTTAAAAAAATTTGTGGGTGTGGTGACACACATCTGTAGTCCCAGCTACTTGTGAGGCTGAGGCGGAGGGATTGCTTAAGCCCAGGGGATCAAGGCTACAATCGGTGAACCGTGATTTTGCCACTGCACTCCAGCATGGGTGAATGAATGATACCTTGTCTTAAAAAAAAAAAAAATCTTCAGCTGTACATTTCTGTACATTTCTCTTGAGCATCAAATCCTTCTATCCAATACCTACCCACATCTCCCCTTAGTTATCATAAAGTATAGGAGGATGACTATAGGTGTTCACTGTCTGACATGCCTCCATTCCCCTCTCCCCTTCCTTGCAAGGAAACCATGCTAGGTTCACAGAAAGCAAATCCCAGCCTCCTCCCACAGGGACCCTGAAAGTCCAAAGCTGATCCTGCAACGCCTAAGGTGTGCCCACTGCATGAAAAGCTGCCTTATTCAATCATCACTGAAAACACACGAACTGACTGCTTTCAGAGTGCTTGAGGACCTCCACATTATGACATCGATGTGAGTCAGTAAGTCAGTAATAGTCACTGAACATAACATTTTCCAGCTGTTTCTCCAAATTCAAAATAAACAACAGAAACTGGAAATGCTCAATCACTTTCTTACAAGGTCATGTCCAGTTAGCATGGTAACAAGCTTTGAATTTCAAATAGGAAGGGAAGGAGTTCCAACAGACTCAATGTTTAACCTTTAATATCTGCCCAAATCCTACCATTAAGTCTGAATGTGTGTGACGCACTGGAAAGAGAAAAGCTTTCGAATCAGGTGAACTTAAATCCAGATCACAGCAGCCCCAACTCCTTAATGGTTGAGTGACCAGGATAAATTATGTTTTCCTTGGTTTCCCCATGTTTAAAATGAGGATGTTGTAGGGTGTTTAAATATTTAAATTAGGTAATTATTTTTGAGAGGGGGTTTTGCTCTATAACTCAGGCTGGAGTGCAGTGTTGTGATGTCAGCTCACTTGAACCTCTGCCTCCAGAGCTCAAGCTATCCTCCCACCTCAGGCTCCCAAGTAGCTGGGACTACAGGCATGCACCACACGCCCAGCTAATTTTTTGTATTTTTGGTAGAGACAGGGTTTTGCTATGTTGCCCCGGCTAGTCTTGAACTCCTGAGCTCAAGCAATCCTCCCGGCCTTGGTCTCTCAAAGTGCTAGGATTACAGGCATGAGCCACTGTGCCCAGCCTAAGTCAGGTAATTTTTTAAAGTAAAATTTTTCATAAGTATCGAATAAAGCAAAATATTAGTAATCAAGATTTCAAAGAAAGTATTCCCCTAGTTCTACTAAAAAAAAAAATTCTAAAATCACCTGATGGTAGACCAGAATTAAAAAGGAAGAAAGACTGACATACATTCCTTTATTTAAAAAATGGGTATCAAAATACATTGAGTAATAAGCCAATAAATGTTAGGGAAGTCATTTTTGTAGAACACCATGGCCTAATCGCTCTTTGGAAAATAGTGATTAGCAGAAGTCATTTTCCTGGAATGGTGCAAAGATTTTCCTCTGTAGAAGACATCTCTGACTCCGTGATGATAGGATGAAAGTTCTGCCAAGCTACTCTACACTTCAGGCACTGAGACACCAACAAATCCAAGCCCTTTATGACACGGTATGCCATCACTCAAGAGAAGGCTCTTACCCACTCTGACAGTCTTTCTCAACTATACAGTCACGATGCACCTTCCTATTTGCTAGTTGGGTGTTATTTTTCTTTTGAGGTAGGGTCTCACTCTGTTGTGCAGGCTGGAGTGCAGTGGCACTATCATGGCTCACTGCAGCCTTGACCTCCTTGGCTCAATCAATCCTCCCATCTCAGCCTCCCAAGTAGCTGGAACTAAGGCATGTGCCACCATTCCCCACTAATTTTTACATATACATCTATATGCACATATATATACACACACACACACACACACATATATATATATATATATTTGCAGAGACAGAGTTTTGCCATGTTGCCTATGCTATAGTCTCAAACTCCTGTCCTCAAGTGACCTGCCCTCAGCCTCTCAAAGTTCTGGGATTACAGGCATGAGCCACCAACCCAGCTGCTAGTCTTTTTTAATTCTTTGTGAAAAATTTGTGAAAAGTGAAAAATTTTTTTCACTTATTGTACAAAAATATTCCAACTATCTCTTCGAGGCTATGGAACATAGAAATATGAATAAAACATGCAGCTCTCAGTCTGGTAATAGGAGACTTAAAAATAATAACAAAAGGTAGAAATTTGTGATCAATGTGCCACTACTATGCTAATTGAAAGGAGGGGACCATTTGGGGTTAGAATTGGGGGATTCACGGGTGTCTTCTCAGAGGATAGAGTATTTCAGTTAAACTTTGGAGGTTGAGCAGGATTTGATAGGGCAGAATGGAAGGGGGTACATCACAAGCCTAGGTGAGGGCAACTTGTGCTTCACACAACTCTGGGAACTCCATTCACTTCAGTCATCATGGACTCTCATGTTATGAAAAGTTTCTGACCAATAGCAACAAAGTGTCTGAAGATAGGATTGCCTTTTGCTAATCTGCACAATGTTACATCAACAAGCAGCATGGCTGTCTCTCAGAAACTGCAAGAAAATTTGATTCTCTCAAATCCTGTGAGCAAACAGAGGGAAAAAGATCTATCCTAAAAGTCTGGAATCAAAACCTAGCCCTCATATAGGACCTCTAGTCCAATTCACCATTTTTATATGGCCTGAAAAACCTCAAGCCAAAAAAAATAATTTTAAGGTGATTCCAGGATGCTAGTGCCAGAAGAAACTTAGCAGTAGCAAACAAACTTTCTATAGAGGAACCCACCTTCGATCTTGACCTCAAAGAGGCCCCACAGGTAAATATTCAGGAAACTGAATTTACACTTAAAACACACACGTGTACGCGCATGCACACACACACAGTGACCAAGAACCAGGAGAAACTACGCCCCCCCCCCACACACACACACGAGATCAGCAAAGACTTCAAACATTAGAATTATCAAACATGAAATATCAAACAATCATGTCTAAAAGAAATAAAAAGTAGCAATTTATAAAGTGAGTATGAAATAAGAAACTATTAAAAATAAGCAGCTTTTAAAAATAGCTAAATAGAACTTTTAGAAATCAAACCATGTAGGCCAGATGCAGTGGCTCACGCCTGTTATCCCAGCACTTTGGGAGGCCAAGGCGCGTGGATCACAAGGTCAGGAGTTCCAGACCAGCCTGGCCAACATGGTGAAACCCTGTTTCTATTAAAAATACAAAAATTAGCTCAGCTTGGTGGCACATGCCTGTAGTCCCAGCTATTCAGGAGGCTGAGGCAGGAGAATCACCTCCCAGGAGGCAGAGGTTGCAGTGAGCCGAAATCATGCCACTGCACTCCAGCCCAGGCAACAGAGTAAGACTCCATCTCATTAAAAAAAAAAAAAAAAAGGAAAACAAATAAAACCATGTAAAATAAGTAAAACTTAAAACAAAGAATTTTTTTATTACTAAACTAGACACAGCTGAAGAGACAATTTGTGCACTTGGAGATAGAGCTGTAGAAATCCAGAATAAACCAGAGAAAGACACAGATAAACTGAAAGATGATAAACTGAAAGATAAACTGAAAGATAAACTGAAAGATAAACTGAAAGATAAACTGAAAGATAAACTGAAAGACGTGAGGATGTCAAACATGTCTAACAGATCCAATCGAATTTCTATGAGAAAAGGAAAGAATGGATCAGAGGCAAGATGTGAAGAAATAATGGTTGGATATTTTCTAGAATTGACAAAAAACATCAATCTAAAGTTGCAGAAGATCCAATAACAAACTCACCATACCTAATATATCATAGACACCACAGAACACCAAAGACAAATACACAAATAGAATGAAAAGATGGATTATCTTTAAAGGAACAACAGCCCCATTTCTCAAGAGCCACAATGGAAGTCAAAATCCAGTATAAAATACCTTCCATGTGAAGAGAAAAAGTAAATCTCAATCTAGCATTGGTACTATGTCAGAAAACATCTTAAGAATAAGGGCAAAACAAATCTGAGGAAAGAATGTTCTAGACAGTGTTGTAAGACCCTGGGGCAAAACAAGAAGTGCTAGGAGATGAGGACAGACGTAGCATGCGGGAGGAAATTATATGGGTTTTTATAGGCAATCTTAAGGACCTCCACTTTTCCACTGGGAAAATAAGTGGAGGGTCCAACAGAGCACCTTGGGCACCCCCGATGGGGTTTCCAGGCCATTGTTAGATGGCCTGGGGGCAGAGAAGACTCAGGCATCAGCTTGGTGGTCTAACTAGCTGATATTTTAAGGTCTCTTTCAACCTTGAAATCATTATTCAGGCAGAATAGTGATAGAATAATTAATTACTCTAGACTGAATATGTGTGCCCTCTCACCCTCCTTCCAAAAAAAAAAAAAAAAAAAAAAGTCCTGTTAAAGCCCTAACCCCCCAATGTGATAGATTTGGAGATGGGGCCTTTGGAAAGTGATTAGGGCTAGATGAGGTCATGAGGGTGTGCCCTTATAACAGAATTAGTGCCCTTATAAAGCAAAGGCCATGTGCACACACAGCCAGGAGGTAGCTGTCTGGAAGCCCCCAAGAGGAACCAAATAAGCTAGCACCTTGATCTTGGACTTCCCAACCCCCAAATTGAGAAAATACATCTGTTATGGTATTTTGTAAGCCCAAGGTGATTAATATAATTTATTATTTCACCAACCATACTTTAACTATGTTTCAAGATAATAGTTACTAAGAAAAGTCAAAGAGAGGAATCTCAAAAACCAAACAAGAGGCCGGGCATGGTGGTTCATGCCTGTAATCCCAGCACTCTGGCAGGCCAAGGCAGGTGGATCACCTGAGGTCAGGAGTTTGAGACCAGCCTGGCCAACATGGAGAAACCCCATCTCTAATGAAATCACAAAAGTTAGCTGTGCATGGTGGTGCACACCTGTAGTCCCAGCTACTTGGGAGGCTGAGGCACGAGAATCACTTGAACCTGGGGGGCAGAGGTTACAGTGAGCTGAGATCGCGACACTGCACTCCAGCCTGGGTGACAAAGCAAGGCCCTGTCTCAAAACAACAACAACAACAAAAAACACCACCACCACCACAAGCAACAGCTATGCTTCTCCATATTTTCATTAGCTATGACATTCAGCAAGCTTCAACTACTTTAAGGGAATTGAGGCTGAAAAGTGATACATAGTGTTTATCTTCCAACACTTATCTGGTAAATCTTTCTAAGTTAAATAGGTCTTTGGGGCATGATATTCAAAAGCCAGTACCTGGTAGCTAGTTACACCTGTTGGAGCTGTGAATAACCAGCTTCATAAATGTTTTTTTTCCCAGTCATCTAAGTAATGAAATCTCTTGTTAAATTCTCACTGAAAAGGCAGGGCTCCCCCCAACCCACCCACCACCTTACATGTCTTTACCATGTACATTTTCTATAGGATGATATTGACATTTTAAAGTTTGATGTACCATTAGAGGGATACATGTATTTTGGCCAAGTTTAATCAGGGTATCTCACATAAGCTCAGTATACGTAGCATTTCTTTGTCCACCACATTAGATCCATATTAGAAAGCAAGACTAACTCAGCTCCATTTTGCCTGTGTCTTGCATTATTTCCCATTGGTCACTCTTGATTTCAAGCAACACTTTCTTCATCCCAACTATGTCAGATTCTTACTTGGGCTCCTTCCCTTATCCTAGGTGCTGTCCACACTCTCTTTGCATCAACCCAAGACATGAATTCTCATTGCCAATTCAAACTCTTCTCCAAAGGCTTTTGTGACAAACTGTGTGTGTTTCCGACAGAACTGACTATTTCCCAGGCATAGAAAATTAGTCATATGAATCCCCCAGAGTTTCTGTCTCTGTACTGGAAGTGACTCTAAAAATATTTGAATTGAATCTGCCTGGATCACATAAGTTACCACGAAAGTGCTTTTCAACAAAATCAGGTATCAGCTTAAATTCTCATCTTCTCTTTTACATATGAGTATAGAATACACATCCCATGAATCTCTGCCTACATTATTGGCTAAAGGCTGGCAGGTCATCCAGCTTTTCCTGTTGTTGCTTAAGAGCACCTGCCTGGCATGCAGCTCAGAGCACTGTCTGCCCAGACTGTGACCAAAGCACATAACCCTCCAGCAGTGCATCTCCCAGGGGAGATCGCTGCTTCCTGCTAATCCCAGATTGCCTACTTATCCTCTTGCCTGAAGAGATGGCAGCAAATCATGGCAAAAATACTGCCTCACATTTACCGAATACTTATTATATGCTAGACTCTAGCCGCTTTCTTTGTAGTAGTTCATTTACTACTCTAAGAAGTACAAGGTAGTACTATTATTGTCCCAGTCTTATAGATGGGGAAACTGACGCACGGGGAAGTTAAGTCAACTGCCCAGTCTTACAACTAGGATGTGGCGAAGCCATGACTTAATGGTCAATCTGTGGGGCTTCAGAGTTCACATTCTTGTCCACAATTCCATACCCACATCGATACAGGGCATTCTATATTATTCCATATATCCTGCCATGGGATCAGAGAAAATTCAATAAATGTCTGCCTCACCAAAAAAGATGAGAGGATGGAGCAGATGAAAGAGTGCAGTCTGGGGACCAGACAAACTTGAGTTACAGTCCAAGATCTTAACTGCACAACCTCAAGCAAATTACTTAATCCCCCTAAGCCTTAATTTCTTCATCTGTAAATTGGGGATAATTATACCTTCTGTCACTGCTGATGAGTGGCAGAAATAAGACTCAACCCTGTAACCTCTCTGTAACACTATGGTGCCACAGCCTCTAGAAGATTATCATCTTCAAAAATTGGGAGGAATACCAATGCTTTGCCGTAGCCAGGTGATTTGGGGGTAACTGTAGCCCCAACCAGAAACTTCTGGTCCTGGTACATCTAAAGAGTCTGGGGTTCTGAGTTAATTTGTGTGCCACCATGCAGGACCCACTAGGTAGCAAGGAAACACTCCCCTCTTACTCACAAAAGCTCCAGTTGTTACAGGCACATTCTCAGAGCCTACCTCCCCATGATCCCTGATATTAAAGGCAATGACATGGTAGATGAAAATCACCAGTCCCTAGAACATCAGTGGCTCCTTTGTCCAAAAGGACACACTCTCTACACACAGGAAAACACAAGGTTCTTACATGGGTGTACATTCCCAAAACCTCCAGAATGACCTCATTCTATGGCACAAGGACCGTTCAGGTTTGTTTGTTTGTTTTGTTTTTGTTTTTTGAGGCAGAGTCTTGCTCTGTCGCCCAGGCTGGAGTGCAGTGGTGCCATCTCAGCTCATTGCAACCTCTGCCTCCTGGGTTCAAGCGAATCTCCTGCTTCACCCTCCCAAGTAGCTGGGTCTACAGGTGCATGCCACCACACCTGGCTAATTTTTTTTTTTTTTTTAGTAGAGACGGGATTTCACCATGTTGGCCAGGATGGTCTTGATCTCCTGACCTTGTGATCTGCCCACCTCAGCCTCCCAAAGTGTTGGGATTAGAGGCGTAAGCCACCACTCCCAGGAGGACCATTCAGTTCTGTCACCCAGGAGCCACAAGGCCTCTCCCAGAGCCTCATCTCTCCAGCCTTGCAATGGCCTGGAAACTGGGCAGGGACTCTGCCTAGAGCATGTGAAGATGAGTCACCTACTGCTGTCACCTGGCCCAGTTCCTGAATGGAATGCTGCAAAGTCCTAAGTTCTCCTGCATGGCACTGACGAAAGGGATTTATTAAATGAAGGTAAAAACTCTCAATGAAAAACTGTCTTCAATCTAAGGAATGCACCAAACCCACAGTGCTTGTATGAGGGTTGGTATTCTGGCCCATAGCTGCTCCAGGACCTTTCAAATGTTCTGTAATACAGTACTATTCCCGCTATGTGGAGTTTAAGTAATACAAGTGACTTGTGGCCCGGATTGCATGGGACATAGGATAGCCATCCCAGATCTTCATTCATGATCATCTATGCCATGCTCTTTATGACAATGGGACAAGCACATGGAATATTCTGTTCACATGGGAGGATATGGCCATTCCTTTCCATGAATCCAGAAGGTCAGGTAAGGTCTTCATTTCCAGTAGAAGCTGCTTACAGATGTGCCACTCATTTCAAATCACGGATATGCCTTGCCTTTCTATTTCTCCCACCAGTTCACCAGTGTCTGGGCCTCTATGTGAACAGTTTCTCCTCGTATATAACCTCAACTTATTTTGACCAAGACTTCTCCTTCATCCTAATAGTTCAAGATTTGGTGAAGCCTATTTCCATAGCAGTCATTCCCCTTCCTGGTGTTCACTATCCTGGGATAAGAGCTGAGGTATTTTTAACCATCCCTACCAGCAGCAACCCCTTTCCCACTATTACAGTTGCCCCCACCCCCCCCCACCCCCCCCCCCCCCCGCATCTTCAGCAGCTTCAGCTCTTTATTGAAATCCAGCAACTGAGGCTAGGTGCGGTGGGGCTCACACTGGTAATCCCAGCACCTTGGGAGGCCAAGGCAGGTGATCAACATGGTGAAACCCCATCTCCACTACAAATACAAAACTAGCCAGGCGTGGTAGTGTGCACCTGTAATCTCAGCTACTCAGGAGGCTGAGGCAGGAAATCACATGAACCCAGAGGCAGAGGTTGCAGTGAGCCGAGATCACACCACTGCACTCCAGTCTGGGCGACAGAGAAAGATTCTTGCCTCTAAAAAAGAAAGAAAAATATCTGAAATCCAGCAACCAAAACAATTACAACAAGGTTTTATGTTCTTAACACTCCTACTGATGTAAGAATCAAAGTTAAACTGTTAGGCTGATGTTTGGGTGAAAAAGGTTCACATCATCTAATAATTGGATGCAACCTAAATAGTTAACTATGCTTTACTAGGAAGCAGTGTACTCCTTTCTTAGGAAGACCTCCCATTCTATTATTTCCTCTTTGCTGATAGGAAACCTTTAAATCCTGAAGTGAAACATCTGTGCCTGCTAAGTGGATGCTAGGGTGTGTGTGGTAAACAAATCTGAAAGACATATTTGTCCTGTTTCCATCTTTGGGCAACAGTGGTCCACACTGGTAATGCTCACCTTTGGCTCTGTCTTCACCATCCACTCTGAGCAGTGGAGAGACAGCACACCCATCAGCTGGGGCACTAGCACAGCTGTCCTATTCTCCCCCCATTCAGGAGGTCATGCCACACATCCAGCTACTCTGAGCCTTCAACCACTCCCATGAAACAATGAGGCTATGTCAAAGGCAGAAACCCAAACATCTGTTTGCAGTGTCAGGCACATCTGTAATGATGCAAGGAAAAGGAAAGGGGGAAAAAAGTGCTAGTGCTACAAATGCCTGGAAGGGGTTGCAAAGAACAATGCAGGATGCTCTCTATCAATCTATTGCGTTCCTCATTAGTCATGATCACTGCCTCCACAATGCCCCAGATCCCTTTGTGGCATTCAAGAGTCATGCCACTCTGCCTCTACCATGCCCAGTTGGAGAAACATTTCCATGGAACAGCAGTCTATTAAAAAAGATAACTACACTTGTGAAGATGGATTTTTCCATCTTCCATGACCCTAGGGTCAGGCTTGTACTTAATTGTACCTGAGGTTTTTTTCTCCCCTTCCTACGATGGTTGAAGGATACAATACTACGAAAACCCTGTTTTCTTTGGGTGCTCTTAAGTCCTCTTCTCGCCAAAATCTAAAAATAAAACTTACTGAAAAATCACTCACTACAAGTAAATATATTCAGAGCAAATTTTAAGTTTAAAGCAGTCAATGACTAACATCCCAATTTTCCTTTCCCCCTAGCACGAGAGGTTCCTACAAGCAACTCTGTTCCAAAGAGCGTAGCATTCATGCTTCCACAGGGAAGAAACAGGCAATTCTAGAGCTGACAGCCTGGGTACAGTGGTACCTCCTTAAGCTTCAAATTCACATCCTGTACAAAGATTTGAGGAATGATTACCAATTGGGGAGGAAGACAGACACTAGGGAAAAGTACATACAACATACTTAAAGAGACAAATGTATTACCTGGAATAACTTGAGGAAAACGCAATACTACATTTCTATTGTGCAAACAGTTTCAATTCATCAAGAAGGAATCTCAGGCATGAGAACAGATAAGAGCCAGATAGATAATGCAGCCCTTCTCCTCCATCCCACAATTCTCTCCTCTTCATGTTTGATATGGTCCCAACATGACCTTCAGATGTGGGTTCAGATGCCAGACCCTGGCAGTTTTAAAACAGACAAATGTCACTCTTGTACAAAGAGTAGAAGTGACACCATCTTCACAGAGAAATCTTTTCCAATTACCAGCAGACAGGCCGACTCCCAGCTGGTGAAAGCGCGGGCCAGGGGTAGGCCAGGAAACCCTCCACACCCTGCCAGGTGCCCACACAATGGCTCGGCCCAGGCTCCTGGAAAGAGTTTATTTGCCATTACTTCTTGATATTGATATCCTCTCCTAAATGTTCCTTAGACTCACATTTTATGTTGAACGTGTTTTTCAAAGCTGTAAATCTAGGAATGGAATTGAGACATTACTAGTTTTACAGGATTGCAGGATGAATAAATGGCATTTTGCAAACTAAAACCACAATGAGATCACCTTACAGCAGTCAGAATGGCTACTATTAAAGAGTCAAAAAATAACAGACGTTGGCGAGGAGGTGCAGAAAAGGCAACACTTCTATACTGCTGGTGGGAATGTAAATTAGTACAGCCTTCAAGGAAGACAGTATGGAGACTTCTCAAAGAACTAAAAATACAACTACCATTTGAACCAGCAATCCCACTACTGGGTATCTACCCAAAGGAAAAATCATTACATTAAAAAGACACCTGCCCTCCTATGTTTATCCCAGCACCGTTCACAACAGCAAAGATATGGAATCTAAGTATTCACCAACGTATGCTTAAAGAAAATGCAGTGTGGATGTATGTACACACACACAAACACACAAACACACACACACACACACATACACACATACACACATATACACAATGGAATACTACTCAGCCACAAAAAAAGAATGAAATAATGTCTTTTGTAGCAACATAGTTGGAACTGGAGGTAATTATCTCAAGTGAAATAAATCAGACACAGGTCAAATACTGCATTTTCTCGCTTATAAGTGTGAGCTAAATAATGTATATACATGGATACAGAGTGTAAAACAATAGACATTGGAGATTACTAATGGGAGGATGGGGGGTGAGAGACAACAAATTACGTAATGGGTACAATGTATACTATTTGGGTGATGGCTACAGTAAAAGTACAGACTTACCACTATGTAGTACATTCATGTAACAAAAATGCACTTGTACTCTATTTATTTTTTGAGAGGGAGTTTCACTCTTGTTGCCCAGGCTGGAGTGCACTGAGATGACCTTGGCTCACTGCAACCTCTAACTCCCAAGTTCAAGCGATTCTTCTCCATCAACCTCCTGAGTAGGTGGGATTACAGGCATGTGCCACCACGCTTGGCTAATTTTTGTATTTTTAGTGCAGACGGTGTCGTACCCCTTAAATTTATACAAAATCAAAGAAAAAAATACCATTTTTACTCAGCTTCAAAATATACTGATAGGTAAATCCAGGGATTAAAAAGACAAACTTCTTTGTAGAAGTATTCACAGCCAAGTTACATTAAATGCCACGGCTCTTTTGGGCTTCCAACACAGTATTTTAAGTGGTTACAAATGTCTGTTTATGAACAGCTTGCTTCCTAAGATAACGTCCGGGGCCAAAACTCAGAAGGAGTAAGAGGCAACTGCCTCAAAGGTACTCAGGCTGCGGGTAAACATTTGACGGAATAAATGCTCTTTATTCACAGCCTGTGTTGAAATCTCCCTGAGGATGACTCACCATGCCTTTTCCCAACATCAGGCCCAGGAAGCCACGGACTTTCCCATGTCATCACTGACTTGCAAGCCTGGGGCAAAACCACAGTCCACCCAGCACAGAACTTGGTTCTGCGACCAGAACCAAAGATGAACTTGTACCCTAGGAAGATGTGGTCTTCTAAGCCTGACAAAGGACGTCAATTTTCCCCATTCCTCTCTCTTAATTCATAATAGAAGGGTTTGGTTAATTACACCTGGGATAATGAATAACTAAAAATGTGTTCTTCGCTACGTAAACAGAACACATTCTCTATTCATTTACAGTTAACATTTCAACTTCCTCTTAGTCTCACCTCCCAGGACAAGATCAATGGACCTACATTCATCTAACCACATTGTCGATTTTCCAGGCTTCTTATTTTCTCCATCTTTTTTCTAGTTGAAGATTCCTCATTGTTTTAGACTTTCTTCATCACAGCTCTCACATGGCAGTCCAGATTTGGGTTATTTTTAATCTTTTTGGAGTTATTTCAAGTTGTTTGTCTAGTTTAAATCCAGGCAGACTTCAAGATTTTTCCCTTTGTTCCTGTACAACACTGGTGAAAGGAGGGTGCTCCACGGAAGCTGGATTTGAATGCTAGAAAAGGAACAAGGTATTCTAACAGTGTTCTTGCCACAACTTTCACCGTCAGACCTTAAAATCTGAGTGCTGTAGGGAAATTAAAACCATCTATTGTCCTCATATTATAACTAGAGGAATAGAAGCCCAGACAAAATCAAACAACTTGCTCCAGCTCCCATGAAGAAAACCCTGTCTCTTCTACTTCTTCCTATTCTATTTAGCTACTTCACCCAATTCATCTATTAACATTTTCTCAGCCAGGTGTGGTTGCTCACACCTGTAATCCCAGCACTTTTGGAGGCTGAGGCGGGTGAATCACTTCAGGTCAGGAGTTCAGACCAGCCTGGCCATCATGATGAAACCCTGTCTCTACTAAAAAATATAAAGATTAGCCAGGTGTGGTGGTGAGTGCCTGTAATCCCAGCTACTCAGGAGGGAGAGGAGGTGGGCGGATAGCTTCAACCCAGGAGGCAGAGGTTACAGTGAGCCGATATTGTGCTACTGCACTCCAGCCTAATTGACAAACCAAGACTGTCCCGGGAGAGAAAGAGAGAAAAGACACAAAGAAAGACAAGAAAGAAACACAAGAAACAAGAAAGAAAGAAGAAAGAAAGAAAGAAAGAAAGAAAGAAAGAAAGAAAGAAAGAAAGAAAGAGAGAGAGAGAGAGAGAGAGAGAAAGAAAGAAAGAAAGAAAGAAAGAAAGAAAGAAAGAAAGAAAGAAAGAAAGAGAGAGAGGAAGTGAGGAAGGGAGGAAGGGAGGAAGGGAGAGACAGAGAGAGAGAGAAAAAGAAAGAAAGAAAGAAAGAAAGAAAGAAAGAAAGAAAGAAAGAAAGAAAGAAAGAAAGAAAGAAAGAAAGAAAGGAAGGAAGGAAGGAAGGAAGGAAGAAAGAAAGAAAGAAAGAAAGAAAGAAAGAAAGAAAGAAAGAAAGAAAGAAAGAAAGGGAAAGAAATCTCATCACAATATCAAAAGACATAATTTCAGCCAGGTGCACAGGCTCATGCCTGTAATCCCAGCAAGTTGTGAGGCAGAAGTGGGTGGATCGCTTGAGCTCTGGAGTTTGAGACCAGCCTGCCAAACATGGCGAAACCCCATCTCTACCAAAAAAAAAAAAAAAAAAATACAAAAATTAGCTGGGTGTTGTGGCACATGCCCCTCATTCCAGCTACTCAGGAGGCTGAGGTTAGGGGGACTGCTTGAGCCCAGGAGGTTGAGGCTGAAGTGAGCTGAGATCACACCACTGCACTCCAGCCTGAGCAATAGAGCAAGACCCTGTCTCAAAAAACAAAAATCAAGACATTATTTCTATTCTACCTTAGTGCTTAAAGAGTGAAGTGATTTAATTATGACTTCTCACAACGGTAAGAGAACAATGAACTGCAATGAGAGAGTCAGTCGTGTTCCACCCCCTTTGAACCAAGGCTGATGAATTATGAACAAGTCAAGGCCCTTAATGCAACATGACCACAAAACGGCAGTAAGGAGAAGGTACTTGAAACCCTAAGACTAACGTCTCTTCCTCAGATCAGGAGAGCTTTCAAAGAGCTGCAAAGGTCATTTGCTGCTTCGTGATCAAAAATGTAAAAATCATAGGCCATAAATCACTAACTTAAGCCACAGAAAATGTAATGTAAGATTATACCATCCACATATTTTCATTATAAGGGTATTACATACTGGTAAGAATTCAAAAATCTGATAAAGCATATAAAAAAGTATTAAACTCAATGAACGATCATGGAATTTCCTCCAACTAAATATTTTAAGAAGAAATAGAATTAAAGCGCAGATCACAACTGTGAAAATGAGCATAGTGAAGTTGAACTGAAGGAAACCTAACCATTCAAATATTAGAAGAAGCTAGAAAGTAAGAATATAAAAACTTGACCAGCATATATTACATCCTTTAACTTTTCCAGAGAGAGAAATACAACTGGCTCCCAAATATGAAACATGGTCATCTACACAATGAAAAATAGTTTTCATAGATTTTTCCTATATTTTGTTCAAAAATGCAAAAAAGGAATGGTAAAATCACACAGCATCTCATCACTGCTTTCCTCTGTTCCTTTAATTGCACCCTCATCTCTGCAGTCACCTCAGGGACAAAGTTTGGGGACAGACACCCCTCAGCTTCCTTAGCCACTCATAGCTCAATCTCTGTCTTGCACATACATGCACGGTTACACACACACACACACACAACTTTATCAAAAAAGGCAATCATTCCACATGAGCCTTTGTTTTTGTAATTTTAGAATTTAAAAACTAAAAAATTATTAAGAAGTTGAATCCTTAAGTAACATAAGAAAAAAGTATTCTTAAATAACTGATCAATTACTTCATGAGTAAACTCAAACCCAAAGATTCCTAGCTGTATACATCTAAAATGCCAATCTATTTTATTTTCATTTTTGAGACCAAGTCTTGCTCTGTCACACAGGTTGGAATGTAGTGGCATGATCTTGGCTCACTACAACCTCCACCTCCTCAGTTCAAGCAATTCTCCTGCCTCAGCCTCCCAAGTAGCTGGCATTAAAGGCGAGCGCCACCATGCCTGGCTGATTTTTGGATTATTAGGAGATGGGGTCTCACCATGTTGCCCAGGCTGGTCTTGAACTCCTGACCTCAGGTGATCCACCAGACTAGGCCTCACAAAGTGCTGGGATTACAGGAGTGAGCCACTGTGCCCGGCCTGCCAATTTATTTAAAATGGGAAAATGGGATCAATCACGTTGGATAAGGAACACCCTTCTTGAAATACTAGGAAACCTTTTGAAATACTGTAATAATCTATGAATTTCCAGTGATCAAAGTATTCATTTCTCACCAAAATGCTTCTGCAGAAAAACAACTTATTACAGATGAATATTTACAGGCTCTCAAACAAATTCTGTGTAAAACAAAAGGTCTCAGATACAGCAGGCTTCTTGGAGTCTAGACATGTGGATTTCATTCAAAAGTATGTTGATCATTTGCTATTTGGCTTTGAGAAAATAATTTAATCATTGAAAATTTACCTCCATTTCCCCAATAGGAATTTGAGTAGATTTGCAAATGCAAGCACTAGTCTAACCCAGCAGACATGCAACCACAGAAGAGGAAAATGACTACCATCTATGTTTCTGGAAGCAAACAACTTTCTCTTCAATTTTATTAATATGTACCCTTGCTTAATAAATTTCATCCCGAGATGGAGGACACTATCATAAAAACTACAAACATTCAAAGCACATGGTTACTCTACCAAACCAAATAAAAACTGTAAACCGTTTCTAATTTTTTTGTTGTTGTTTGTTTGGTTTTTATTTTGGAGATGGAGTCTCCCTCTGTCACCCAGGCTGGAGTGCAGTGGCACGACCTTCCTTCACTGCAACTTCTCCCTCCCAGGTTCAAGCGATTCTCCTCCTTCAGCCTCCTGAGTAGCTGGGATTAATAGGTGCCTGCCACCATGCCTGGCCAGTTTTTTGTTTGTTTGTTTTTGTTTTGTTTTTTTTAGTAGAGATGGGGGTTTCACCACATTGGCCAGGCTGGTCTCAAACTCCTGACCTCCAATAATTCACTGGCCTTGGCCTGCCAAAGTGCTGGGATTACAGGCATGGGCCACTGTGCCCAGCTGTAAACCATGTCTTTCAGAAGCCATTTCTAATGTTGTGGCAACATTAATTTGCATGCTGAAAACAGCTTATTGCAGCATGAAGGCCCTCCAGATACTATTCAAACTTACCTTTCAGTTTCATCTCCCAGCCCCTCACCTGCATGTCTCCTGCAGTCCTGTGGACAAACAACTCACTCTCCCCTCAAAATGCCTCCTTTCCCATTTCTTTTATATTTTATTATTTCCACCTGGAATTCTTCAATTATCCCAGGTCTACCTACTCCTACCTACCAAAATTCCTAATTCTGTAGTTCATTGCCATGTCCCCTACTCCCTGCACATTTGCCTGTCCCCAGATCGCATGCAACTTCTTCCTTCTTTCAATCTGTAATGTGGCTTTCCTACTCATCCTGGGCACTGTTTTTGCACTTATAATCCCACTTTGGAGAGTTCAGGGACTATTTTTAAATGACCTCCACAGTCTCCTTCAGTGCCCATTGCAGTACCTTATAACTAGTAGAATCTCAGTGAGCTTTTGTGGAATTGAATAATCTGTTACATAAAATCCTCCTTCCCAAAAATCAATCTGTATCCCCTGAATAAAAATTGTACCATTTTAACAACAGAAGATTACTGCAGCCAAGTTATATCCTGAACATTTCACTTTAGTTTATTAGCTTTTTAAATGTTAATAAGAAAATGTCATTAAATATATATGTACATACATACATAATGCCTTCTAAGGTGCTGGAATCACTGCCCCTATATTATTCTTATGCCATCTCTGAAGGGTCAGAAATGACATTTATTTTATACACAGGAAACCAAGGATCAACCGACTAATAAGTAGGTGATATCAACCCTCAGACCAGAACTGATTATGCACTACTGAAGACAAAAAAAAAAAAAAAAAAAAAAAGAGAAAATAGAAACCTTCTCTCAAGCAGCTTGTCATTTGCTTGTAGAAAAAAGATAACACATGAGACAAGTACAGCATATGTGCTTAAAGCATTTCTATGGTTTCTGTCCTAAAATAGATTGAGCCAGATTCTACTTGGCTTCCGGCACAAGTAGCTTTTGGCCCCTTTGGTTAATGTCCATTGTAAATATGACTCCCCTGAAGCCCAGCTCCAAGAACTGCACTGTGTGCTTGGCCTACTCCACAAGTGCCATGGGGACTTAAGGGAGGACAAGGCCAGAGTAGTTACAGAAGACCTTAAAAGGAAGTCAAAACTCAAACTGACATTAGACGAAAACAAAATTTGAAATGGTGACCAGAAAAAGTGCAGCCTAGAAAGGAGACAGAAGCCAGACTTGGAGATGGTTATTACCAGAATTAGCCCAGAGTGGAGGGCAGGAAGAGTTAAGTCAACTGACTGGCCTGAAGGGTGTTGGAAAGAGCCAGGGTGGAATGGGGAATAGAAAAGGCAAGGACAGGCTCAAAACCCAGCAGTCAGCTAAGCACAGAACCCATGCCAGACCCTGAAGGTTCTAAGATGGCCCTCGACAATATTCTCTGCCTGCAACTGGAAGGCTTTGATTCTGCTCTCTTCAATCCTCTATTCAGCCATTCCCTATGGATGAACTAGTTAGGTGTACACGACAAATTCACAGGCAACAATGTTGTTTTCAAGCTCCAATTACAGAGGTAACCCATTTTTATTATGGAAAATATGGAAAACCCACAAGTAAAATTTATAAAGTTAACACCCACCAATATCATAATCCAACCACATTTCCTTCACTCATTTATTCACCAAGTACAGTATTTATCAGAATCTGCTACACCCCAAATGTTGTTCTAGGCTTCTGGGACATATAGTGAGAAAAACAGACAAACTTCCCTGCCCTCCCGCAACTTATATTCTATTAGGAGAGAAACACAAAAGTCATTGATAAAGACAAGTAAATGTCAAGTATGTTAAAAGGTAGTAGGGACGAAGTAAAGAGTAGAGCAGGGTAAAAGGATTGGGAGTGCGGGGTGGTGGGGGGAGCTACAAACTTAGGGGAGTCAACTTGCTCTAAATTGAGAATATAGATTTACCAAATTGAGATCCTACTGTTTTATTGGCTTTTTTCCCACTTATTATATAATGAGGATATCCCCAAGCCATTAAATATTCTTTTGCAATATAACTTTTAATGACTGCAGAGAATTCCATCTCATGAATGTACCACATATGCACCATAATTAACTGTTCTACTCATTGGGGCAGTTAGATGTTTTTTAAAAAAGCTATTATAAATAACGCTTCCATTTCCTTAAAAGCAACATAAAGTGGTACATTTACATAGAATTTGGTACAAATAGTGTTAAGGCTCATGATATACTTGAGCTGCATAGGGCATCAGTATCTTAAAGCAATGTGCTCAGATTCTTTGTCTCCCTCTCTTTCTGTCAAGGTTCCTGCCTCCCACACATGGCAATTTTTTCCATCAAGCTCATGGAATTTCTTCGGCTTTCCCATCTCTCCATCAGCTTCTCTGTATATCAAATACTCTATGTATCAGAGGAGAACTCTTCCTTAGACGCCTAACACAGTAGCAGGAACAGAGAAGAACATGCAATACCCATTAGATTAATAAATGAACAAAAAAAATTGAGTGTTCATAAACACTCTGGCTTCCATACAGCCAGGGAGATGCCTGGCAATGTTTCTCTTCTCCCACCTTTCACCGTAAGGAGTGAGTCATATCTCAGACATATTCAGCATCGCTTTAACAAGACTGCAAAGTATTTCCCTGAATGCCTTTAGGATGCTGGAAACCACCATTCAACCTGGACAGCTAAAGAATACTATTGACTATCTAATATAAATGCTTAATAGCAGAAAACCCTTGCATTATTTTCCTTCTTTCCAGTCACTTATAGATGACATTTATATAATGCCTTACACTGGTAACATAAATGAAAAGCATCTTTTTAATAGTTCATAAACCAACATTCCGAATTCCAACCATAGTATTTAGCTGCTGCTCTTATCAAAAAGAAACTTATTTTTTATACTGTCACACCAAGATGAAAAAGCCTGAAAATGATTTGTAGAAAAGTTAGTGAACAAGAAAATACTGCACTCAAAAAATAAAAATAAAAAAACAGGCTACATCAGTTATTCATCACTTGAAGCTGCTTCAGTCTGGGTTCATGCTACTGAGTGATTAGAGTTTCACTGTTTAGCCAATGGAAACCTCTGAGTTTTAACCACTGTATCTCACTGCTTCTAGAAGTCTCAACATCCTCTTTCCAAGGCCCTCTTTTCAGAGTTCGAAGTGAAATCAAAGAGCCATCTCAAAACATTTCCTAATTTATAATGTAGCCTTAGAACAAGGGGCAAATGTCGTCTTACACACACCAGCAGTGAGAACACACACCCGCTGTGACCATTGTCCTTTCTGAGAAGGACCCACACAGCCATTCATCCACTGCACTAAAAATGGACTCCGATGCAAGGAACAAAGGGGATATGGGACTCAGAGCCTTCACTGGGATTCCAGGTTTGAGTATTGGTGCTACGTAACTACTGCAGCTTCACAACTAACCTGGCTGTGTTTCAAAGGCACTGAAAGTGGAGAAGGTGAAGACTCTAGGAACAACGATTGTTTCAACTTGCTCATGCTCAGGACTGTAGATGCATGCGACAGCTCTTTATCATTCATCATCATGAGATCTGGTCACAGCAAACCAAGACGGCAGGGATAATGAGACCAAAGTTGCTAGGCACTATGTGGTCTCAGCTGGCTTCCACACTGTTACACACCACTCTTGTCTGTCTTCAAGATGCACCACAGGAGAAAAGAGTGAAAGCCACGTGTATTTCCATCTTTAATTCCCATCGCTATCCTGAGAAATGATCTGATGGGAAACAAGCAACCCAGTTCCAGTAGGTAAGAGTTAGAAATGAATTTGTCTGCTTCTACCACGTGCTAATGTTCCATACCCCAAAGGTGGGTGTGTGGATGTCAACATCTTAGCACACTTGTTACCATACAATTTCTGCAGCGTTCTTTTGAAACAGAGTTTTAAAAGAATAGAAATTAACCCTATGAAATTCCTTTTTGTGAAGAAGTACTCTGAAAATATTGTTTGTCTTTTGGTGCACTCAACCAACAAATATTTAGTGAGTGCCTATCCTGTGCCAGGCACTATTCTAGGCACCCAAAATATATTACTGAAAAGATAAATGCAGAGAACTTGTCATCTAAGAGCTTAGGTGAAGGGCAGAAGGCACAGAGATATCTAAGAAGTCAGATCTGGTTGGGAAGTGGCTCACACCTGTCATCCCAACACTTTGGGAGGCCAAGGCAGGCAGATCACTTAAGGTCAGGACTTCAAGACCAGCCTGGCCAACATGGCAAAATCCCGTCTTTACTAAAAATACGAAAAAAGAATTAGCCAGGTGTGGTGGCGGACAACTGTAGTGACAGCTACTCAGGAGGCTGAGGCAGGAGAATTGTTCGAACCTGGGAGGTGGAGGTTGCAGTGAGCTAAGACAGTGCCACTGCGCTCCAGCCTGGGTCACAAAGTGTGACTGTGTCTCAAAAAAAAAAATTTTAAGGGAGGTCTGATGAATGCAGTGAATAATGCACAATAAGAGGGGATCAAGAGGAATGGAGGTGGTATCTCAGCAGAGATCAGAAGTTGAGTGAGAGATAATCCTGCAGATATGGTGGCAGGGGGGAAGACGGAAGAAGGAAAAAGACCCTGAGGCAGGACAATGTCAGATTCAAAGGTGAAGGCGACTGCAGAAGCTGGGTGTTTAGAGCCAGAGGAGGGAGAAGAACAGTGGGAAAAGGCAGGAATGGGCAATGGGGAGAGATGACCCTACCACCGCAGAAGTCACTCCAGGACCCTGGCCTTTATCCGCAGTGATAGGTAAGCAGTGATTGGTGGAGGGCAGTGGTGTGAAATAAAGCTTGACAGAATCTAACTTACCTTCTAACTTACCGTGAGGTGAAGAATAGACTGAAGGGAAATAATTGGGAGCAGGGAGGGCAGTTAGGAGGCAGTGATGGCTCTGTATGTGAGAAATGATCCCCTGGAAACGCGAAGAAGTTGTCTGGTTGTAGATATATTTTGAAAAAAAAAATCATAAGTAGCTAATGGCTTAGATTTGGGTATGAGAGAATGAGAGGGGTCATGGATGAATCCAGAGTTTCTGGCCTGAACAATGAAAGCAGGGCATTGCCCATCTTGAAGTCGGGGAAGACCAAGGCAGGAGGTCAAGAATCCATCTTGAGACTCAAAGTTGAGATGCTCAATTGACATCATCTAGATGAAGATACTGAGTTCTGGGAAGAAATCCAGGCAAGAAATAAAAGTCTGGTGAGAGGTCCAGGCAACACAGGTAAATCTGAGAGTTGCCAATAGGGTATTTAAAGTCATGGAGCTATCATGGTAAGTGCCCAGCCATTCTTCCTCTGCTCACAACTAGAAATTCTCAACAAAATATAAACAGCAACTACCTGAGAACTAGGAAAACAAAACAAAATCAGGCAGGATGTAGAGAGGAGTCAAATGTTGGCAAAGTAACCTAAGATAGGGTTAATTTCCTTCCCCCACTTTCCCTGCTCCTACTTCTCTAACGGCCTTGCCCCAAGGGTGGGCACCAGTCACAGAGGTCCACAATCAGATAAATCTTACAGAAATCAAAGAGGAAAAGGGATTCTTATGAATCAGAAAATGAGTGGAACCACAGAGAGGAGAGAGCTGGAGAGAGAGATCCTCTAATTCTTCTCCCTCCCATCCCTCCCCCCAGACAGAGTCTCCTCTGACACCAAGGCTGGAGTGAGTACAGTGGCGCGATCTTGGCTCCCTATCACCTCCGCCTCCTGAGTTCAAGTGATTCTCCTGCCTCAGCCTCCTGAGTAGCTGGGATTACAGGCACGTGCCACCACATCCAGCTAATTTTTTTAATTTTTAGTAGAGACAGGGTTTCACTGTGTTGGCCAGGCTGGTCTCAAACTCCTAACCTCGTGATCCACCTCAGCCTCCTAAAATGCTAGGATTACAAGTGTAAGCCACTGTGCCCTGCGCCCTAATTCTATATATGAACCTCCACCCCACTCTGCCCAAGGTCTCAGGTTCATCCAAGTCACATGCGGGCAGGACACACTCAAAGCGATATAACAGAGACCTGAGGACTGAACCAAGATTCACACCAGGGCCCAAATCTCAAAGTAATCCCTGGTGATACAATTTCAGGACAGACCCAAAGTGGAAAGCCAGGGCTTTAAAAATCTCAACTCACACTGGAAACACCACCAATAGAGATCGAGACAGAACTACTTGCAGCCTGAACCTAACCACGATGGATGGTGGTTGTCTGATTTAAAAAACAAAACAAAACAAAAAAAACTCCCAGATTACAAAAGGAACCAGAGTTTACACAAGATAACATTCACAATGTTCAGGACAATGCAAAATTACTCAAGGCACAAAGAAATGGAGAAATGTCACCAGTTTCCAACGGAAAAGACAATCAACGGATGCCAACTCCAACATGACCCAGATGTTAGAATTATCAAGTGAAGGCTTTAGAGCAGCTATTTTAGCTATGTTCCATAAGGCAAATGCTCTTGAAATAAATGGAAAGCTGGGCATTCCCAGCAGGGAAACAGGAACTATAAAAAAGAACCCAGTGGAAATTATAGAACTGAAAACCAGAATATCTGAAATCCAAAATTCACGGAATCGTCTTGAAGCAGAATGGAGGTAACAGTCAAGAAAAGTCAGTACTTGAACATCAACAGAAACTATTCTATCTGAAGAACAAAGAATAAAGACTGAACGATTATAATAAATTCAGCCTCAGTAACTTGTGGAATGATACCAAAAGATGTAATACATGCTGTGTAGTATAAGAAGGAACAGAGGAAGAAATTAAGACCAAAAATCAACATTTGCAGAAACAGTCATGGAACTTGGTAAGAACACCTATAAATTAAGCAGCAGGAGGAAAAAGCCTCGGGAGCCGCACAAGCATTGTCCACTGTTTAGACATTGGCAAGAGGAAGAGAAACCATCAACCCAGACAGGATTGGAAGGATCTTTCAGGAAGACAACTGGGAGGCTCGGTACTGGAACCAAAGGAAGAAAATCAAGAAGAAAGGAGTGAACCATCATGTCAAACACTACTGATAAATGAAGCCCGATTAGAACTGAGAGCAACCAACCAATGGATTTGACAATGAAAGAGTTATTAGTAGCATTGACAAGACCAGTCTCGTAGAGGACTAGAGACAAAAGTCAAACTAAAGAGGATCAAGAAAAGAAAGGAGAGGGAGTGTAGAAAATTCTTTCAGTAAAAGGGAAGAAAGAATGCACCAGAAGCTAAACAGAGGTGGCTTTGAGAATGCTTTTTTTTTTCCTCCTAAAACAGAGTCTCACTCTGTCACCCAGGATGGAATACAGTCTTATAATCTCTACTCACTGCAGCCTTGAGTTTTTGGGCTCAAGTGATCCTTCCACCTCAGTCTCCTGAGTAGCTGGGACCACAGGCATGCACCACCACGCCTAGCTAATTTTTTTATATCTTTTACAGAGACAGCATTTTGCCATGTTGGCTAGGCTGGTCTTGAAGTCCTGACCTCAAGTCATCCTCCCACCTCGGCCTCCCAAAGTGCTGGGATTACAGGTGTGAGCCACCATGCCCAGCCGCGAGTACATTTTGTAAGATGAAAGATATTTCTGTATGCTGATGAGATGACACAGTAGAGAAGAAAAACTAATGGTACCAGGACAGATTAACCAACATTAGAACAATGACCTTCAGTAAGTGAGAAGGACAGGAGCTAGCACCCAAAAAGGGCAGGGCTTTGGCATGTGCAGGGCCAGAGTATGCACATTTTAGCTAGAAGGAAATCAGTCTATAAGTTCAGATGTGGATAGGTTTGTAAATTTAGTATTGAATGTAAATACTGTCTTCATAATGTTTTTACTTCAGCGAAGTAAGAAGCAGGGTCACCAGCTGATATTAAGGAAAGGTGAGATGTTGAAGGTTGAGGAGAAAGGTAAAGCCAGAGAGTTTCTGGACTAGGGAAATAGGTAAAGCAGAAATTCAGCAGGGGCATAGGTAGGAATTTTTAGGGAATGTTAAAGGTCACAGATGACTGCAATTTTCAAATTGTCTGAAAAACAATTAGAAGACTGTTTTTCAATAAAACAATTACTGGCCAACATGGTGATTCCCCAACTCTACTGAAAAACAAAAAATTAGCTGGATGTGGTGGTGGGCACCTATAATCCCAGCTACTTGGGAGGCTGACATGCTTGAGCCCAGGAGGTGGAAGCTGCAGTGAGCAGAATCGTGCCACTGCATTCTAGCCTTGGCCACCCTGAGACTCTTATCTCAAACAAACAAAAAAAAAAATTACCCCACTAAATGCTACTTAGTCATACTGCAAATATGTTTCCTAAATTGTTTTCTCAGGGACTAATCCCAAGTTTTAGGGAATCACTATTAACCTTAACACTCAGCATACCGGGGCAAAAAGGCCTAACAAGAAGTATCCAGACATCTCTGCATAGAGGGCTCTTTAGAATTAGCATGTAATACTGAAACCTAACAAACAGGCAAAGTTTTCGGATTGGGACTCCAGACTGAGAATTCTTCAAATAACCAACGACAGAGTACAAAAATGATTCCAGGATAAGTCACCAGGAAGGGTAACTATTACAGAAAGGTAGAACTCATTTTGTCCTCATAGCTAAGCAGTTACTGATTATGTCTGACGTAAATGCAAGTCAGGCACGTAATAGAAAATGTAAATAGGCTCCAGGAATGTCCCTGTGTCCCCAGCTCATTAAGCAGAGAAGAAAGTCCAAGACAAACAGTGTAAAGGAAAATGTCAACAATAAAGTCATCACTGGTGGGACCTCAAGGCAGCAGAGTGGAATCACAACTAGATCCTGCAATGTAACTAATCAAAATCTTATGAATTTTTTTTTACAAAGCAGAAATTCCATACGTTTTGACCCACGAAGGGGAGAGCTTCAGCACATGAAACAGATTCGTCTGGAGTAATAGGAAGTATGTCCAAATGAGGGAGGAGGCATCCAAAAGGACAAGACCTGGTAAGTGACACCAAGCAGGTAAGACCAGGAAGCCCTCATTATAATGACAGTAACTACAACAATAATAGAAACCAATGCAATTAGTGGTTACTCACTAACGGCCATCCCATGCTGGGAGCTTGACTGTCTCCTCTGGTATCACTTAATCCTGACATAAAGATTAAGTAGGAGATATCATTATCCCTATTCTATGAATAAGGAAACAGTCTTACAAACGTTATGCAATCAATAGTGTAGAAAAATTTCATAAAGACTTGAAAAACTTTCATAATTATTCTATGTACAGGAACTCTTCTTAAAGGTAAGGAAATTCAAGACAGCAGCAAAGCCATAAGAAACTTCCTCTTGGGTGCAGTGGCTCACACCTCTTATCCCAGCACTTTGGGAGGCCGAGTAACGTGGATCGCTTGAGCTCAGGAGTTCGAGGCCAGCCTGGGCAACATGATAAACCCCCGTTTCTACAAACAAAATACAAAAATTAGTGGGGTTTGGTGATGTGCATCTCTAGTCCCAGCTACTTGGGAGGCTGAGGTGAGAGAACTGGCTTGAGCTCAGGGAGGTCGAGGCTGCAATGAGCCATGATCATGCCACTGTACTCCAGCCTGGGCAACAGAGGGAGATCCTGCCTCAAAAAATAAAAAATAAAATAAAATAAAACACAAAGGGAAAATTCCAACAACTTAACCCATATACAGATCAATCTCATTTTAAGGTACTGACGCAGGATGCTGACAATGCTGATCAAATACCCCTGTAGCCACCTTTAAAAAGCTAGGATACTCGCTATTCTTCTTCAAATCGCCTTTCAACCTGTGCACAAAGGAAGGTCCGGCACCACCTGCTGTGACTCAAGACAGTCATGTGCCATCAATATTCACCAGCTACCCACAAACAGGTGCTGGTGCCCAAATTCCTTGGGTTATGAAAACGCCACTCTTAGGTTCTGACATACAAGAGGGTGGAAGAGGAAGCCAGAGTCCCGGCAACACTTTACCTGCGGCTTTATAGAAATAACTTCACACACTCTCATCTCAATTTCCTACCCTATAAAAGTGAGGAATGTGCACTGAATTCATAGACCTTCTGAGCTGGAAGGGGGCCTACATACCGGCTTAGAGTAGATTCAATTCATTTACAGGTTATAATGGACAAAGCACCCTTCCAGTAGCAAAATTCTAAAAATAGCCACGACAAACTTTAGTTCTGAAAGTTTACTTAACAAATTACTTGTTTGAAATTGGAAATATACTTCCCCACAGGAATAATGTTATAGATTTCTATGTCAACCTCCAAAAGCCTATTTCACTTGTAAACTACCTGAAATAGTATAGTTGGCCCCCTGCATCCATGGGCTCCTCTGCATCCATGGACTCAACCAACCACAGATAAAAAATATTTGGAAAAATAAAAATTAAAAAGACAAAAATTAAAAATAGTGCAAATATAGGCCTGGAATGGTGGCTCATGTCTGTAATCCCAGCGCTTTGGGAGGCCAAGGCAGGTGGATCACCTGAGGTCAGAAGTTCAAGACCAGCCTGGCCAACGTGGCAAAACCCTGCCTGTACTAAAAATATAAAAATCAGCCGGGTGTGGTGGCGGGTGCCTGTAATCCCAGCTACCTGGGAGGCTGAGGCAGGACAATCACTTGAACCCAGGAGGTGGAGGTTGCAGTCAGCAGAGATCACACCACTGCACTCCAGCCTGGGCAACAAAGGAAGAATCTGCACCCTCGCCCCACCCCCCCCCCCCCCCACAAAAAAAGAGAATAGTGCAAATTTTAAATACAGTATAACAACTATTTACATAGCTCTTACACTGTGTTAGGTATTACAAGTAATCTAAGAGGTGATTTAAAGTAGTCATGTGTCACCGAATGACTGTGATAGGTCTGAGAGATCTATCATTAGGCAATTTCATCAGCACGTGAACATCAAAATGTACTCACACAAACCTACACGGTATTAGGTTTTTATTTATGTATATGTTTTCACATGGAAAAACAAATATCCCAGAACCATTACTGAATATCAACCATTTTTCCTACTTGATCTGCAATGCCACTATTTAGTGCCATATGTCAGGTTTCTACATATGCCCCATTATCTTATGGGACCACAGTTGTATATGTGGTCCCTTGTTGATGAAAACTGCGTGTGACTGTACAGACTGTATACAAGACGATGTGTGTAGGTTACACACCAATACTACTCCATGTTATACAAGGGACTTGGGCATCCAGATTTCAGTATCCCCAAAACTCCTGGAACCAATCCCCTGAAGATATGAAGGGACGACCTTACTACTATCACAAGGTCATAGAAGCTCATTGGGATACTAGGAAAGCATCTCCCACCTCCCTGCAGAGCCCCCACTGCCCCTGCCAAGCCACCAACACCAAGCAATAGGAAGAAATTCACAGCAAGGAAAGGAACAGAGTAAGAATGGAAACAGTAGAAAGGCAGGAATTGGATATGTGTAAGAGGTTGAGGCAAAGAATGAGAACTAGACCAGCAGATCCATAAATGCAGCGGGAGAGAGAGGCAAAGGGGGAAATGGTGCATCTGTCCTTCGCGCCCCCATCCCCATCGCTGGCTCCTCCATCACAGCAGACTTCTGTCGCCACCAGCACAACATTAAAAGGAAGAACTGGGGACCTAGGGACCTGGGAGGAGAGAGGTCAGAGCAGATACAAGACAAGTCTCCTGGGTCTGCATCAGGTAAGTGGTAAATCTGCAGGCGACATACTGCCCAAATCTAAAAATAACAAACAGACATTTCTAAAACCATAATTTGGTACGTCCAAGGGTTCCTACGCTTGAAGTGCCTGACCTCGGCACTTGCAGCACCTCATCTGGCCTGGATGTGCTTCCAAGTTCCCACTTGCTCCCTCAACTCCTCCCATCTCTGTCCCCTGCCCTGGGAATGCCAGGCTGGGCCAGAGTCTGGGCCCGTGCCCTGAGCACCATGCTCAGAAGGCACTGCTCACACCTTCTCTAGCCACACCATGTCATAGGGCAGAGTTCACAGGGCCCCCAAGACATGTTCACCTGGACACCACCCCACCTTCTGGGTCACACTCCAGGTCTCCCTGGGCCTGCTGCTTTACCTGCCAGTGTCCATTTTCTCAAGGGTGAAGCACTTCACCAGTTTGCATAAGAGAGGTTGTCTGCAGAGGTGTAGACAGACTTGGGACCTGTGGCCAGGGATGTCTCCCTGTACCACAGAAAGATTTTGGACAAGAAACTTGAGGAGTCTGAGAATTCTACATTGGAGCCTGGCTTCCAGGTTGTTGTGAAGGTCGTGTTTATTTACCAGGATGGCAGTATAGGACCTGATTTTTAGAGAGCTTGACTTAGAACTTGGAAACAGCTACTTAGACACATGGAATGTGAGCCTCTGTTTGTACTCCTGCCTCGGGTCCAGCAAGTGTTAGGAGCGAGCCTGTCTCTCCTCTCCCTGCTTTGGGCCGCTAGGCAATGTGCCCAGAAGGTCTAATCAGAGTGTTTGCTAATGAGTTGGCAAGCTCACTTACCTCCCTTCCTAGGGCTCTTCTTAATTAGAAACAAAACAGCTCCCAGCACTCCCCAAACAGAAAGTTGCAGCAAATTTCACACCCAATAAAGGAAACTTCCCTCTGCCACTCACCCACACACGAGATCAAAAAGATGACACCTGTTGTCACCCCTGCCCGGGGACGTATGGTCTTTCCCGGTCTTTGCTGTCAGTACTCTACTCCCAGGGTTTCCACCTAAGGAGAGCACTCACTGATGTACACTGGGACTTCAGAGCCCAAAGATTGTGTAAAATATTCAGGCAACAACAGCCAAAACCACAAGGAAGCCATTGACACAAGTCTTGGGTTACTCACCTCCGTGCAATTCGGGGCCACACCAATGCACAGCCTGAGCAAGGCTGCGGATCCCAGAACAAGCCCGTCTGCCCAAGTTTGAGGTCTGGTTTTAAGCAGCCTTTCCGGCCAGCACAGATAACACTATCCTGTTCTGCAATCAGGGCCAGGACACTGCAGTCAGCAGCCCTCACAGGTCCAACTGCAGACCGCTGTCAAGCAACCCCATGACCATATATGAAATCCCAATTACCTGTACTTATCCATCGCTAGTTCACTTCGCTGCAGTCCTTCGTAAACCAAAGAGCAGGTAGAACGAGTTCACCCTGAACACAGCATCCCTTTAAATGACCCTGGAGACCGTGATTTGCCATTGCCAGACAGGATGGACGGGAACAGATAGGCAACTGTGTGCGATCACAGGACATAATGGAATGAAATGTCAGATCAGGTGTTAGGATTTGATCTGTGCTATGGTTCAATCTGTGCTACAGAGTTCACACTTGGTCAGGCTTTTCCACGATGTGTAAAATTCTACAAGGTCTGTGCGGCATCACCTTTACTCTACTTTGCTCAACCACGATCACTGTGATTAGGAAGCCTGCCTATAGCCACATGACCCTCGCCACCTCCCACAGCCTGGGGGCCAGTTGTCATGGCATTTTATCAGGATCTTGGTCATGAGAAACCACTCTAAAAATGGGTTTCAGAAAGTAGAAGCAAGGCAAAAAAAGCTCTGACAATTTAAAAACCATTAGAATTACTAAGAGTTTGGTAAGGTGTCAAGTTCTTTTAAAAATAGCCTTTCCACACACCAATGGCAGCCAGTTAGAAAAGATTGTGGAAGAGGGCTATACAGTCCCTTTCGTAACTGATATTAAAAATAACTACCTAGAACTGAACATTAAAAATTTGCCAAAAACACACAAAAAATACCAAGCACATGAAAGGAAAATGGAATAGACAGACCATATACCTGGAAAGTAATTTATTATATAGATCTCAAGTCTTTCAAAATTTATGTAAAATGAATATTAATCTAATTAAATCCCAAAAGGATTTTTTCTACAGCTTGGCAAAAATGATTCTTAAGCTTTCATAGTGTAATAAATGTAAGAAAAGTCAAGAAAGTATTTTTTTTTTTAAGGAAAAGCTATTGAGGGACAGAGGGCAAGACCACATTCTACCAAATATAAAAATATGTAGTAAGGCCAGGAGTGGTGGCTCATGCCTGTAATCCCAGCACTTTGGAAGGCCAAGGCAGGTGGATCATCTGAGGTCAGGAGTTCAAAACCAACATCCCCAACATGGTGAAACCCCGTCTATACTAAAAATATAAAAATTAGCCGGGTATGGCGGCACACACCTGTAATCCCAGCTACTTGGGAGGCTGAAGCAGGAGAATCGTATGAGCCTGGGAGGCGGAGATTGCAGGGAGCAGAGATAGTGCCATTGCACTCTAGCCCAGGCAACAGAACTTGACTCCATCTCAAAAAAAAAATACATAATAAAGCTCAATGATTCAGTAATAATCTAGCAACAGACAGGCAGATCAATGCAAGAGAACAGAAAATCCTGAAACAGATCTAAGAATAAATAATTTATTATATGGTAAAGGTGGCATTTCAAATCAATGGGAAAAGGTACGTTCATTGACAAAGGTATTGAAGCAACGGGTTAAGATTTGGAAAATAACTATCTCTGCTCCCAAACATTCACCATATGAGACTGTAGACCTAATAAAAATAAACATAAGATTATGAGAATAAAATATCAATAAATATTTTATACTATCTTGCAGTGGGATAGGAATTGTCTCACTCCTGCTGGGGTGACTCCCCATAACCCCAGGGCTCTCAGTTCCAAAGAGAAAAAGGGAACAGATGCCTCCTCCCCTCCTCACTCCCCTGGGACCCAGGGATTGCTCCCTGAAGGTATCGAGCCACCCTCCCTCCCACTCCTCCTGGGAGGCCAAAGAAGCTTAAACAGCAGGGCCCCTCCCTGTGCTGCCCCTGGGAGTGCATGGAGTTCTGGAAAGGGAAGAAAAGCCAGGTTCCAATCAAAAAGCCTCTCCGTGTAAGCCTTTCTGGCCAACCACCTAAAAAGAGCTCAGAAGAAAAAAAGAACGTGAATCTCCAAAGTGTCAGTCATTTGTTCACTTTTCTTTTCTCATTCTAAGTAAATATTCACTTTGGTATGTAATTTCATATCCATGTTGTATGCTTTCTTTAAAAAAATGTGTGAATTTCAGGCTCCACAAAACCTGGATCCATCCCTGTTCCCACACTTTCTACTGTAACAGCACTCACAGATTTTGCCCTCAATCTATCTTATTAAGTTCACATTAAATAACTATACATTTGTAACAGGTGCATTTATGACTATGGTAAAGAGCACAAACTTTGAAATTTGAACTTGGGAAAGCATGAGGAGATCAGGTATGTAAAAATGCTAAGAACAGTACCCAATACATGGCAATAAAAACCTGACGAAGCAAGGCCTGAACAAATATGTTAAAGTGCTTATTCCCAGTTGGCAAGATAATGGGAGTTTTTTCTTCTTTTTATTTCTATTTTCTAACTTACCAGCAATGAGCACATAAGGCAGTTATGTCCCATCAGCCCAGGAGTTTGAGACCAGTCTGGGCAACATGGCAAAACCCTGTCTCTACAAAAATGAGCTGGGCTTGGTGTCATGTGCCTGTGGTCCCAGCTAACCAGGAGGCTGAGATGGGAGGATTGCCAGAGGCTGCAGTGAGTCACGATTGCACCACTGCACTCCAGCATGGGAGACAGAGGAAGACCCTGCCCCAAAAACAAAACAAGAAACAAAGAAATAAAACAAGAAAAAAATTATTTGAGGATGCTCCTAATTAGCATTAACTAGTTCTTAGTGTTACATGGTTCTTTAAAAGGAACGGTTTCAAAGTACAGTGCCCTGAACTATCAACCTTAATATGATTTTGAGAGCTGGGTTCTCAGGCTGAAGGTGCCCCTGATGGATTCAGATGAGATGGAACGATGGTCCCTCCCTCAGTACAGATCCTGCTTCTAGGCCATCATTCATATTCTGAATCTGACAGGCAGGTATTTCAAGGAAGCGCATTTTGCCACCAGGCTAACTTTGACATACCAACGAGAAGGAGTGGGAAGAGGTAGTTTTGGAGTAAGGAGGCTTGAGTTTAAGTTCTACTTCTGCTAGTTAATAGCCGTACAACCTCAGGCAAATGACTTAACTTCATTAAGGCCACCTGATCACTTGTAAAACTTGGGTAGTGCCATCTACCCATACTCATGTATCGAAACAATCGCGTAAGTACACACTCTTGGTGGACTGTGACGTGTTCCTCAAGTAGGAAGATTACAGTGATAGCTGCCTTTACACAAATGACTACACAGCACAGTCAAGGGCACAGTTAATTCTTTTTCTCCAGTGAATCAACCTTGGCCGATGGAAATGGGAACTTCAGGGTTCTGCTTTGCTCTCCAGCCAGCGGACTGACAAGGACCCCCCAAAAGCAGAGCCAAAGAGAGTTAAAAACAAATGGCCATGCAGGGGACACACAGGGTGGTCTCCATGTCAGCCAGGACTCTTGATAACAACGGATGGACTGAACACTTACCAGCTTAGAGGAAAAAAAACTAGAAGAATAGAAAAAGCTCACTCTCACTTTATCTATAGGAGACAGCATTCAGGGGGCTCAAAGAAGCCCACCAGGTCTCAGGAGCTACAGGAGTCTTGCTGCCACAGCCACCAACGCATTCTAACTGACCTTCCTCTTTGCACTGCTCGCTCCAGTTTCAAAGTTCCAGTGAAATGCACCCAGCTGGCTGTCCTTGGGGGTTTGTCTGTGCCTAGGCAGAGCCAATGCCTGCCTCCTACCAAGACTACACATAGAAGGCAAGTCCCAGGAACTGAAATAATAGCCACCAAAAAACAAACTCCACTGGGCATAAACATTGGCCACATAGAACTTCAATTCCTCTGCAAACTGGAGCTTTTCACCACCTCTCCCTTGTGCCTAGATAGGATAAAATAATAGAAGCTGGACAGGGAGGGAACATTCAGAAATTTAACAACCTCAGAAGGGAACATTCAGAACCACCCCAGACAGGGATACCATCCATCCTCTGACTGCCCTGGGAAAGTAACAGGTGACGTCACAGAGTCATCATGGTTGCTGGACTAGAGATAGGACTTCTGGTGGGGCACATCTCTCTCTCCTTCTCTGACTCCATGGCCAACAGTTTAACGTAATGGTTCCCTCTCAGCCTTGGCACAGAGCTTTCCATCAGGACCAAATCATACACAATATAGATGCCCATATGCTAGGAAACACAAGCAACAAAGATCTGTTTTTCAAATGCCCTGTATAACTTAAATGTTATGATTGCGGTTTGGATCTATTCATGGTCTTGGGGCTTGTTTGCATTAAGAACTGCAAAAAATGTGCACAGTATGAGAGTGTATTTGTGACGTTTGTTTTACCACAATGCAGTCAATACATCGAGACCTCAAAACCACCAATGAGCTTTTTCTCTAGTTGGTCATCCTACCAACCTCTTGACAAATTCCTCAGCAAGACATTTAACCATCAATCTCTATCTATGATCACTTAAACACACACACTTCCTCTACTAGGCAGAAAAACTTAGGTAATCAATGTCTCATCCTCTGACCCATCAGAAGTTTTGCTTTAGAAAAAGAGTATAGCTGCTCCAAAAGAGATGCCCCACTAAAATATATTATATATGTGCATATCACAACAATCTCAATGTACAATGCCGTACAGATGTGATGCAAATTACTAAAAAAAAATGAAATTAACTAAAATGGAAGTTCTTTTCACATAGAAGTTAATTAGCACAAAGTATAAACTGGATTATGTTACTCCGTCCATGTTGTATGCCTTGGTCCATTACCACACTAATATAATTCCTGAAATATCAACCATTTCTCACATGTCAGAGAAAATTTGGCTTTTAAAGACATGCAGTTCCAGAAATGAAACTCCATTCACCTATTATCAACTCTAGTCTTTGATCTTTACTCCTTATAAAGAAAAAGACTACATAAAGACAATACTATTATTACTATGTCCATTACAACTGTAGATCATGAAGCAAAAATTATTGCTGTTTTTCAATGGCTGACACTTCCAGGACAATTTCTTGTAGAAGTCAGTAAATGGAAAAGTGACTGAAGCAGATACTGTATAACCCTCAGAGGAAAAAGAATCAAGTTTCTGAGAACACATAAACAGCCACTGACTTACAGGATGACAAATAATCAGTTTCTTACATCCGTGTTGTGGTTTGCAAGGTACAATTTACCGTTTAGAATCTACTTTATAGGAGTCATCAATCTCACAGCCCTCCTCTCAAAACATCCCTCTGAAGTAGGTGTTCATTTCCCATTTTACACATGGCCAGTTGACACCCCCAGAGTGAACAACTCTCTGACTAGATCAGTATTTGGTCCCTGGAGACATCGGTGGGGCCTTCTTGAAGCCCTGTGTCTTCCCATGGGCTGCTTTCCTCAATGGGTAATTTAGGGAAATAGATGGAGTTGATTGGTAAGATCTTTGAGATCAGGGTGAGGAGAACAATTCATACCTATAGGGACGTCACCAGGGTTGCTGCAGCATCCATCCACATGGGAGATTGATTCTGTAAAAAAAAATCTCTTTGGTCTAATATAAAACAAAATGGTAGACAAGTGGCCACACCCTGAAGGGGAAGGCAAGGGGTCACGCAGGTGGTGGGCAATTGCTAAGTGACATTTTTCTAAAGGTGGAATTCCTTTGTTCTAAAGCAAATGTTTAACCAGTGCCCATTGTATATGTGCTGTGCCAGGAGCCCTGCACTTAAAATCCAGAAATTATGTCACATACATGATAGAAACAATGCCACCTTATACTTTGCATTGACTCCTTCCCTTCACCCTATTCTCTCATCTTTATTTTAAAAAAAGAAAAAGCTGATAAAATAGATAGGAATATGAAAGCTCTCTCAGCCCACTGTATCCTTCTCCCTCTTTCCTGTCTCAGCTAAGCACTCTGAGAGCATCGTCTACACCTGCTGCTTCCAGATCATCATCTCCCAGTTGTTCCCAGCAGCCCAGCAGTCTGACTTCCATCCCTACCATCCCAACAGAACTGCCCTCGCCAACCTCCTCCACATGCACCATGGTCCGAAGATAATGAACACTGCTCAGGACTCGCCTAACTGGGACAAAATTGATTCCTATCTGGACGTGCAGCCATGCATGTCCACGTAATTATGGATAACAGTGCAGTGTCACCTTAGCAACAAGTGATCAGTCTTTCATTTAGAAGCCACAGTTTGGCTAGGGTAAATGTTAATGAGAGGCTTCTAATGGAGTATGGCAGTTTTAAAACATACCAAAATCTTTGATTCTCCTCTTAATCCATCTCCTATTGCCCCGTCCTCTGCAATCTGGGCCAAGGAGTACAGCACAGCAGTAGCGATGCCATGTGCCTTCCAAGACGATGTCATAAAAGACTGTATTATAGTTCTCCACCTGGTTCTCCTGGAACAATCACTCTTATAACCCAGCTACCATGGTATGACAAGGTCCAGGCAGCCCATGGCGTGTTCTACATGAAGAGGGCCATTTGGAGAGGAACCAGGACCCCGGCCCTGGACCCCAACTGAGCTCTGGTCAACAGCCTTTTGAGCAGCCATCTTGAAAGAGGATTCTCCAGCCCCCTGAACGGTCCCAGCTGACACTGCATGGAACCCAAACCTTCCATGCCTAGCCATGCCCAAGTTGCCTATTTCCGAACTCAATAACTGTTGTTTTGAGCCACTGTTTTGAAGAGGTTTGCTACACAGCAATAAATAACTGATACACACGACTATAAAAGATTCTGGCTTCTGCTTAAAAATTCTATGAGAAAGATGCTGAGAATTTTCTATGTATTAAACTATTAAGATTTATAGGAGGCCATTGATTTAGACTGAGCTCCTGCTCTAGGCTTCAACAGATCCAACCAAAATAGAGTCACTCATGCTAAAGTTCCACATCACCAAACCAAAACTAAGCTATTTATCTGACCTGAGAAATCAAGAGAGAGAGATGCTAGTTAAATCCCCAAACAGCAAGTTTTAGCATAAAGAAGTCCCCTGTGCTTGAACCCTTACAAGGAAAGTGACGTAGAGTAACCTGATATTAACAATCTGCTTTTTTGCGCTATGCTGTTTTCTTGTTCCTGCTCAAGCCACCTTTTAAAAACCAACCGCCAATGCCTGATCCAGAGTCCCTTTTCTGCATCTTTAGATGAAATGATGCCCAGTTCATGAATCACTAATCATTAAAGCCAATTTGAGTTTCAAACTAAATGTGTTGAATTTTAACAGGACTCAACAAATAAAACACTATATTGTAGAGACAACTGCAGGTATAAATTTACTACAATCTGGATAAAACTTTTTTGGAAAAGGTTCAAAGCAGTTATATTCTAATACATTTCCTAATATTGAGTGGACAATTAATACATGAATACTTTTCAAATCAATTGCTAAAGTAACAGAAGATATAATTTTACCTCTTTTCCTTCCAGAAGGCAACATTAACTGCATTTATAGCCAAGTAATGCTATTTTAAAATCTTCGTTATCCAGATTAATTCTCCATACTATTATAAATTCATCAGTATTTCTAATATCATCCTGCTCCCAGGACTTAGATATCTCTACTTTGGGCCTTAACATTCTGTTTCTGCTAAGAAAAAAAAATGACAAAAGCTACCACAAGTGTGATATATAGAACTATTAAATAGTCAAAGAGCTCATCTTTCTCCTAACTCAGAGTTTGACTACAGCTTACCAAAAATGACAAAATAGAAAACATATATAAAACAGATTTTTTTCCTCTATAACCAAAGCCCACTTGTAATAAACTACATGAGAGGTTCAAATTTGCTTGATCATAATAGAGCTGTTTAAAAATACATGGCTGGAATTCACATTTGCAGTTTGCAGATGGAGCAATAACGATACTCTGAATTAATAATATGTGATTGAAACTCCGCATGGAAGGAGGGGGTGTGTTATCCCACCCTTTCTATCCTGCAAGCCTAGGTCTTCCTAAGGACTACTTTGCTCAACGGGTAATTTGGGAAATTAGAGTTTGTTGTTCAGATGTCTGAGATCAGGGATAAGCAAAAGATTTCACGACTCTGTGAAGGTCACTGGCAATGACCACAGCAACCATTAATAAAGATTGCCTTATTAAAAATCTCCATGGCACTGGGCACTGTGGCTCATGTCTGTAATGCCAGCACTTAGGAAGGCCAAGAGAGGAAGATTGCTTGAATCCAGGAGTTCAAGGCTGCAGTGAGTGGCAATTGCACCACTGCACTCAAGCTTGGACAACAGAGTGAGACCTAGTCTCAAAGAAAAGAAGAAAAACACAAATAAAACTCTCTGCGGCTTATCATAAAATGAAATGTCAGCCAAGGCAAGAGGCCACGCCCGAAGGAGAAAACAGATAGGTCTGAGTGTGGGGGTAATGCTCCAGGCAGCAGGTGGTGAGCAAAGGGGTCAAGCTGGGTTCCTGGGAAGTTCCCCATAAATTTCAGCCAACGATGCACAGGCCTCCTCCCAAACACCGCTGAGCAGGGCTTCTAGATCTCACTGTTTTTGACAACACAGCCAACCTCAGCTACCAGGGTCATTTGGACCAAAAGGGAAAATACCACTAATCAAACAGGGCCCAATTTCTTAAAACAAACAAAACAAAACAAAAACAAACACCAATTGCCTTCTCATTAGAAAAGAACTTAAGAAAATCACTAGGCCTGTTAGACCAAACAACTAACTCCACAGGTGGTTAACAGCCTGGCCCACTGAGTGGGGCAGCACCCAGTCCTGCAGCTCCACAGCCCTGACGATAACGCAGGCTTGACTTTCATTCACAGACGGCCTAGGGGACATCGACAGCTGACCCAAGCCATGACATTCCATGCCTGCTTCCTAGCCTTGTGGCTGTGAACTAGTGACTCAGCCTCTTTAAGCCTCAGCTCCTCTGCTGTAAGATGGAGCTAACTATACGGGTCTGGAACACTGTAAGAGCCACACACTGAAGTAGTGATTCTCCAAGTGTGTCGCTGGGCTGGCAGCAACAGCATCATCTGGAAATTTGTGAGAAATGCACATCTCCAGCCCCCACCCAGACCTACTGTATTGCACCGTTTTCACACTGCTACAAAGAACTGCCCAAGACTGGGTAATTTCTAAAGAAAAGAGGTTTAATTGACTTACAGTTCTTCATGACTGGGGAGGCCTGAGGAAGCTTAGAATCATGGCAGAAGGGGAAACAAACACATAGTTCTTCGCAAAGTAGCAGAAGAGAAAGAGCAAGCAAGAGTAGGGAAAACTGCCTTGGAAAACCATCAGATATCCTGAGAACTCACTCACTATCACGAGAACAGCATGGAGGAACCGCCCCCATGATCCAATCACCTCCCACCTGGTCCCTCCCTCGACACACAGGAATTATAGGGATTACAATTAGAGATGAGATTTAGGTGGGGACACAGCCAAACCATATCACCTACTAAAACAAAAATGGAGTGGGAGAACTTAAGGGGCTGGGAGAGCCTCCTGCAATGTTACCTGCCCTTCAGGTGCTTCTAATTCACACTAAAGTTGGAGAACCACTGAGCTACTGTCTTAAAGCATAGTTACCATTGTAACAAATAGCTCCTCCCTTCTCTGCAATGAAGATAACACAATGTTCTACCTGGTGTGTTCAATGTCTACGCTCATGGTAAGGGAGATAGATGGTGATGATGATGATGGGGAGGATGAAAATGATCATTTTTCTTTATCGAGTGACAGGAAGTGGGACAAGGAACAGAAGACATCCTCATTCATGGCTAAAAATGTATGTGACTAACTCACATGGCTGTTGCTTCTGTGGCCATCCAGGACATAAAGGCAGAAAATGAGCTTTTTTAATACAGAACTTTATTTTATAATCATGGTAATGGAAATTTCCATCTTCCTTCCAGAACGTTTCAACAATTTCAAGAGGGTTTGGTGGAGCTCTGGTCAAAAGTCTAGCTGCTGAGGCTTCACGTGGCAATAGAAATCTAAAAAAAGAGTGCCTAGATCCTTAACCTCCCCAGAATCTGGCTGAGCTTCCAACAGGCTGGAGAATAAGCACTGTCACCTGGCACAGGAAGGGCTCTCAGGCAGATGAGGGCACTGGCAGAAGCCTGGGAAAATGCAATGCATCTGATGCTCTGAGGCCTTCAACATTCTCGCAGGCTTGCTCTGCTACCCAGGTGAAATCCATGATGCCATCAGCCCCCATCAGCACACCTGCCAGGAGTCTCGCTCCATCCCTGACCCAGCCTTGTGCCTATGTGCCAGTCATTTGCCTATTTGCTCTTTGACTCATTCCCTACCCTTCACCTGCAAACTACCTTTTCCAGGCTTATTTGCCAACTGGCTCCAGCTGGGTTTAAGTGGAAGACTGGAGGACCAGAGGAAGCCAGAGAATTTCCTCCCCTGCCTTTCTCTGCTTGTGGTGATATCTCCAGCAGTGGCCTTTTCTTCTCCATGATTCCAACTCCCAGCAGACAGACCTTCCCTCTACAGTCCCAGGTGCTTCTGAACACCCCCATGCAGATGCAGTTCTTCACCTGTGGTACCACCATCCTCTCTCTGTTCTACCAGCCTTTGTCATAGTAACGGTTTCCTGCTACTGTTAATATCTGGGTGAGTTTATCACCCCTATTTGGCTTTTCGCATCTTCTAAAGATCTTTGTAACTAAGTACTTTCATTAAAGTGCTCCTATTTTATTGCATGGGCCATGACTAATGCAGCCTCCTCTCATGTCTTCAATCTTGATCACGCCTTACCTGCTGCCCACCCAACTGACTCAGCTCCCTATCCAAGATTTTCTCTGGACCTGTCTACAGGGAGCCCCTGTTCACATACAGAGCTTTAGTTCTTACCTGTTTGTGATCAACCAGTTTTGATACCAGTTCATCCAACTGTGCCCTGACACCAACCCAAGCCCTGACCACCCACACTCAATATTCACCTAACTCCAGCTTTCTCGGGACAAGCCAGTCTCCACTGGTATCTGCTACCTTCCCCTTCTTGAATTCGGTAACTATTAGGTTGGTGCAAAAGTAATTACGGTTTTTGCCATAATAAGTTAACACACACTCTGAGGATCTCAATACATATTTTCTATTTAAAAATGTTTCCTGGAGCAACCATATAACATTAAGTGAATTTTTTTTTCTTTCCATGTCTGGTTTATTTCACTTACCATAATGCCATCCAGGTTCATCCATATCATCAAATACAGCAATTTTAATCTTTTTTTAAGATTGAATACTATATACATAATACTTATATTATTGAGTTTACATTATAAGAATTATAAGATTAAGTGAATATTTAATTTAATCAGGCAAAAGGAAGTTTGTGACTTGAAATAACTAACTGGCCCAAACTCACCTGATATTTTCACAACTTTCCACTTCCTTTTGGCTACAAAGATACAACAGATGTACAAACTAAAGAGAGAACACAGTGTTCCAGAAAATGATTATGCTTTTGGCAGCTACCCACATAAGTGTAGTAAGTACAGTATAATGACAGTCCTCCCTGGAAGCTTCTTGTTCTGTAGAGAGATTTACCCTCATTTCAAGTCTCGCATTCCAAAATACATTGTTGAATTATCCTTAACAACCAACCTTAGAAAGCTCAATTCCTTTAATTAATTTTTCAAAAAGTTAAAAAGTTAAACAAAATAGAGAAAATTGCACATAATGAAGATCGCAGTGTTGCTGACTTAGGATTGGAGCCAGGACTGGCAAACGCCATGGCTTTCCTAAGCCTACACACACTATATTTATAGGTGTTGCATACTGCACTACAGCTTTTGGAAATACTCAGTTAGTGCTCACGAGGCCTTCTAGAATAGGAAAGGGCATGGGTTCCCTTAATGCTAAATAAACTTCTAGAATTGATCAACTACCTTAATAAGGGCTTCTGAGCCCTTCTTTAGTTGCTCAGCTATTCCCAGTCTGCCCTTAAGGAAATGCAGGCAGCTACCTGAAGGTAAAGCACATTAATAAAAAGAAGAAAGAAAAGAAACAGGTCCAATACTGCAGGTTATTTTCTAAAATGATCCAATGCACTAATGCATAAGGTCCCCAAAAGTTTGTTCCATGCTGCCTCTGCAGCAAAGATGGCACACAGAGGCCCCATGTCTGCAAAACGGCCCAGACCCTTTCCATTCAACAAGCCCCGGAGACAGATGCTGAGGGGTCATGAGGCAGCACAGGCCCCCCATCTACAGCTCACTCCTCCTCTGCTCACTTTGTATTTGGATGCTGAGAGATTCTAGTATTTGAACAGCACCCAACATTGTTCACAATAATGTTAAGCTCCAACAAAATCTCCCTACATAATTTCACATCAATGTGAAATTCAATATATTTTCACAGTGCATTGTTATTATTTTCCTAAAACCACTGACTTCATTTCAAGCTTCTACAGAACTGGAAATAATTTGAATTGTAAGATCTTCATTAAAAAAATAAAACGTGGACGTTTCTTAGGTCTTCCCACTCATTTCTGGATGGTTTCATTCCTGAAAGCCTATGAGGGGGAAATAACTCAAATAGCAAATTTTAGCCTGTGGGTCTCATCCTGGGTCTTATCTCTACTCTGCCACTAATTAGCTGTGCGGCCAGAGTGCACTTCACAATCTCTCTCCTGGCCTCAACTTCTTCCTTCTATAACAAGGAAGTTGGACTAAATACTGTCAAATATCCCTTCTAAGCCTAAAATGCTCCAATTGACTCCAGGAAAATAACCTAAGAAATGCATATTTTAATTCAAAGTAAAATTAAAGCATGATGAAATAAAAACATGGCGTTTAGATTTCTAACATCATTTTAGAGGCTGTACTGCAGATTGGAGTAGAGATTGTGAATTTAAGAGAAAAGCAACAATGTCAAGACAAAGGAACATGGGTAATTTAGAAAGGCCTCCGAAAGTTACTAAGCTTTCATGTGATATCATGCACATGTTGTTTAAGAGTTTGTGGAGTCAAAAAGGAGTCAAAAGCTTTCTCCTTCAGCGCAGGAGATTTTGTAATATTTCTAAATGATCCAGCCAAACAACATTGGAGGAAGAAAAAAAATCAAACACTACACTACACAAGCCATCATCCTGTCACAAAGCCATTAGCGCTCATGAAAAACGATGGTATTGTTAAGGTTTATTTATAGTTCTTTCTTAATCAAATAAAAAATGAACAGGAAAACACTCTGAATATAAATTTTTAAAAACTTTAAAGACCCAAGACCAGTAGCAAAAACATGTATGAAGACATAGTCCTACAAATCGTCTTTTAAAAACAAATTGGATAGGCAGGAATGCTTACGGCTATGGCTGAATTCTGCCTTTCTCCAGGACATCATGAATAATTAGACATCCAGCAGTCTAGGTTACTGCCATCAGGACTTTGGGGAACTTGACAATGTGAAAAAGATTCTGTCCCCAATCCAACTTACATTTTATGCAATTTGCCTCAAACACCACTGTAGCATCTTACAGTAAAGCAAGATAATGTGTGTCATATTTTTTTAAGTCATGCAAACAACTGAAAACAACCAACTCTTCGTTCCAGGGATATAAGCATGAATTAAAGGCAGGCCTTCCCTCAAGGGGCTCACTGTTTAGCAGGAGAGAACAACATTTAATACATAATTGGAACAGGGCATATGAAACACCACGATGCAGATGTACATAAAGGGAAGTGGGGGCAGGGAAGTGCAAGGAGGAAGCAACCACCTGTGGCTGAAAAACCACAGTAGCTACAGTGGTTATGAACCCAAACTCTAGAATGGGGCTCCCCAGTTTCAGACCGCAGCTTGCTACTTGCTAGCTGTGTGACTCCGAGCAAGACATTCAGCCTCTCTATGCCTCAGTTTCCCAACTGTTAAATGAGAGGGATAGTAATGGTGCCTACCTACAGGTACCACACAGGGCTGTTGCAAGGCTTCAGCACACAAGTTCATGTGGGGCATCTAGAATGGGGGTCGGTACACAGGAACCACACACAGTGTCGACTGTTCTCACTGTTACAGAGAAAGCTTAGATGGTGCTGAATCTTAAACGCTGAGTGGGCATTTCCCAGAAAGACAAGTATAGGCAGAGCCTCCCAGGCAGAAAACAGTGCATGCCAATGAATACTAGCATGAAAAGCAACCCCACGTGATTTGGTGTAGCTCAAAAGTGACATGTGAGGGGTTGCAAGGCAGGAGGTAAAGATGGTAAGGACAGATGGCAGAGGGCCTGTGTGTGCCATCCATAGGAATTTCTCCTTTATTCCCACAAGAACGGGAAGTGTGAGTTTCAAGTAGGTAAGAGCATTGTCAGATCTAGCAGGAGAGTGGAGGATGGCCAGAAAGAGGCAAGGATGGAGACAAAGAGACCAAATAAGAGGCAATAGCAATGGAGAGAGATGACCACCATGAAGAGGAAAAATGGTAGTGAAGACACATCAGAGGCAAGCACTTGGGAGCCATAGAGGCAGTTTCATGGTCTTACTGACCCTGAACTGAGGGTTGCAAGCAAGAGGGTCAAGAAGGAGTCCAGAATGACATCCAGGTCTATGGCTTTGGCAGATGATGAACAGTGGGGTTGATCATGATGGAAATTCAGGCAGAAGAACAGTACGGGGCTGTTCAGGGAAAATGTCCAGACAGAACCACAAGTCACATTAGCACCTGGGGAAAGTCTGGCCACTACCCTTGTAAGATGACTGGGCACCAAATCTCAGGGCCGGGCAGAGCTAAAACAGAAGAAAAGCAAGATAAATGGCTGGAAAAATCTAGAGACTGGACCAAATGCTACCTGGGGAGTGAGGGAGTGAGTAGCCCAGAGCCCCCCTGTACAAGGTACCCAGCAAGCTCCATGCTATGGGTCCAGCGGCTTCAGGGCCCTTGCTGGGACCGAGCAGAGTCAGAGGCAATGAGTCCACTGTGGGACATGTGGACTTGAAGGAGCTCAAGAGGCAGTGGTAAACAGGACTCTGGAGTTCAGAAAAAGAGGCCTAGAAACAGAGATTGGAAGGTCATTAGAGAGAGGTGGTGGGTAACGTCCCACCCAGAGAGGGTAACGTGAATTAGAAGAGGGTGAGAAATACGACTGCAAAAGAGAGCTATTGAAAGGGGAAAGAGATGGTGTCCCAGGAAGCAAGGAGGAAGATCAAGAATAGAGAAGTAAACACTGAAATGCTGCCAAAAAGTTAAGTAAGTGCATCCTCGGATTTGTCAATTAGAAAGTCATGGTGAGAAGGGTCACAGTGTTATTCATGGGAGCTCCACTGCGGGGGCTGAAGAGTGAATGGGAAGTGAGAAGGCTGCTGGGGAAGCAGGGAGAAGTCACTGGACAAAGCAGTCCCATGAGGTCCCCTTGATATGCTCTTCATACAGATTTTTAAAAAATAAGAAATTTGTCCAAGGTCCCTCAACCAGAAAGTCAGAAAGCTGGATTTCAGTTCCTTGCCTTCTGGCCCCAGAACCAACGCTCTTTCCATCATACACTTTGGAAACATTGTGTTTGGGGTTAGGATATGGGAGGAAACCAACAGCTGTGAACATTGAGAATATTAACTATGAATACGATGCACACTTGTTCATGCTTTTGCTCTCATGGGAAAATAAACTAATATTTGAATAAGCACATAGCACAAGCTACTATCTCATTAATACCCATAACAATTGTTTTTTACAGACATTTACATTGTACAGAAGAGGACACGGAGGCTCACAGGCTAAGGTAACTTGCCCAATAAGGCCGAAGAATTAAGCAGAGGAGCAGTGATTCTCAAAGAAGTTAATCTGGAGGCACTACTGATACTGCTTTAAAACTTACCTATGTACCTCACACTTAGTAGGATGGCTACTATTTTTTTAAGATCAGAAAATAACAAGTGTTAGCAAAGATGTGGAGAAATTGGAATTCTTGTGAATCACCGGTAGGAATGCAAAATGGTGCAGCTGCTATGGAAAAGAGAATGGATAACCCACAAAAAAAAATCATTGATTTACCATATGATCCAGCAATTTTGCTTCTAAGTATACAATCATCCCTCATTATCTATGGGGGACTGGTTCCAGGACTCCCCACAGATACCAAAATCCTTGAATGCACAAGTCTCTTCCATAAAATGCCATAGGATTTGCATGTGACCTAGGAACATCCTCCCTTATTTTTTAAACATCTCTAGATTACTCATAATACCTGACGCAATGTAAAGGCTATGTAAATAATTGTTGCAGTGTATTGCTTTTTTCTTTTTTTCTTTTTTTTGCTTTGTTTTTTTGAGATGAGGTCTCACTATGTTACCCAGTCTGGTCTCAAACTCAAGCAATCTGCCTGCCTTTGCCTCCCATGCTGGGACTACAGGCATGAGCCACCGCGCCCAGCCTCGTTTTTTATTTTTAGTTTTTTAATGACTCATTGCTATTTTTCTTGTTTTATTTTTTCAAATATTTTCAGGTCACAGTTGGTTGAATCCACAGATGCAGAACCCACAAGGCCAAGTGTATACCCAAAAGAATTGAAAGCAGGATCTCAAAGAGATTTCTGTACACCCATGTTCATAGTAGCATTATTTGCAACAGCCAAAAGGTGGAAACAACCCAACTGTCCATCAACAAATGAAGAGATACATAAAATGCTCTGATCATGAAGTGGAATATTACTCAGCCTTAAAAAGGAAGGAAATTTGGAAACAAGCTATAACACAAGTGAACCATGAGGATCTGATGCTGAGTAAAATAAGCCCATCACTAAAGGGCAAAAATTATATGATGTTACTCACATGAGGTCCCTGAAGTAGTCAGGTCCATTGAGCTAGAAAGTAAAATTACAGTTGCCAGGAGATGGTTAATGAGGAACAGGAGTTCTTGTTTAATGGGTACAGTTTCAATTTTGCAAGATGAAGAGTTCTAGAAATGGATGGCAGTGATGGTTACAAAAGAATGTGAATCTACCTATTGCCACTGAATTGTACACTTAAACACTGTTAACACTGTAAATTTTATGTTCAGTGTATTTCATCAAAATTTTTAAAAGAACTTAGGGGCTGGGCACGGTGGCTCAGCCTGTAATCCCAGCCCTCTGGGAGGCCGAAGAGGGGACAGATCACGAAGTCAGGAGTTTGAGACCAGCCTGGCCAACATGATGAAACCCTGTCTCTACTAAAAAATACAAAACTTAGCTGGGCATGGTGGCGCGTGCCTGTAGTCCCAGCTACTCAGGAGGCTGAGGCAGGAGAATCACTTGAACCCAGGAGACAGAGGTTGCAGTGAGCTGAGATCACACCACTGCACTCCAGCCTGGGTAACAGAGTGAGACTCCGTCTCAAAAAAAAAAAAAAGAAAAAAAAAAACTTAGGTAAGTATTATTTCCCATTTTAAAATAAGAAATAAGGCACAATGATGTTAAGTCAGGTTTTTTTTTTAGTAATATAAATTGTTTACTGCAGACCTGGGCCTAGAAACCAAACCTCCTATTTCCGGGTGTGTGATCTTCCTAGACAGCACTCACAGGTTTGCTTTCAACTTCGACTGTGACTTGAGGTTAGGAAGTCATTATAATGTGTTGCCATGGTGTCCTTCCTTATTAATAAACCTGGCCCAGTGATCTTTCCTATCTACAAAATCAGGCTAATAGCCTTCCTTTTATGCCTCTCATAATGGTACTAAGGTGTTTTTATATTATTGACAAAGTAGTTATGGGTGAAAATATGATAGAAAGGATACGGACCGTATGACACAGCCTTCCTCACCATTAATCAGGGAGGACTTAGTGCATGATCCATGGTGGTATCTATGAATGTGAACCAAGTCTCTCCCTCTATCCCTGCACCTACAATTGATTGAACTGAAAACATCCGATGTTCCTATCTCTTTCTGTAATTGTCCTTCCTCTCTTGAACAAACTTCTTAAAGGCAAATCTTAACATATGCTAAAAATGAAACAAATAGACCACCAAAATCTGTCTGTCCAAGAAAAGGCAATCAACCTCTATAAAATTCTTTGAAACCCTTGAGGTCACTTTCCTGCAGTGTGGCAGTAGCCCCTAGTTTCCCATATCATATCCATCCTTCCCTTTCTCTTAGTAACAGAACATTTGTATTTTTGAAGGGGGCAAAATTTTTGGAGAAATTACCTTTCCCAATATCCACTGAAAACAGGGATAGCCAATGAAATGTCAGTGGAAGTCCTTAGGTGGGGTTTGCAGGAAGGAATGTAAAGAGAGCTTATTCAGCTTGCAGGTGCCTTTCTGACCTTCCACCCTTCCCTCTTATGCCATCAAGACAGAAATGATGGCTGGAGCTGCAGCAATCATCTTGAGTTCATGAAGGAAGGAGACCAAGAAAATTTCAGTTCATCTATTATCCGTTTTTTTTTTTTTTTTTTTTGATACAGAGTCTCACTCTGTTGCCCAGGCTGGAGTGCAGTGGGGTGATCTCCATGCACTGCAACTTCAGCCTCCCAGGTTCAAGTAATTCTCGTGCCTCAGCCTCCTGGCTAGCTAGGATTACAGATGTGCCACCACACCAAGCTAATTTTTGTATTTTTAGTAGACAAGGGGTTTCACCATGTTGGCCAGGCTGGCCTCAAACTCCTGACCTTGAGTGATCTGCCCACCTTGGCCTCCCCAAGTGCTAGGATTACAGGTGTGAGCCACTGCACCAAGCCTACTCTGATATCTTAAGACACCAAAGCAGTGCCAGCAACTGTGTACCTCCAGTCTTCTTGTTATGTTCTGAAAATTAACCCTTGGAGTTTAAGACCACACAGTGGAAGGTCTGTCACTCTTAGCCAAATGCAATTCCTCAGGGGTACACCTAAGATCCTGAAAAGACCCTACATAGACAATTAAGTTATGAATAAATGTTACTGGATAATGATGACGATGATCACAAGGATAATGATGATGACAATGTTAATATCTATGCAGCGCATCCTACATGTCACGTACTGAAGCCCAGAAAGTTTAAGTAATTTACCCAAGATCTTGTGGCTAATAAGTGGTAAGACTCGACTTTCAATCCACTCAATCTGGTTCCAGAATCCATGCTTTTAACCACTACAAGATGATAATATCAAGTAGAACAAACTAATATACACTGCACAAATGAATAAACACAGATATACTCATCTTAAAGCAGCTTTGTTGATTCATTAATGAAAATTCTTATTATATGCCATCCCCAAATTGCTCCTTTATTTGAGAATTATTTCCTTTAGGAACTGAGATTCTTACAGGTCTGGCAAACATTTGATTGGCTTCATAAGTGCCTACCTGTTACATTAAATACTGCTTGAACCATCATTATAGCCTCCTAACAGATGCCCTTGTTTCTGATCCCTCCTCTTCACCATCCATCACACCACCATTGCAAGATGAATCTCTCTACAGTGGAGCTCTGAGCCCCTCACAGCCCTTCCCAAAGGTATTCAGTGGATCCCTAGAGCCAAACTCTGGGCCAGGTGCAATGGCTCACACCTGTAATCCCAATGCTTTGGGAGGCTGAGGCAGAAGGATTCCTTCTGAGACCAGCCTGGGCAACATAGTGAGACCTCATCTCTACAATAAAATTAAAATTTAAATATTAGTTGAGGATACACCTGTAGTCCCAGCTACTTGGGAGGCTGAGGCTGGAGGATCAATTCAGCCCAGGAGTTGAAGGCTGCAGTGAGCTATAATCACACCACTGCACTCCAGTTTAGGTGTCAGGGTCTATGTCTCTAAAAAAAAACTTAATTAATTTTTTAAAATTCAAATTCTTCAACCTGCATCTGCTCCCAGCCCTTTCCCACCTTTCCAGCACTCCCCTTCCCAAGCAAAACCCTCCAGCCAAACTAAGCACTGGTTGTCCCCTGCATGCACCTGGAATGCTCCATCTCAGTCCTTGTCACAGACTGCTCTGTTGGCCAGACACCCATCTTCTCCCATCCATCACCCAGTTCCATGTGTCTATACCAGACCTCGTCCTCAAGACTCAAGTCACATACCATGTCAATGACTCCTTCTGGACAAGGGCTGAGCTGCCATGGATCTAGTGCAGAAGGAAAAGCTCTGGGTTTCAGGGTCTCCCCTAAAGGGAATCAGTGTAGCCCAGCCCCCCACCCAGTAGCCCCCACTTAGACCAGGGCCAATGACTAGATCCACTTCTTCCCCTACACCCCTCTTAGCCCCCTTCCTGGTGTGGGTTCACTTCCCTTTATATCTCATCTGATCAACATGATCACCGTGGACAGAATTCAAGCTCAAAAGGGAAACCTGTAACCCTATGGATGTCTGAGGCAGGGGAAGAAGGGAGGTCATTGGGAAGTGCTCACTAGTGTCCCTCCAATAGGATGCTACTGTCTTCTGATCTATTACCAAAATAACCCAAGACCCTGAAATCGAGAGCTTTTCCTTCTCAACTAGACCCATGGCAGCTCAGCCCTTGTTCAGAAGGAGCCATTGACGTGGCATGTGACTTGGGATTTGAGCCACTCGAAGTTGTTACATAATAAGAACAGGCTGACCTCTCTTGGTTTGTTGGTTGGTTGGTTTTGAGACGCCATCTCACTCTGTCACCCAGGCTAGAGTGCAGCGGCGGGATCTCAGCTCACTGCAAGCTCTGCCTTCCAGGTTCATGCCATTCTCCTGCCTCAGCCTCCTGAGTAGCTGGGACTACAGGCACCTGCCACCAAGCCCGGCTAATTTTCTGTATTTTTAGTACAGACAGGTTTTCACCATGTTAGCCAGGATGGTCTTGATCTCCTGACCTCATGATCCACCCGCCTGGGCCTCCCAAAGTGCTGGGATTACCGGTGGGTGTGAGCCACCATGCCCAGCCCTCTCTTTGTTTTTAGTGCTCCTCAGACCTTCAGGTAACTGGAGAGTTGGTTACTACTGACTGCACAGCACCTTCCACAGTAAAACAAAGTTTAATCAATACAAGAAATCCTCTCATGGTCTGCATGTCTCCCTGATTGATACAAAGTTATCAGATTCATTCACTCAGAACAACATATTCTACACCAAGTAATTTTTGTGATTAAGTTTAGTTCTCTACAAAGTACGTTACAATTAACAGTGTTTTTTAGGAAACTGCCCATGCACTGGCTTTCCTCCCTTATCCTACACGCAGCTCTCAGGAGCCTCTTACATAGTACGGGTGCATATCTGGCAGTGACATCTTTCCTGAGAGCTGTCAGACCCTTGAGGGTATCATCTATGTCTGATTTGCTCTTCCAGCCCCACTCAGTAAGCCTAACACACTACACTGCACATGGGAGATCTTACTTTTTAAAGTTTTGAATGAATGAAAGAATGAGAATGCTCTGAATTAACCAAGCTTGATGGTTAATTACATAATTACATGGATCATTCTTATTCTCTTCTCTCCCTCCTTTCCTCTCTTCCATTTCCCCCAGTCCCTGGAAAAACAAGGCACTAAACGAATGTGCTGCCAAAGGAGAAAGAAGAAAGGTAACAGGGCATTTGAATCACAGACCCTTCCAGGCCGATATTATATTGTTAGATGGAGAAGAAATTTTGAATTTTTCCAAAGTACCATTAATACTTTTTAAAAATAAATTTCTTGCATATCAAAACCACAGTCATCTATCACTTCACACCTTAAGATGGCTGTGATGAAAAAGTCAAAAATATCAAGTGTTGTCGAGGACTTGGAGAAAAGGGAATCCATATACATTGTTGATAGGAGTGTAAATTGGTATAGCCATTATGGAAAACAGTATTGAGGTTCTTCAAAAATTAAAAATGGAACTACTCTATGATCCAGCACTCTCACTTCTGGGTATATACACAAGGAAATAAAATCACTTTTTCAAAGAGATACCTGCACTATTTTCACTGCAGCATTATTCACAATAAGATATGGAAACAATTTAAGTACCCATAGACGGATGGATGGATGGATGGGTGGATAAATGGATGGATGGATGGAGAAAATGTGATATATACATAAAACAGAATATTATTTACCTTAAAAAAGTAGAAAATCCTGCCATTTGTGATAACAAGGATGAACCTGGAGGACATTATGCTAAGTGAAACAACCTAGACATGGAAAGAAAAACATTGCTCAATCTCATTTCAATATGGAAGTTTTAAAAGTTGAACTCAAACAGACTAAAAGGGTAGTTACTGTGTGAAAACAGAGTTGGGAAATGGGGAGATTTTGCTTAAATGATGCAAACTTTCCATTACAAGATGAATAAGTTCTGGTAACCTACATCATAGTGACTGTAGTTAATACACGTATTGCCCACTTAAAATGTGCTAAGAGGGTAGATCTTAAGTATTTGCACCACAAAAAGGTACTATGTGAGGTGATAATTAGCTTGATTATGGTAATCATTTCACAACATATACCAAAGCATCACATTGTACACCTTAACTGTATGTAATTTTTGCCAATTATACTTCAATAAACTTGGGGGAAAAACAAATAGAAAGTAAATCAGTAATTCTACCTTAAGGATAGTAACTCAAGGGTAGCTATTTATGCAAAGACTTACATCAAGAATTCCATTAACTCAGGGAAAAACTGGAAACAATTTAAATGTTCAATAATTATTTTCTAATGCATTTTTATGCATCCATTCAATGACATGTTTTTGAATAATATTTAGAAGGAAAAAGCTCATCATTTGAATTTTAAAATCCAGGGAAGGCTGGGCACAGTGGCTCATACTTGTAATCCTAACACTTTGGGAGGCTGAGGCAGGAGGCAGGAGGCTTAAGCCCAGGAGCTCAAGACCAGCTTAGGCAATATGATGAAACACCATCTCTACAAAAAATACAAAAAATTAGCCGGGCATGGTGGTGCATGCCCATAGTCCCAACTACTCGGAAGCCTGAGGTGGGAGGATTGCCTGAGCCGGGGAGGGGGAGGCTGCAGTGAGCTGAGATCGCACTACTTCACTCCAGCCTAGGCAACAGAGCGAGACCCAGTCTCAAAAAAAAATCCAGAGAAAAAAATGTAAGGCTAGAGTTTCAAAAATTGTACATGACATATTATGAATAGATGTTTAATATATAAATACAACCATAAACATAAAAGTAAAGCAACATTCCAGAATGTTGATGCTAGTTAAAGCTGAATAATCGAATGACAGGGCACGACTAATTTTCATTTTCTTTCATTTCCTCGATTATCTTCAATTACCTTGTATTACTTGATTATCTGAATCCCCGAACCTCCCCTCCAACATGAAGACAAAGGCAAAAAAATCTGGAGGTGCAGTAGCTACAAATAAACCCAGACATGGAAAAATACTAATCAGATCAAATAAAAACTAAAATAGATTTCTCCACCTCCCAATCATACAGGGCCCTTACAAAGCAAATAGCATGCAAGGATGACAACGGGGGACAGCTGTGTGAGGCCTTATGTCTTTGTGAACTCACCAAGCCTTCCCCAATGTCATAGTTAATTCATTTAGATTAGGGAGAATTCTGCTTCATGCTCTAAAGGTATTTTACAAAAAGGCAGTCATTGTCCCTGTGGTTTGTGAACTGAAGCCAGGCTCAATCTGTATCTGTATTGTCATAAAGAGAATTTCCTCCACATCCTCAAAGGAAGTGTTACTTCCTAAAAGGAAAACTGCGGCGGAGGCTGGGGAAACCTAAGAGAGCAGTGGAGCCACGGCAGCCCATGAGGTCAAGGAATTGAATAACACAGGCACTAAAATCAGACACTGGAATACACTGAATCAGGTTTAAAGGAGTGCCTTTTCCTAGCCCCAAGTCCACAAAACACCCAGAAGGACATCTCTTTAGCCTCCAACCACAAGGGAAGAAGAGGAATCATTTTAATGGGGAACAAGTAAATAGCAATAATAAATGTTGGCAGTGGGATACCTACCAGAGCATCTGCAGGTCAGGCTCCTCCTTGTGTGTGAAGCCCAAACCCCAGACATCAGGTGTGGGCACTCCCGGCTCAAGCAATCCTCCTCACCAAGCCTCCCTAGTAGCTGGCACTACAGGCATGCACCACCATGCCTGGCTACATTTTTTTAAATCTTTTGTAGAGACAGGATCTTGCTATGTTGCCCAGGCTGGTTTTGAACTCATGTCCTCAAGTGATTCTCCCTGCCTGGCCTCCCAAAGTGCTGAGATTACAGGTGTGAGCAACTACACCTCTTTGGCCTCGTATCTGATCAAAATCGACACCAGGACAGTCCTAGAGCTAAAAATATTTCACATAAGGGAAGCTGGTAACACTAAGGATATGTGAGATGGGGGAAGGAGAGAGGCCGGGAAGCTCTTACCAGCACCCAGGGATTCATCTAGTAGGAGGTTACTGCCTTTCTGATCTATTCACCAAGACAATCCAAGTCAGGTAACTCCAGAAGGTAGCTCAAGAGAAAAGTAGCATGGGGTGTAAACAGGATTTGAAAACACCAACAGTGTCCATGGAAATACTGGTGCTAAAGCCAGGAAATTCTTGATTGGTTGACAGATCAAGCAGTTCTACATCCATAAGTGTTCTATAATTAGGCATAACAAATTACAACTTTTAAATCTCAATTAATAGCTCTGTGAACTAAGGGACCCGATAAAACCACAGTAGCCAACCTCTTTACTAGTTATTTCTGATACCCCGAATAGAACTGCATGTAAATAATACAGTATCAGACATGCAGCCATTTTTATTTAAAGTCATTGATCAAAAGGAAGGAATTAGGGAGAAAATCATTCTGGAGTAGAAATCCTCTACAATTTATCATTTGAACCAGTACATGCCTAGAGTAAAAGAAGTCACTATTAATAACTGTTGGGACCACTGACACAAATTGAGATTGTCCCAGGCCAATCAGGGTATTAAATCACCCTCTACAAGAGCTACACGCAATGGAAGACTAGATAAACAGTATATGTTTAACTAATATGCTTTTTTTAATCCACAAAAAAACCCCTAAACTATATTAGCTATAAGGCCGGGTGTGGTGGCTCACACCTGTAATCCCAACATTTTGGGAGGCTGATGTGTGTGGATCACTTGAGGTCAGGAGATCGAGATCAGCCTGGCCAAGATGGTGAAACCCTGTCTCTACTAAAAATACAAAAAGTAGCCGGGCGTGATGGCGCATGCCTGTAGTCCCAGCTACTTGGGAGGCTAAGGCTGGAGAATCGCTTGAACCCAAGGAGGGGGAGGCAGAGGTTGCAGTGAGCTGAGATGGCGCCACTGCACTCCAGCCTGGGTGACGGAGCGAGACTCCATCTCAAAAAAGAAAAACTATATTAGATATAAACAACAAAAAAACACTGCTGCTCCACCCTGAGAAAGGATGAGCTGAGCAGAGGAAGGAACACAGACAGGTGCTAAGGAGGGGGAACTGAGAACGGGAGGAAAGCAGTTTAATTTGGTTCTGAGGTCAAGGTAACTGGTCACATTGCCCTGTTTTATTTTGACATTCTAATGGTGAAATTATGCAAATGTTTCTTACATGCAAAGAAATGTGCACAGCACGTAGGTCTGAGTTATGGGACATTCCAGCAGACTCAGCACCTAGGAGCCCACTGCATCACCTGGGATGCCCATCAGCGTGAGGTATTTTCACCTCTATCATCAGTAGCCATGTCAAAACTGATCCATTGATTAACAGCTACCCCAGATTTTAGGATATTTTCCTGAAAGTCACATGGGTTCCATTATGAGTAATATATTCACAGCGGCACACTGTGGAGGGGAGGCTGTCCTCACAAGCCAACCAAGTGAAATAAAGCAGCATAGCTCCAACTACTCAGCTACAAAACCTGCTGCCTGCTGGGTCACAGCGAGTTAGGAAGATCACATCCTCAAGGTATGTGTGAACCCTTCCATTAAAAGAACTCAGCAAATATGAGCTGAGGACTCAGCACCAGGTTCCAAATGTGCAAGGCAGGAGATGGGGAAGACTTCCTCCTCATTACTGCTCCATCCTCTCCCCATTCCACTGGCCGTTCTGTCCACTCCCCGGGACTGTTTAAACCAACAAGAACACAGAGCTTCAGGAGGAAAAAGTGCCGTTGTTAGCACTGAGTGGAGGGGCAGGTGAGTGCTCCCTATTCCTGGAAGGTCTGGTGCCCTCTCTTGTCCCTCTCATGGTGTCCCAAGGAGGTACAAATTCTAATTCCATCATGTACCACATATGTGGACTTGCACGTGTCATTTAACTGCTCAGAGCCTGTTTCACCATCTGTATGATCATCCCCATTCCACAGGAAAGATCACATTAGATAAAGTACATGAATGTACCTTAAAGCTGACTATTATCATATTTATGTCTGTATTTTTATGGTTATTATTATTATTACTCATTTGGAGATGCTGAGGGCAAGATCAGGAAACAGGAACAGGGCTGGATTCAAGAACGAGCTGCCAGCCTGTGTTCCGATTACATACTTGCCAAGAGGTGGGTACAGCTATGCTGGAAAGAAGCTAACTCTTCTCCAGGTCTTAGAAAAAGGACTCAAGCCTATGCTCAGTATCCCTTCAATGCATCTTGATATCAGAATTCATTCTCATTTAACAAATACGTTATATGTATATATTATACCAGGCACTGTCGTAGGCATCAGGCCTGCCTTCAAGGGGCTTATATTCTAGTGAAGGGAGGAAGAGACAATAGAAAGCAAACAAATTAACAGATGATTTCACAAAAGTCTAGGGCTAGCAAGGAAATAAGTAGGATGTCATGCTTTGGGTTAGCTGGTGAAGGGTGGGGATCTGTTTTAGAAAGGATGATCAAGGAAGGCCTTTCTCAGGAGAAATGAACTGAGAGAATGAAGTGGTTCCTACAGAGGGAACAGCAAGTGCTCCTGAGGCTGGAAAGCCCTTGGTGACTTCTGGAACCTAGAGGAAGGCCAAAATAGCTTGTTGCTTTCCAAGTGGTGCTTCTCAACTTGGCACTCAGTGGTATCACCACGAGGGCATTAGGCACTATGGAGGTTTGAGCCTGCCCCCCCGCCCAGAGTCTGATGTCATTGTCTGGGTGTGGCATGGGGAGTTTTCCAAGTCCCCCAGGTATGTCTAATGCACAGCGCAGGATGACAGGCAGGTCAGGTAAGATTGTAAGTGGACGCAGGACAGAGCTCTAGGGCACTCTGGGACTGAGTGCCTTCCACTCCTAAAGGCCCCTACAGAACATTTGCTCCAGTCTGCAACCAGACCAGATGCAAAGTCAAAGCTGGGTTGGGTCCACAGCAGATGTAAATGACTAATTACTTCTTACTTTCATTTCACAGCTTGGAAGGAGGCAAGACATGTGTGAAATATTTACTCCCCACAGGCTTAATTTTTCCTCCTTAAGAAATACTTCTAGGAAAACACTGCAACAAAACCAGTTTCATCCGTATCCCTGGAAATTATCTGTGACTTCTGATTCAAAATGTTAGAGAAAAAGAAACCCAAAAAGCCATAAATTAATTATAATTTTCTCTGTCATTCCATAAAACGCATAATTAAAAATTAACACAGCATGACTATATATGGGGAGTGAATAGGGTCTATAATCCATTTGTCAAGAACTAATTACCAGCTGAGAGTCAGTTCAGCAAGATTGCTGCAGTCATCTAGTTTGTTTTATAGCACCTATGATAAAGCAGTGAAATCATCTGAAAAAAGGATGGTTCCTGTAAAAGAAATAGATCGCCTTAACAACGCTATGCTTGGTGACACGAAACACACCAAGTTCACAATCGTGGCTTCTTCTGAGGAGGGAAGGGAGAGGAACAAAGAGTACATTGGTCAGAAATATTTTATTTCTTTCATTTAAAAACAAATCTGAAGCAAACAGGGCACAATGTTAATATGTATTAGTTCTAGGGTAGGGAGTGGTCCACGAGTTCTTGTTTTATTACTCTCTGTACTTTTCTGGATGGAAAAAAAAAGAAATGAGAACATGTTTGAAGGGTAAAAATCCTTCCTTTAACACTTCTTGCATAATGTGTGAAATTGAGTAGAAACCCTATAATTACTTCTTACCATTACTGTTTGCCAGTTTCAGAGGCAATGCTCCTGAAATCATCATAAGCATTTGCGCTCCTGTTATATTTATACATGAAGGCCAAGGAGGTGCTGGTAAACACAGCCTAGATTGTCTCTTTCACATTCTCTTTCTTTATTCGATTGCATCACTACCGTATGCTCCTCTCTGATTTTTTTTTTCCTCAAAAGTACTGCCTGAAAGAAGGATTAGTAAGACAGTCTCCACATGCTTCAAGGAAGATTGGCCCTGTGGTTCATTGCCCCACCCACCCCCTGCTGCTATTCTAGAACTGTTTGGTCAACCTTTACATATTCATTTTTTTCTTAATTTATGCTTTAAATATAAATATATTTCCAAAGGCAACATAGCTTTAGATTTTTATATGTCTTTAAAGGATAATTCATAGTCCTTTTGCTAAGTCAGGCCCAATAGAAAGTAAGCAGTCATCAACAGTGATAGTCGAGTTGTGCTGGGAGGAAAAAAAGATAGAAGCTGAAAGTTTTAAAACCGATATTTTTATCCTGAAATATTTATTAATCAATTTTAAAGCAGTGGAAAACATTTCCCTCCTGCAGGAGGGTGGGGCAAGGAAGAAGTAGAAAAAGAGACAAAGGAAGAGAGTGTAACAAGTTCAACAATAAATTTTAAGACAATTCACTTTGGTGATGAAATATAGGAGACCAAACCCTGTGTGCCAAGTAGCAGGAATTAATGTATTTCAACAGCGTGGCGTCTATTTAAGGGAACATGGCAAATAAAGCAAACTTATATGGAAGCTTTTACAGTATAACCCCCTAAATCAGCATTATTATCCATGTAAAAATTAATATATTTCAGAAATGTACTTGCCAAATGGATCTTAGGCTATAAAAGAATGAACATTGAGAAGCAAAAAGCCTAACACCTGGCAGATGCCTGCAGCTGAAGAAGGGAATCTCAATATGACATCTCACAGGTGACCAGAGCATCATCCCAATAATTCACTTCCATTCCAGCCTTCATTGACATGCCCACCTGTAGCCACTTCACTCCTCTTTGTCGTGGTGTCCCATACTCTTCAAAACTAGGAAAGGATAAACGAACAGTGTGTGGCACCTCCAACATGCCAGGCACTACTGGGATGGTCACTTTTCAATTATCTTAATATCTTATCTCATTGAACCTTCCCACTAACTCTAAAGGTGGTGCTAAACCCATTGGACAGATGTGGAAGCAGCACGCCCAGCATCACAGAAATAATAAGTGGTGAAGCCGGGGTTAGAACTCAGAGCTCTTTTATTTTTTTCTTTTGAGACAGAGTCTCGCTCTGTCATCCAGGCTGGAGTGCAGTGGCGCGATCTCGGCTCACTGCAAGCTCCGCCTCCCAGGTTCACGGCATTCTCCTGCCTCAGCCTCCTGAGTAGCTGGGACTACAGGTTCGCGCCGCCACGCCCGGCTAATTTTTTGTATTTTTAGTAGAGATGGGGTTTCATCATGTTAGCCAGGATGGTCTCGATCTCCTGACCTCGTGATCCGCCCACCTCAGCCTCCCAAAGTGCTGGGATTACAGGCGTGAGCCACCGCGCCTGGCCAGAACTCAGAGCTCTTCAACACTAAAACTCATGCTCATTGTTGTACCAAGCTTCACAGGAACAGTTGGAGGATGGAAGTACCTAGAGATTTTAGCTGTCTGTAGTAGGGAACCAGGAAAAGAATATAATGGCAGCATTTTAAACTCATGGTGCCTACCTCTAGCCACTGAGTACTCTCTTCCTGAACATTCACTCTGCTTGTTCTCCAAGGGCCCAAGTAGGCCTTGCTGTGCTTCTACCAAACTCAGCATATCCTAAAATCATCCCTGCAAATCTCTTCCTTATTGCCACCAAGTCTCTGCACTCTAACTACCGCCATTACACAAAAGAAATGCCAACCACTGCGTTTCTTAAAATGCAGTGCCTTCCTGGCCAAAACAGCACCAGAACACAACAGAACCAAAATGCATGGATGGACAGCACCTGTTACCTTGCTAAAGACAGATGAGCATCTCACTGAGGCAGCTAAAGGCATAGACAGTTAACAGAGATGGAATATCTAAAATGTGCAGAGGGCCAAGCTTGGCAAGAAACATCCAAGTGCAGTTGGAAACAATGAACCCAATCCTGACTGATGTTAAGGCTCCTGGTGGACCCTATGCAGAACATTCTAAAACATCATTGTAAGGAAGCATGGTTACAATCTTACCCTCAAAACGAAAAAATACTATTTTCACAAAACAGCCTGGAATATTCTCTCTTCCTCCCATCTTTCCAGTGCTTTATCTCACCTCTTTCAGAAAACATTGCCTGATTACTCTCCATCCCCATTTCCTCTGATTGTAATGGTTTTCTCTGTACTGCAAGATCCTAAATCATCTCACTAGGAAGTGCCTCTGGACCCTGTGAAGGGTGCACAGAGCAGCTGAATCATTTCCACTCTCAGGATGGTGAGCCGCGCTGGGCAGACAGGAATAGCGAACCACATAAAAGATATAACTTGTTTGAAGGGCATGACAGAGTGCTGAGAGGAGGGAATTCCATTATGAAAGGCTTCAGGTAGGAGGCAGGACTCAAGTGCACTTCAGAGAGTGAGTTGGATTTCCCTAGAAGAAAATTGTATAAAGAGGGATGAAGACTTAGTAAGTGTTATGCGTTGAATTGTGTCCCCACTAAAAAAGATAGGTGGAAGTCCTCACCCACAGTAGCTCACAATGCATCCTTTTTTGGAAATAAGGTTGCTTCAGATGTGGTTAGTTAAGATGAGGCCATACCGGAGCAAGTGGGCCCCTGGATCCCATGTGAATGGTATCCTTATGAGAACACAGAGACACACACAGAATGTCATGTGATGAAAAAGGCAGACACTGGACTGCTGCAGCTGCAAGCCAAGAAACACCAAAGATTGCTGGCAAGCGACAAGAAGCTAGAAAGTGGCAAGGAAGGACCCCCTATGGGTTTCAGAGGGGATCTCGCCCTGAGGACACCTTAATTCCAGACATCCAGCCTCGAGATCTGCAAGACCACACATTTCAGTTGAAATTAATTTCAATACGTTTTTGCTACTATGAAGTTTGTGGTATTTTGCCAGGGCAGCCCCAGATGGAGAAGGGGACTGGAAGAAAGAGAGAAGCCAAGCTGTGGTGAAAGGAAACCACAGAACACGTTTAGGAAATGCCTTTCTCTGATCCTGCTGAAGACCTGTGTCCTACTTTACTCAATGGATGCATGGCACTGGAATGAGTTCACCTCCACATCCTCCTCTCTGCACCCAAAGCACTCTCCAGCTTCACCCTTCTTCTTTTGATCTTGTCTTTTAAAAGAAGGAGCTGTTTCTCCTTTCAAAGGCTAATTTTCTCATCTATAAACCTTATCCAATTATTCCCCACTCCTGTTGATCTCTTGCTCCAATAATTTCAAACTTTTGTTGTCTGCTGTGTAACCTAACTCCAGCCCTCTAATTTTTCTCCTTGAAAAGCAGCCTATACTTAGCTTCCTTTCCTCTGGCTGAATTATAATTTTGTCTTTCTCTTTTGTTTACAACTGTTGGAGTATAACATACCTGGGTATGTTTTTTTTTTGTTGTAATTATCCTGCCTGGTAACCCCCTGAGCCTCTCGGATCTGTAATTTGGTGTCTGTCATTACTTTGGGAAACTTCTCAGCCACCATTTCTTTAAATATTTTCCCATCTCTATTCTCTCTCTCCAGTCTCCTTCTGGAATTCCAATAAACTATATGTTAGACTGATTTTACCCCAGAGCTCTGAGGCGTTTGGTTTTATTCTTGTTTTTCCTTTTTAAAAATTTTTTCTCTTTGTGTTTTAGTTTGGGTAATTTCTATTAACTCATTCATTCTTGTGCATTGCCTACCTTTTCTATTAGAGCCTTTAGCTTATTAATCATAGTTATTTTAAGCCCCCTATCAGGTGGTTCCAACATCTGTGACATGTCTGAGTCTGGTCCCGATGACTGCTTTGTCTCCTGGGATATTTTTTTTTTTTTCTGTTTTCTAACTTTTAGTTTCAGGAGTACGTCTGCAGGTTTGTTATATGGGTAAATTGCATGTTGCAGGGGTTCAGTATACAGATTATTTCAATACCCAGGTAATAAGCGTAATACCTGATAAGTAGGCTTTTGATCCACATCCTCCTTCCATCCTCTACCCTCAAGTGGGCCCCAGTGTCTGCTGTTCTTTTCTTTGTATTCTTGTGTACTTGTATTAGTCCGTTTTTATGCTGCTGATAAAGACATACCTAAGACTGGGAAGAAAAAGAGGTTTAATTGGACTTATAGTTCCACATGGCCGGGGAAGCCTCAGAATCATGGTGGGAGGTGAAAGGTACTTCTTACATGGTGGCAGCAAAAGTAAATGAGGAAGATGCAAAAGTGGAAACCCCTGATAAAACCATCAGATCTCGTGAGACTTATTCACTACCACGAGAACAGTATGGGGGAAACTGCCCCCATGATTCAAATTATTTCCCACTAGGTCCCTCCCACAACACGTGGGAATTATGGGAGCACAATTCAAAATGAGATTTGGGTGGGGACACAGAGCCAAACCATATCAGTACTCAATATTTAGCTCCCACTTATAAGTGAGAACATATGGGATTTGCTATTCTGTTCCTGTGTTGGTTTACTTAGGATAATGTCCTCCACCTCCACCAATGTTGCTGCAAAGGACATGACCTCATTCCTTTTTATGGCTGCATAGTATTTCATGGTGTGTATGTACCACATTTTCTTTATCCAGTCTACTGTTGATGGTCATCTGGGTTGATTCCATGTCTTTGCTGTTGTAAATAGGGCTGTGATGAACATTTAGGTGCATGTGTCTCTATAATAGAACGATTTTATCTTTTTCTTGCCTTTTTGCATGCCTAGTAATTTTTATATTGAAAGTGTGGGAGAATAAAGATGGGGGTAAATACATTTTAATGCCTGGAAATGGGCACATCTTTCCTTCTGCTAGTTCTGCTAGGTGTCTAGTGTAAGGGTTTGAGTTGATCTAACTAGGAGTTGGGCTGACTTGGAGGTTTGTTGTCTCTGTGGTTACTCTCAGTGACCTGCCAGCCTCACATTCCTCTAGTGATACCCTGTGTTCAGGGCAAGGGCTGATTGCCAAGTCTATTTTCCAGTGACTGCTGCACTCTCAGACTTCAGTCTTTCCTGTGCACCATGTCTCAGAGAAAGTCTCTTTCCTGCATATTACTTGTCAATCCATGCTTGTCAGCCTTGTAGTAGGGAATGAGGGTCGGAGGTTGTTCTCTTATTCTGATTAAGCCTCAGTCTTGGGCAGGCAGTTTATCCCCAGAAACCAAGGAAATGGCATTTTCAGTGATCCTGCCAATCCTTCAATAATCCCGCCCTTTCCTCTAACACAGTCCTGAATCTAGCTTGTAATCTTGCTCCCGTCCCAAAATAAAGCTTTTGTCTTCTAGGGGAGACACAGGGGGAAAGTCATACGCCAACTCCCCTCCCTCCATGCTCTGAGCACCGCCTTTGTACCTCTCTCTGTGCACTCGGCATATCCTGTGTGGTAGGGAGTATACTTCTAAATATACTTTATCTTGCCTAATAGAAGATATGATCTTCCTGTGTTGTCAATCTTGGCTTTTTATTACATATTTGTTCTATACATGGTTTATCTTTTATCTCAACCAAAACCATTTCTTCTTTGATAATACAGTACAAACTTTTCCCTTTTTAAAAAAAAAATATATTTCCAGCTGGGCACAGTGGCTCATGCCTGTAATCCCAGTACTTTGGGAGGCTGAGGCAGACAGATCACTTGATGCCAGGAGTTCAAGGCCAGCCTGGCCAACATGGTAAAACCCTCTCTACAAAAAAAAAAAAAAAAAAAAAAAAAAAAAATTAGCCAGATGAGGTGGTGCACACCTATAATCCCAGCTACTCAGGAGACTGAGGCATGAGAATCACGGGAACATGGGAGGCAGAAGTTGTAGTGGGCCAAGATCGTACCACCGCACTCCAACCTGGGTGACGGAGTGAGACTTTTTCTCAAAAAAAAAAAATTAATATTTCCCTTTTGCAATTTCTTATACTTCCTTCAACCTCCAAATACACAAATAGCATAGAGAATTAAAGTTGACCTCATCCTTTTCTGCAAGTTCTCCAAATAGAGTTATAATTATATATGACTAAGGGTCTGCAATCCTACACTAGAGCCACAGCTCCCCACTCAGTTGTTGCATGGCATTAGGCAAAGGACTTAAACTTCTAAGCCTTAGTGGGGATAAACGAGGCAAAAATTCATATTTAATTCACAGGATTGCTGTGAAAACTAAATGAGATAATGCATGTGATAAGCACTATGCAGGTGTTAGTTTCTTGTAAAATTATCATTTTAAGAAATAGTTGCTTTTGGCAGAGAGGAGGAATGGAATTAACTTTTACTGAGTCCTACGCACAATGCTCAGTGCCTCTGCAGTCTCCATCTTAGTGAAGCCACACCAGTTAAAAGGCATATGTATTATCATTAACCTCGTGTGACAGAGGCAAGGTGCAAACAAGTTCCTTTGTCACCACTGACATAGCCTATGTAGCTGTGAACTATTACTTTCTTCTTATGACTGCAGAAAATATCTTCTGTGGAGTACAGACACATAACATAGCCACACCAAAAGGTTACTTAGGAAGGTGGTAGACAAGTAACCTTCCAAAGCAGTGAATTCACCACCAAGCCTTGAGACTCCACATGTTCAGCTATACAGGTTTTGACAAATGCAATGAGTCATGTATCTACCACCACAGAACCATAACGAATGGTCCCACCACTCCAGAAATTCCCTCATGCTGCCCCTTTATGTGGTTTAGACATTAAGATAGAATCAAACAGCTAATACGCCCTATTCGGGTCTCCGGTTCCCAGGACCCACTGCCCTGAGCTCCTGAATGGGACTCAGTTTAACAACCCCAGCTTGGTTGTCCAGTGACTGTGAACCCATAGCTTTTTTCTGTAGGTTATGTTCTGCAAGACTAGAGACTATTTTTAGTTTCTTGCACTGTAACCCTAGTCTTGGCTAGGCTCAGGCACTGTAACCCTGGTCCAGGCTAGCCTCAGGCACTGCAACCCTAGTCTAGACTAGTCTGCGGCATTGCTAACCTAGTCTAGGCTAGCCTCAGGCACTGCTCAGAGGCAGGCACCAAGGATCCACAGGCCAAGATGCCCTATAACTACCCCTGCCCCATCCACCATCCGCCATCAAGCCATCGCAGGGCTGGGCATCATGGGCTGGGGCCTCTGCAGACTTTCTCCTTGGGGCCCAGAGTCCCTTTTTATGATACCTAAAAGGTCCAAAGCATAACAGGCCTTCTTTTTGAGACAGAGTCTCATGCTGTCACCCAGGCTGGAAGGCAGTGGCACAATCTCAGCTCACTGCAACCTCTACCTCCCAGGTTCAAGTGATTCTCCTTGCCTCAGCCTCCCAAGTAGCTGGGATTACAGGTGCCTGCTGCCACACCCCTCTAATTTTTGTATTTTTGTATTTTTAGTAGAGATGGGGTTGTACCATGTTGGCCAGGCTAGTCTTGAACTCCTGAACTCAAGTGATCCACCCACCTCAGCCTCCCAAAGTGCTGAGTTTACAGGCGTGAGCCACCGAGCCTGGCCACAGGCTTTCTATTTCTCCTCCATTTTCCTATTTAAAAACTAGAAGCCAAAGATTGAATTTGCACAGTTCTTATGCTATAGCAACAAAACGCACAGTTGCAGCAAGTGAATCTGTGTTTTTAAAACACATTCTCTTTTCTTTTTTCTTGCCATCAATGTACTGTTTCTATTTCATATGAACTGATAATTATTATATGCAATGCTTTCCCATCATGAACACTTAGTCATTTTTTAAAAACATTGCTTTGATCATGTCACTTCCCCGGCCCAAAACATTACCCAGTTTGCAGTTGTTTGCCATTTAGCCATCTCTAAATCCACCCAAATTGCCTCCCATGCCTCCCACACACAAAGCTCTGCTCTGGCCAAACAGGACTTATTTGCATCCACTCTACCCTTGCCTCTTCTGCAAGGATCACCACGACCGTGAAGCCCTCTCAGACCACAGGAATGAACTTCCTCTCTCATCTGGATTCCTGTAACCCAAATTCCCCATCATGCTAAGATGTCCTGACGTATTATGGCTATTAACATACGCCCTGCAAGATCTCTCACCGTTGTAAAGAGTTAAGCTTCCCTTAAGTAACCATCTATCTCTGTCTTGTAGACACTGCGAACTGTGTAACAGAGTCTTTCCCTCCACCTGCTGACTGCTAAAACCTGAGAGCTAAATTTGTACCCTATTTCTACGAAGTACACAGGACCTGATACCACACATATACAATATACACATACACTATACAAAACAGTAACTTATACTTCAACCCTGGCTCAAATTATCACTTCCCATCCTTGTTTTCTCTTGGACTCATTTGTCTTTCTGATTTATATTTTATCTTGCCACATTGCATGCATTTTTTTGGAAGGTAGGATGAAAGTGAGTGAGAAAAAGCTAGAATTCTTTCCCATGCCTGGCACAGACTCCCTGTACTCCCTGTGATGCGAGGTTGACAAGTGGATCTTCTTATGCCGATATTTGTCATTATCTAAGGGGTATGTCTGGAAATAGGCACACATTCTTCAATCTGTCTCTGTTATGACCAACCAAAACTCAGGAGGCCTCAGAACCTGGGTACATTAAACATCACAAAGGTCTTGATGTAGGAATCTCCCATCGTTTTCAGAAAAAAACAACAAGACAATGGATGCCAGGAGCTAAATGTCCAAAATAGTTGTGTGATGATGGTAGGAGCAAATCAGCAAAAAATCCCTGTGTTGTTTCTTACTGGGATTCTAGACCTTGATCTTCCCCTCTTGGTATAAAGCTTCACGTCCACAGTTAAAGCCACTCATTCTGCAAGTGTCTGTCTGAGTCATTTCTACGTGGGAGGATGCCAGACAATGCCAGCTGCCTACATTCACCTCTCTTCTTTATGAGTAGCACCCCAATTTTGCTCCAGGCAGCCATACATTCTTCCTCATGAGAAAACAACAATGAAAAAACACCTCCCTCGCCTAGATCCCCTGCAGCTAAGTATTGCCACATGGCATACTTCTGGCCAGTGAGACATAAGCTGAAGCTCACTAGTTAGGGTCTTCCAAGAAAGCTATCATTTTTCTAATAATAGAAGGAGCACACTAGGCTGGCTCATCCCTTTTGACCTCACTTTTTGCCCTTTAGACTTCCTGGAAGGTGGATGTAATCACAGAGGTACAAGAGCCATTTTGCAAACCTGAGAATGATGAGAAAGGCAGAGGAGAAAGCTAAAGGGCACTGGTGACATGGAAGAGCCACTGTGCCAGTCTGGAGCCACTACCCCTGTCCTTCTCCTAGCACAAGAGAAGTGAAACCCCGCAATTCATGCCAGCATTTTAGGTTTTCCATTACAGGCAGCCAAAGTCAATCCCTAGTGATGTAGGGAGGCAGCGTGCTTAATAATAAGAGAGATAAATAAGACGCGATCCCAGTCCACACATGGTTCTCATGTATCAGGGAGAGATAAGAAACTCGGAGGAATAATCATAAAGCCTGATGGACCATGACAAGCACATAAGCCATAGCTGGGGTGCTCAAAAGAGTTCAGAGGAGGGAGAAATGGCTTCTAGCTAAAAGCATTTAAATTGGGCCACTTCACACTAAAATATCACATTTATCCTACCTGGAGAGACACTGTTCAATCCAAGAGAATCAACCTCTCCTGGTAGAACTGTATGCATTACATGTCTTGGGAGGTAGTTTCGAGGAGTGGCTCCCTTCCCCGGACAGGGCTAAGGAGTGTGGCTGTGCCAGGCGTGGCATGGGAAGACATCATGCTGATTCTCTCTCTCCACCCTCCCTCCCCTCTACCTCCCATCCACTTGCTTGTTCTCAGAGCCCAAAAGGGAAAAAGCTTTCCTCCATCGCTCTCTGGATGACTCTGGTGCTGCTGGCTCATGCCCAAGAATGTCCTGGCCAAGCAGCATCCCAGAGGAGGGTTTTGGTTGCATGTTTTAAAACATCACAACGAAGCCCCTGATGAAGAATCTGAGCCAGATACCTGTCCCCAAGGGGGCCTGCTGAAGTGGTAAGGACGGCCCTGTGCAGAGGCCCTGAGACCTCAGATCTCATCTCCTATAGGAGCTGCACAGCCAGGACAGAGAAGAAAACACACACTGGGTTTTAAAGCACTGTTTCCCGGACCACACTAGGTGACAATAAACATGAGATCCAAGAATCAGTGACCAAACAGTATAGCCAGCCCTCTCCTTTTCTGCTGGAATTCAGTCACCTTGAAATGTTCCCCATTGGGTTCTCAGTTCAAGGCTCATACCCCAGAACCACATTGGAGATATCTGCCAGATTTTTCTCTTGAGTCCTAGTCCTGTCACCACCATTTCCAAAACCTGCTGTGAACAACATCCCGGAGACTGTGAAACTGATCTCCAGGCCCATGCAACAAGCCCAAGTCCCCAGCCAAGACCTCAAGCCCTCTGCCTACTCCACCCACCATGTATAGAAGGATTCTAATCAACAAAGTACAGAAATCACTGTTTGCACTCTGAAATCTGCAACTTCAAAAATATTTTACCCAAAACACATAGGCACAGACAACAACACATGAGACACGATCCTAGTCCGCACATGGTTCTCATGTATCAGGGGGAGATAAGAAACTCGGAGGAATAATCATAAAGCCTGATGGACCATGACAAGCACATGAGCCATAGCTGGGGTGCTCAAGAGAGTTCAGAGGAGGGAGAAATGGCTTCTAGCTAAAAGCATTTAAATTGGGCCACTTCACACTAAAATACCACATTCCATGACAAACACAGAATTCTGTCTGTCATGGAAAATGTTAAATTTGAAAAGACCGCCAAAGTCTTCTCATCATATCACATACTTGAGAAATATCACGCATTATGCTGAGAACACATTTATGCCTAATGAACTGCACGATATATGCAAATTAAAACATGCTAATTGGCTTTAGCTGTTCCTTTACATAAAGTCAATACTTCTATGGATCATTAAATGTATTCCTTTCATATTAATTTCAAAAGAAAAATTAATTGCTAAAAAAACAAATTCCCAGGTGTAGCCAATGTAAAGATTCAAATCTAAAATGTTGCTACAGTAAAACATTTACTGTGTCAGCTCCCAATACCTAGTAAGTCTTCGACTCAAGCAAAAAAAAGAAATTTCATATTGAATTTTTTTTTCTGTGATTTAAAACTGATTAATTCATGTTGGTTTAAATTCAATAGAAACCTTTTGCTTACATTTCAAATTTGTTTAAAATAAGCATTTAGTTATCTATCTTTTTTTCCTAATTAGATGAGAAAAAGAACATTAAAACCAAGAAGGAAGCAAAAGAAATTGGCGCTTGAGACCGCCCTGCCTCTCCCATTGACTGCTCTCTCCCCTAAAATGTACACAGTATAGTGTATGGCACATAAAGGGCCTCCATCAGTATTTTTTATTTAAATAAATGAATTAATCGATTAGCTTTTTGCAATGTTTTATGATGCCTTTAGCTAATTAAAATTAAAATAATAGTTATAATTTCTTGGATGCTTACTTTCTGCCAGGTACCCTACAATGTAGGTGTTCTCTTCAGTTTCCAGATACAAAAACAGAGGCCCAGCAAAGTCAACTCAAATAGGTATTAGGTTTCAGAGCCAAGATGCAAATCCAGGTCTGGCCACAAAAGTCAACACCATTTGCACATGGTCTCCCCAGCCTAGGGTCATGGGTGGTTACTGGAGAAGGGGACAGATGGGAGCATGTGGTCCACCAAATTCAATCCAGCTGGCCACTCTGCAGGGGACCTCACAGCCCTGGCGCATTGACCAGAGTCATGGATGGGCACTGGCCTTGCACTCTCACCGAGGGCAGGGTCATCCCTCGGAGAGACTCACATTAACCAAGCCCAAAGTGCTGGGTATGACTACAGCACCAGCTCCTCTTTTGCAATAGGAATTAACATGTTGGGGACCAGTATATTCTCCCCAGGTAGCAAGATCTGCAACAGGTAAAGCCCAGCAAATATCAGAACGTTGTTGGGAAAACCAAAACAGAAGCAAGTACAACGATTTCCCAAATGTTTTCAGGGCAACTAGGCTATTTGGATTTCCTTGGCTGTCACTACTACCTGCCACCGATCTTTATTCTAGGGACAAAGATTAGATAAGTGATTCCAAAGTCTCAAGATTCTCCCTTTTCAATCATCTCCACTTTTTAGAGCAAGCCTCCTCTATTTGTATATGCTAATTTATTTTCTCAGATTACCCTCAAGCCTCTGTCCTGGGAAATCTTCACCTTATTTTGGGCTCTGGCCCAAAGACCCAACGGATTGATACTAAAATTTAAGATCAGTCTTATTTCCCTTATTTTCAAGCCCTTATATTTGAAGGAACTTATATTTGGGGTATACACCCAAATAAATGAAAACAATATCATATGTGTGTGTTTAATATTGTTAACGTGCTAACGAAAGACAAGTGGGCCGTAATAGAAACCCAAAACATCTTGAGGTGCGGATTCTTAGAAAGTGTAATTACACTTACATCATGTAAAATGTCACATCACTTTCACGTTATTCAAATGCAAGGTACCATTCTGAAAAAAGAATAAATCAGTGTTTGCCACAAACCACATGACTAGTTGACTTTGTTAGTTGTCAGGATATCAAAAGAAGAAAAAGGGAATGGAATTTATAAAATGATCCACTAAGGAACGGAAGTTGCTGGGACAGAGACATAAGATGAAGGCATGAAGAGGAAGGCACAGCAACAGGTTTGCTTTCTGGTACAAGGACACAGAGGTCATGGCTAGTTCCTCCCACACTAGGATGTACTTTTTGGAAAAAGTGCCTCCTTTGAAAAGCTTATAATGAAGTCTAGTGATACATTGCACCATTTGATGGTACCGTACATGAGAAAATGCTAAAAACACTCTGGAAAATGCAAGTGGCTATATTACAATCTGTAGACAGTCCTGGTCCCAAATTCAAATGAAAATATAAACAGTTTGCTTGAAAACAGAGCTCTGACCTATAGTTCCCTGCTTAACCAAAGGGTCTATTTTTAAAGATTAGGAAACTTTTTTCAATCAATAGAAGTAGTAACATATTACCATTTATTTCAAGGAGGGGAGGCCTCAAATCTCTCATTTCGAAAACCCTAGGATTTTCTGGCTCTCAGATTTGTGCCTAAATCCTCCCTAAAGTAGAGATTTTGTATAAAATCTCCATGCTGATTTTCCAATATCCAATAAGCTGAGCACGAGTTGTCCAGGAAAGCAAGACCACCGCTGCCCAGCAGCACATTTGTATCAGTTTCCCAGGGCTGCGACTACAAACTACCTCAAACCTGGCAGCCTAAAACCACCCAAGTGTATCATCTTAAAATGCTGGAGGTCAGAAGTCCAAAATGCATCTCACTGGGCTAAAATCTAGGGCTCAGGAGAGCTGCATTCCCTCTGGAGGCTCTAGGAGAATCTATTTCTTTGCTTTTTCCAGTGTCCAGAAAATCCATTTCCATGCCTTTTCCAGAGGCTGTGGTTGGTGGCTCCTGAATCCATCTCCAAAGCCAGCAATGGCTGGCTGAGTTTTTCTCACACGGCATCACTTTGGTTCTCTGCCTTCATCACCACCTCTCTTTCTCTGATTCTTTCAAGAAGTCTGTGATACTGAACCCACCCAGATAACCCAGGATAATTTCTCCATCTCAAGATCCCTCCCTTCATCACATCAAACTCCCTTTTGCTGCATATAATAACAGATTACAATGACAAGGATTAGGACATGGCCGCCTTTGGGAGACCATTATTCTGCCTGCTGTTGCACCCTCAGCTAATACATAAGGATTCACAAGATACAACGAAGGTGCAATGAAGTCAATACAAGTTGCAAATAGAAATCTGTTCTGCTCAGATACTTGAGTCCCACAGCCTTGTGGGTTTCATGCACAGACACAGTGCATCCTCTGCGTGTTGTTGCCATGTGTCATGACCTTTCAGGGAGAGTGGAGTGGGAAACACAGAGTGCCACATGTGCTTGGTGGCCCCGCATTCTCTTCTTTGGCTGGTGATGGATGACTATCCACCATCCCACGTAAGCAGAGAGCTGCGCCCTCAGCATCTCTGAGAGCCCTGCTGCCCCTGATCTCTCCTCCCTGGCTTCATTGTGGCTGTCTGACTCATGAGCTCCAACCTTGCTCCTGCCCATGCCTCCATCTACTCATCTCTAACTATTGCTGTTTAACCTGATGCAGGGTTCATCCTTACCCAAAAAAACTACAGAAGATCAGAAGTAAGCACCGAGTCTCCCTCTGACACTATGGATAACTGTCCATTTTCAGGCAGGTGCGGAAGTCCAAGGCACTAAGCCTTGGCGAGCGCTTTGCTAGTGCAGCCCACCCTCCATTCTAAAGAGATGGCTGAGTTTTGGAAGGCATAGCTATAAGAATCTGCGTCCTGGCTGCCCAAGGCAAGGGGGCACCCAGTGTGGCTCTGGAAAGTAGCTTGGTAAATAAGATGGAACCCAATGCATAAAAATACCTGAATTTCATTAAAGACTTCACCTTTTTTCTTTTTTCTTTTTTCTTTTTTTTTTTTTTTTGAGATGGAGTTTCACTCTTTTTGCCCAGTCTGGAGTGCAGTGGCGTGATCTCGGCTCACTGAAACCTCTGCCTTCCGGTTTCAAGCGATTCTCCTGCCTCAGCCTCCCTAATAGCTGGGATTACAGAAGGCCACCACCATGCCCAGCTAGTTTTTGTATTTTTAGTAAAGACGGGCTTTCATCATGTTGGCCAGGCTGGTTTCGAACTCCTGACCTCGTGATCCACATGACTCAGCCTCCCAAAGTGCTGGGATTACAGGAGTGGGCCACCAAAGCCTGTAAAGCCTGGCCAAAGACTTCACTTTTTTAGAGCAGTTTTAGGTTCACAGCAAAATTGAAAGGAAGATACACAGATTTCCCATATACCCTCTACCCCCAACACATACACAGCCTCCCCCATTACTCACATACCCTAGCAGAGTGGTGCATTTGTTACACTTGAACTTACATGGACACATCATTATCACCCAAAGTCCATAATTCAGGCTTCACTCTCGGTATTGTACATTCTATGGGTCTGGACAAATGTACAATGACATGGAGCCACAATTATAGTATCATTCAGAGTAGTTTCACTTAAAATCCTCTGTGTTCTGAAGGCTTAAATTTTTTTGCAAAGTCTCTGTGGCCATATTACCTAGGGAAAGTCATGCGGCCTTGAATTTCCTAACAAAATACTGATAATTCTGCCTGCATCGCCTGTATATTGGAAATAATATAAGCTCCATGTATTTGGATAAAAAAGTTATTGTAAATAGTTACAGACTTTAAGATAAGTTAACATTAAATTTTAAAACAATAATATATAGAGCCTTTGATAAATGAAATAGCCCTATGGTTCTAAAATGATACGTAATTAAAAAAACATGTTTATGACACAAAAAATTGTTAACTACCTTGATAAATACAGAACATTCATACAATCTAATATTATACAACTACTGTTGTGAAATGAAAAAATATTCATTTTTATGTTTTTGTTTTCATGTTTACTTTTTGTTTCTTTTCCTTTGTATAGCTGACAAAAATTGTACACATTTACAGAGTACAACATGATGTTTTGATACATGAATATATTGTAAAATGGTTAAGTCAAGCTAATTAACATATCATCACCTCACATGCTTATCATTTTTGGTGGTGAGAACATTTAAGATCTACTCTCTCAGCAATTAAAAAAGATACAATACACTATTATTAACTATAGTCACCATGTACAAATATTTTTAGAATGAGTATAAAGTCATATGAACAATATAATACTGACTATGAAAAAAATATACTAGAAGACAATGGAAGGAAAACATCAAACTTTGGCAGAAATTTCCTCTGGATAGCAAGTATATCCGTTAAAAATCATTAGTGGCAAACAACAGGAACGGATTCTGACTAACTTCAACAAAAGGGGTTTTATTAGGACACTGAGAGCTCAGAGGACTGAAAGCTGAGGAGCCACACCTGTGAGTCAGTGAGAACTAAGGCAGTTCTAGAAGCTTCTAGACAGCAACCTTAGGAACATCCTCATACAGAGTTACTAGTCAAGGTGCCACTTCCAGGAATGAATAAACTCCAGCACTTTTATTCCCCTCAAAATTCAAATCCCTGGGAAGAAGCTTGCTATTGGTCCAGCCTGGGTCACACATCCATTCCTGGGGCTGAGGGAAGGCACCCGACCTGCTTTTCAATCACACCAGACTTTCCTTATCGGGAAGAGATGTGATTCCCCAAAAGGAAATCAGAGGGCTTATGGAAAGGAGTGGATGATGAGCAGCATGAAGGAGAAAAAAAATGTCCAGTGGAATTAGGAGTGACTTCTCCCTTTAACTATTTTCTTTAGTTGACAGGCTGCACCTAGTAATTACAAAATTGTGTTTTGTTTTGTTTGATTTGGTTTGGTTTGGTTTGGTTTGGTTTGGTTTGGTTTTAGACAGGGTCTGGCTCTATCACTCAGGCTGGAGTGCAGTGGTATGATCACGGCTTTCACTGCAACCTCCACCTCCCAGGCTCAAGTCATCCTTCCAACTCAGCTTCCCAAGCAGCTGAGACTACAGGCGCGTGTCATCACAGCTGGCTAAATTTTTGTATTTTGTGTAGAGATGGGGTTTCAACATGTTGCCCAGGCTGGTCTCGAACTCCTGGGCTGAAGCGATCCAACCGCCTCAACCTCCCAAGGGATTATAGGTGTGAGCCACTGCAATTGGCCACAAATTGTTTCTATCAAGACGGTGATATTCTCCTTTTTGGTCATGGTTGATGGTTGCCCATCAAAATGTGTCCTCCCTTTTTCCCTAACACCATGGCTGGGTGACATTTCCCATCCTTCCTGACACGTAGGTATAACCCTGGGACCAAGGTGGGCCTCAGTTGTCTCCAGTGGAAAGTTAGCAAAAGTCCTGCCTCTGCCCTGAGGCCTCCTAGGCCTGCTCACCTGGAATGCTCCCCTCAGACCACATGAGAGGGAAATAAACATATATTTCCTTAAACAACTAAAATTATTGCTGAGTCTCTTTAAGAGACTAGCCTTATCTTAATAGAGCAGCAAGATGTCATTCCAAGTGCGACTGGAGTTCTACGCGCGATGCTCTGAGAGGCTGTGTCATGTAATGATTAAGAACCCACACTCAGGGACCAGGCTGCCAGGGCTTAAATCTGGGCTCCAGCACTTACCAGCAGCATGACCTGGGCAAGTCATTTAGACATTCGGTGCCTCCGTTTCCTCATCTGTAAAATCTCGTAGGGTTGTTATGAGGATTAAGAAAATTCTTCTATGTAAAATCTAACTGTGACTCACACAAAGGAAACACTATGATAATTTCTACATGATTCAAAAGAAGTAGGCTCATTTTTCCACAGCCACGGTTTAACAATTTTTATGGAAAAAATTAACACATCTACAGGTCAGCTCTAAAAATAAAAAGTGAATAAGAATGCAGGCTAAAATATCAAGCATTCTTTGTGCAATAGAAATTATTAATGCTACATACAGTAAGAAGGATCTGTTTGAGAAGCTCAAAGAAATGCTTCAACTCACTGGTGTGAGCTGAAGATAGAATTTCATTTTAAACTCTTCTATTTCAGGGTTCTGTGAGTTTAGGTCAGACTTATAATCCTATTTGCACAGACTTGTTCTAATCTGAGTACACACGCACACACACTCTCATTGATTTCCAGGCCACATGTTCATTCCACATTTCAGCCCACGATTTATGCAGTTGTAGGAATAAAGTACTATTCATTCAATGCAGAGGCACGCTGCCTCTGCATAAAAAGGTGGCTTGTTAATTCATTTCTCGAGTTTTAATACTTTCTTAGAATTTCTACCAAAAATTCTCGAACATTTTTAGGTGTGTATGACTGCACTGTGGAAAAAAATGGTAACCTTTTCCTCAACCCCCAAAAGGCGTAACTCACCCACCTTTGGCATAAGACCTTTGAGAAGGTGAAATTAAAATAAAATTGTCCTTCAAGCAGGCAGTCTGATTTCTAAGGAGCTATGGGTTACAAATATGTTACTAAACAAGTTTACTAAGGGAAAATTTTCAAAGGTTCCTACTGTTTTTTAAGCTGATATATTTCCCCAAGGAAATTATCACAAATTTCCTATTATTTCTTCTCACAAAATATTCCGTGGATAAGTCCTTAACAATATAAACCAGTTAAATGTGACCTACTAGATACAACTAAGTGAAGACTGAAATGCACCATTGTTGTAAGGAAAGAAAGTCATGTCTTTTGAAAATTAATACATACACTCAGAAGTCTCTGAGCACATTAAACCAAAGGAATTAAATAATGGAGTTAAGAAGGACTCTCAGCTCACTCTAATACTTGCTTATTCATTTGTTTGTTTGCTTGCTTACTTGTTAAGTGATTGCGTGTATATTTGCAGACAGTGCTCACATGCAAACTAGCAACCATTCCTATGCATGGTTCCTCATTCCTCTAAGGGTAGAATTTAAGACCAATGGGTGGAAGCTGTAAAACACTTCCAGATTGAGCCATACAGATGCAGAATGGTCTGCCTTGTGAAGTAGTGAGTTTGCTGTCCCAGGAGTATTCAAACACAGACCGGACAACCTGGGATGCTGTAGAGAGGTTTCAAGGATCAGAGGGCTAGTTAGAGTAGATACAGGTTCCTTTTAACTTAGAGAGCCTAGGACCTCACCAAGGCCAATTGAAAGGCTTTAATTCATTTCATTTTGATCTAACATTGTTTTTCTCCTGCACTTCCTGGCCCAGAAATAATCTGCCACAGAAGACATGGAGAACATGCTACGAATGCCACAAGAATGCCCTTCCCCCTCATTTATCCTCTGCTTTGACCACACAGAGAAGGGTGGTCCCATATGACCTTGAGCCTGGAGGATTCCTGGGCTCCACAGCAGTTAGAAGGAAGAGCTGAACGGGGTCCCATGAAGAAGTTCCCATCCTCCTTTACTGGGGAACTGTCACCTTTTTGTGAGAAAGCATCATTTTTCATTTCCCCAGCACCTTCAGCTCTCAGCAAGAGAAATCAGCTCACCAGCAGAAGTAGGGTGCTGATGTCACCTGCCATTCCATGTTCAGAGGGAGCGATCTCAGACAAAGGGTGACAGTGGAGCCCACCAGACTAGAGACCTTTACAATCTTACTGATAGCGCCCATGCAATGTTTCAAGATCCCCAATCTATAATCACGACTCTCATCTGCCTGAGTTACAGAAAAGCAGAAAGCTCATTCCTTGAGAAATGCAAAGTCAAAATCACATTAAAAGCCATCACACTCCCTTCTTTACACTCAATGTCCCCGTTCCTAAATCAGAATGCTCAGAACCAACCAAGAGATCATGAAGACCAAGATAGAACAACACTCGGGGAATAGGACACGTAGCTCCCTGGCTGGCTGCGGTGGGATTTGAAAATGCGGCCACTAACAGAATTTGCACACTGCAGGACTCCTAGTCAAGCTGCTAATAAAGAAATTGCTTATGCTAGGTGACTAAAAATGTTCTGTATTGTTAAACTGGTATTATGTCCATGCTGAGGTTGGAATTATGATGTTTAAGTGGCCTGCTATTCTGAATGGACTTTTTCCAATAAAGAAAAATGTACTTAAGGATAAGCAAAAAAGTATGTAAGGTGAACCCACCGGAAGGAATAACTAGGCCATCATTCTCAGCTGCCTGCTGTCTGTCGTTGTGTGCAGAGCTACAGGGGTGATGCCCACCTCCCAGGTGACAGCCACCCCTCCCAGGTCCATCCAGTGACGGAGTTGCCTGGCTCCTGGATAGGAGCGAAATGGCCCCTGATCATCCCTCTGACTGTGTTCTTAGAGTAGAATGTCCTTTAATAAGTCCCTGGTATTTGTCAGTAACACTGAAATAGCTCTCTTGTGTTCCATCACTCTAATCATCTTGCAAACCAGACTCCAATGGCCACTGGCCAGAGCTGAAACCAGCTCTCCCTGCCCCAAGCTTGGGCAGAACAGAATGCGTCCTCCTGCATTCTTCATGCCACGAGGACAGCTGGCAAACACCCTGGGAGGAGAGGTGGGGAACTCCTTGAAGCGTCAGAGAATGGAGAATTAACCAGGACAGGGATCCCCACTGGAATTAGGGGGTGTGAGGCTCTGTGAAAGAAAAGGAATCATGAGCCTAAACAGCTGCTAAAGATGGCTGTTTCCTGACATATCATCTTACAACCTAAAACCTGAGAAACTTGTGACGCCACTTTTTCATAATGCAACTCCATTAGGCTCACTCAAACACAGCACCTCCAAACAACCAGCAATAAAAATAAGCTCCTTGGCCAGCCGCAGTGGCTCATGCCTGTAATCCCAGCACTTTGGCAGACTGAGGCAGGCGGATCACCTAAGGTCAGGAGTTCGAGGCCAGCCTGGCCAACATAATAAAACTGTGTCTCTACCAAAAATACAAAAATTAGGCAGGCGTGGTGGCCCATGCCTGTAATCCCAGCTTCTTGGGAGGCTAAGGCACGAGACTCCCTGGAACCCGGGAGGTGGAGGGTGCAGTGAGCCGAGATTACACCACTGCATTCTAGCCTGGACGAGAGCGAGACTCCATCTCAAATAAATAAATAAATATGGCTGTTTACTGACACATCATCTTACAAACTAACACCTGAGAAACTGATGCCACTTTCCCCTAATGCATCTCCATCTTGAACACAACACCTCCAAACAACCGCAATAAAAATAAGCTCCTGAAAGAGATCTGTGGATAGAAGATGGTTGCACAACCACTTGAAGGTACTTAATGCCACCAAACTGTACACTTTAAAATAGTTGCACTATGTATATTTTACCACAATAGAAAATAATTCCATCTCAGGCTCTAATTCTTGATCAAGAAACAGCAGATACTTACTTGCCAGCATCCTCTATAATTGTATATTGAGAACTCTTTTAAACTGTTGCCATGGTTAATAATTTAGAACATAAATTAAAATATTGAGTCAAATAATAACCAAGCTGTCAGGCCGTGCTGCAACTCTATCTTTGGCATTTCAATTATGTATGGCATTAGAGCTTTGATCTGCATAATGAGTTGATAGCACGCAGAAAACAAGACCATTTCTAAAAATGTGTCATTGGCCAAATGCTTTCTTACAATCAATTCTAAATCCTCCAAGTTAAGAGAATTAGGTAACGTAAGCTAAAGTTGCAATGTGAATCAATCTGGCTGTAATCAGTTCTCCCTTTTTTCTAGAAATTAGTGTGCTTAAAACGGCACGTTATCAAATAAACTAGCATAACGGTTGTGTTTCTCCTGCTGTCTTTGATGAACATTAACTAACAAGAAAAATCTGTCCTCAAAAACACTATTTTTAATTTCCTGACATGCAGAAGTTAAAGAGCTTCTTAACAGTATTTCTACAATAAAATACATCCAATTAAAATCAATCAATGTCTACTGTGGTTAACTTTATTTATCAGCTGCCATAAAATATGCACCAGGATCAGTCGCTGTGTTCAAGGACCATCTCTTGAAAACAAGAACATGAAATTCTGACTCACCGATAGTTGACCTTTCACTTGATATTGTCTTCCCTGATCCTGAAAATAGAATAAAAAGCAGCCATATATGTGTCTTCATGGGACTTTCACCCCATATCACCAGCACAGCACCTGGCACATGGTAGTGGCTCGATGAGTATGTGTTAAAAAAATAAACAGGAAAACAGCATCAAGGTTTATGAGTTAAAACAACATACAGAGAAGTGAGAAGTATCCACAGACACTTTAGGCAATAGATCAAGTTGCAGAAAAGTTACATATATGGATCTTTATAAATTACGTCATTTCAAAATCCATTCCCTTGCCATATGAATCACCCTCTGTATTACTTTGCATTGCTGCATCCTACAAAGGGCAGTTTAATTGTTGTTGTGGTTTTTTAGAATGCAAATAATTTTCTAATTTATCTATTTTGTAACTTTGATGATAATGGATATGTTGTTCTTGATTTGTTCTTTTTAAAAGTAGAACATGTCAATGTCTCAAATTTATTTTGCAATACAAAGGGAATAAAATATAAATGGTGAAAAATGGAGTACTTATAATTTCAAAGGATTATACTACTAACTCATCCCTTTACCCTGTTATATTAGAAATGGTACAGTGCTGAAAGAGGATTTCTGAGGATTAATAAATAATTTGATAAAGAGTAGAACTTCTGGACAGAAGTGAAAAGAACAATCAGTATCAATGTAACAAAATATTGTTTTCTGTTTCTTTTGTTTTACATAGCAGTGCTTTATATGGAAGGTATCTCAGAAATATGAGTTAAATAAGAATAAAATCCCATCCCTATATTCCAAGTTCACATTTTATAAAGCACTCTTGTCAATTTGGAACTTGCTCCTTGTGGTATGTTCACATTGCAAGATCACAGCCAAGGCCCACACTCCACCAATTATTAATGTGGAATTCTATTTAAGCATAAAAGAGATTCCATTATTGCCTACTTCAAAAACCTATATTTTCTATTAGTAAGAATAAATCAATTCCCTATGCAGGATAACTACCAAATCAACACCATTGTCTCAAACTTTCTGAGTTAGGAGCCAGCAGCTGTGTGACATATGAAGTTTTACGCCAATATGGATTATCGCTCACCTCCTCCACAACTGCTAAGACAGAATTTTAATCAGAGGGTAACAAAGGCAATGCACAATGCACTCTGTGTGCCGAGTGGTCTATGTCCTTCTGCTGCTAAAAGAATGCCCGTGCTAAATTATGCATGCTTTTCTCTTTGCCTGAAAGACGTCTACATGTGCACTGACCTTTCCCAAGGCAGACTAGCTAAGGTGAGAATTCTACATTTTGCTTCTGCTCATATGAGTTTTATTTGTTGTCATTAAGGCCCTTTTTTTTTCCGTATTGTACATGAAAGTAGCCAGAAGGGAACCTCTGCTGCCATCCCTGAATACTGAAAAGGAAGGAACAGCTTATCTCCAGCTTAGAATTCATGACCAAGCCCAGGAGTGCAAGCCCAAACCATAGAGGAGGCCAGAATGCACTCTAAGAAGTGTACCCAGCTGCTTCATGGCACACCAGGGAGCCAGGGCTATCTGTTCACCCCCCAACAATGAACGCTGAGGCTCCTCAATCAAGGGATGGAGAGGGACCAGGCTAGTGCCAGGCTCTGGGAATTATAACAGAACCTGAATGGCCACTCCCCATATCACTTCCATCTCAGAATCAAGGTATGTGAATCAGAGATAAAAAATTTCAAAGTATCAGCCTCCTGTACACAACCTGAAATCTACACCTTGTACCAAGTGTTAAACTGGATGAAGTTGGCCTAAATCTGCTTCAATACTTTGAATCCTTACACAGCAAACTGCCACATAACTTAAGAGAATATTCTTGTAACAAAAAGCTGAGTCTCAGCCAATCACAGCAGCCAAGCTTCAGCCAATCACAGGCTGCCAATGAATCAGATCATAAGGTAAATGCCTCATGATATTGCACCCAAATAAGACAAATGCCCAGCCATGACTAATCAAGCTGTGCCTATACTTCCTTTCTCTGTCCATATATATTGCCTGCGCACATTGCTGGGCTGAGCTCTCTGAACCTCTACTACTTCAAGGTGCTGCCTGGTTCATGAATTATTCTTTGCACAAATAAACTCCACTAAATTTAACTTGTCTGAAGTTTTTCTTTTAACACAAGAAAGAGAAGAATTCTGAAGTACTCTTCTCTTCTTCTATTAGTGTTGACTCTTGGCTGAATGTCTGAGAGGTCACAGAAAAATCTGAGGAAGAAGAAAACACAGACTTCCATTGCCAGTAATATGGCAGACCGGATAGCTGAAGAAAACCTGTACAAAATACATAAAGTTACTGAATGTCAAAACACGCACATAATATATACATATATGTGTATATGTATATATGTGTGTATGTATATTATAAATATACATATACATTATAAATGTATATCTGAATGCACGGTTGAGATGATGGGTAAATAAGGAAAACTGTCAGAGCCCTGAAATAACAGGAAAGCATGGATCCAAACAGATAAGAAAGATCAGGTTTGATCTTGCTATCCAGGAAATCAATGGTAGTGAGCCACTTAGAAGGGACAAGGGGCAATGTCTAGGGCATATGCTGGGGCCAGAGTGCCAGAAGAGATCCCATGCACAGAACTGAGAACCCCCAAAATGCAGCAGCCTTAGGAGGTAAATTAGAAAAATATGATTCAAGAAAGCAAGTGGAGATGCTTGCCCATCTCAGCATTGGCTCTGGGTGAAAAATGAAAAAGAGGTGCCCTGAGAATGCCTAATATATATAAGGCCTCCTTCACACAGGTATAGGCTGAAATTGGCACTCTGGGGCCCCAAAATTTCCATATCAAAGATTTCATTTTGAAACACCTTGGAATGACAGTACTCCCAGATGCCTCCAAGAAATAAATATAAGTCCTCTCTGAACAAATACACTTTAAATATAGGCCTCAAAAAATTCTCACATTAACATTCCCACAGATAACATTCCAATGACCATAAGCTCAAATCAAAATACCACAAAATTCTCAGGAGGGAAAGCTGTCATGAGCAAGTAACAGAAAAAAAACCATGCTGCAAAATTACATGCACAAAAATTGCAGATATTGGAACTATCAAAGAAAAACTATAAAAATGTTTTATCTTTAAGTGTATGGCAAAAGACAAAGAGACTATGAAGAACTATCAGATAGACTTAAAAAAATAAAATTTTATGTATTGAAAGACAGAAGATCTGACCCTTATTTAACAACTTTACATGAAAAATTGTTAAATATAAAAATAGTTCCAATAACTTCAATGGAGAAAAATTATAATACATTCTATCTCCATGGAAGACATCCAGACAACCTTGACAGGTAGAATAATATGTCAATTGAACATTAAAAACAAATTCAAATCCTAAAAACAATTCAAAAGTGAACAAATATATAGCATAGAAAAAATACAAAGTACATAAAGGCTTTTTTCTTCTTTTTATACAATCAATTTTATCAATGTGTTTTATCAATTTTCAACATTTGGTAAGTTTATGGGTATTTCACATTCAATCTGCATGTAAAAATAATATTGCAACACAGGAAAACACATTTAAGGCAAAAAAATGCTTCAAAACTTACGGAAATAGTGCGATCACAACAAACTAAAGAGATGTACAACAGCCATCTCTTCTTGTCTTTTGTTTGCAATGTGTGCACAGCAAATGTTTTAATTCATCCCAACACAAAGCAGAATTCAAATTTCCTTAGCAGGGGTCAGAAAACTATAGCCCGCTTGTTTTTATAAATAAAGTTTTATTAGAATATCATTCATTTACTTGTAGTCTATGGCTGCTTTTTTCCTATGACGACAGACTTGAGTAGTTGTAACTTACACTGAATGGCCCACAATAGCCTAAAATATTTATTTATTATCCAGCCCTTTACAGAAAAAGTTTCTATAGGATAGTCTCTCACACACTGCTGACTATGTCTTTTCCTGAATTTCTAATGTCTAAATATCACTTCCTATAGGGTTTTATCTCATGTGCTTGGGACTGAGAAAGTCATTAGGTCCCAAAACCAAAAAAAAAAAAAATAAAACCAGGAATCATCCAAAGAGTGGCATTACTTTTCAAAAAGCCATTAACTGAACAGTTCTTACGCACAGTATGTCTGTACGTTGACATTAGAAACCGAATAGATGGTCTACATGTTGTATTGGACATGGTTAAAAAGAGAATTTGTAAAACAGAAAATAGAGCTGAAAAAATTACCCAGCGAACAGCACAGAGGGAGAAAAAAGATAGAAATATGAACTAGATTTAAGGAACAGAGAGGAACTCTACAGCACATCTCACTAGAGTTCCAGAAGGAAACACCAGAAACATTGGGGAAAGAGGTTATTTTCAAAGAAATAATGGCTGAGAATTTTCCAAGATTGATGAAAGACAATTATCCTTGAGTTCAGGAATCTCACAAAACTCTGAACAGGATAAAAAAAAAATCCTCACTCACCACATTAAAAATAAAAGCAGAAAGGAGAGAGTAGAGATAGGAAAAACAAAGATATTTAAAGCAGCCAGATAAAAAAGGCATGTTTCTATAAATATCAATTCAATTTAAAACTGACTTCTCAAAAGCCAGTTAAATACTATATTTTAAGTACTGAAAGTTAATAACTTCCAACCTAGAATTTTACACCTAATGAAACTATCTTTGAAAGCTTAGAATAAAATGAAGTTACTGTCAGATAAATAAAACTAGGAGAGTTTACTTCCAACAGGCCCTTACTAAAAGAACTTCTAAATAATGTATTTCGGGAAGTATATATCTCCCAGAAAGAGTCTAGGAGGCAAGAAGAAACTGTGACTGGGAAAAAAAAATACATAAATGGGGTTAAACCCAAATGAATGCTCACCATTTAGTACAATAGCAATAATATCTAATTTGTCAATTTACAAGATAGATAAGGCAAAAATACTAAACAGGTGGGGATCACAGTTTTCTAATACTTTCTTTTAGGAAAAAGAAACATAAATATATTGATTAGTGGTTAATTGTAGACTTTGTTAAGTTACACACATACGGAAAAATTTCTAAGAGAACAACTGGAAAAACAATAGAATGTGTAACTTCCAAACCAGTAGAAGAAAAAAATTGGAAAAAGAAAAAAAAAGCACTCAATTCAAAGGAAGGAAAAGAAGGAGAGAAAATGAAACATAAAAGAAGTAGAATAAATAAGGCACATAAGTAGCAGTAATCACAATAAATGTAAATGTACTAAGGCTCTAACTTAAAGACTGAGATCATCACATAGATAGTTCTAAATCTAGCTAAATGCTATTTTCACTTCAAAATAAAAGGATACACAAAATATTATGATTCTACTTATATGAGGTACTTAGAGTGGTCAAAATCATAAAGACAGAAAGTAGAATGCCAGGGGCTAGGAGATGGATAAACACACAGTTAATTGTTTAATGGATACAGAGTTTCAGTTTGACAATATTAAAAGAGTTCTGGAGATGGGCAGTGGTGATAGTTGCATAACATGAATGTATTTATTACCAATGAACTGTACACTTAAAAATGGTTAAGATGATAAATTTTGTTATGTGTATTTTGCAACAATAAAAAATGAAGTAGCCAGGCGCCATGGTTTGCACCTGTAATTCTCAGCTACTCGAGAGGCTGAAGCAAGAGGATCACTTGAGCCCAAGAATTCGAGGCTGCAGTGAGCTATGATCACACTACTGTACTCCTGAGTGACAGAGCAGGATCTCATCTCCATAAAGAAAAACATATTTTTCCTAATGGGGAAATAAGAAAGCAAGACATAGAGTGGAATATTATTCTGCTTTAAAAAGAAAGAAAATTCTGACGCATGCTACAACATGGATGAACCTTGAAGACATTACAGTAAGTGAAATAAACCATTCACAAAAGGACAAATCACTATATGATTCCATGTATATGAAGTTCTTAAATTGGTCAAATTTATACAGACAGAAGGTAGAATGGTGGTTGTCAGGGGCTGGAGGATGAAGGAATGAGGAATTATAGTTAAATAGGTATGAGTTTCAGTTTGGAGACATGAAAAAAGTTCAGGAGATGAACATTCGTGATGGTTACATAACAACATGAATGCACTTAATGCCACTGAAATGTTCACCTAAAAATGGTAAAAATAATGAATTTTATACTATGTATATTTTACCATGATAAAAAAATTTTAAGACACAAATACACAAAATAAAAACATAAGGAAGTTTTAAAGTTAAGGGCTGGCCAAGCATCACTAAAAGCAGAACCATAAGACACTGTGCAGCGATAGGAGCAAAAATAATTATTCATATAAACTATGAATTATTTTTGTCTGAAAAAAATGAACCTCCATTTAATTAAACCTCTAGATATAAGTAACGTTGATAGAAAATATAGAAGACACAAAACAAGTAAATGACAATATGAGGAAGAGGACTTTCAATTACAAGAGACTTCAGAGACTAAACAATCAAATGCAATGTGAGGCCCTCCTATACAACATTAATCAAACAAAAAGAGATACTTTTTGAGATAAGGACAATTTAAACATGGTCTGGGTATTCAGTAATTTTTAAAGAATGATAATTTTTAGGTATGAAAACAGCATGGTGGTTATGTACAATAAAGACCTTATCAAGTTGAAATATATATGATATTTAGGGGGTATGCTTCTATCGTGCTACTCAAGGAAAAATCTAGTAGGCCCTGTAATTTTCTGGCCACTTGTAGGTAACAGAAAGTCCTAAAGTTACTTTTAAGTCACAAAAAATAATTGTGATTCAGAAAATAGAACGTTCAAGTCAATGTATGACATTGACTCTAAAGAAGATCAAACAAACAGTAAGACTTCCTGCTGCATCCCCAGCTAGGATCTGTACAGGTAGCCTGTAGGCTTCTTCTCTCTTTTCTACCCACCTTTTAGCTGCTGTTACTCTTCTCTCTGGGTTTGAAACACATGATGAAGAAAGACCACATGACTGCCACTGCCATGAAAATGCTGGCTGCCTCACTATATCCCCTTCCTCTTCACAAAAAGAATCACAGCAATAAGTTTATATTTCCTGGCTTCTCTTAGAGCTAGGCATGACCACACAAGTGAACCCTGGCTAATAAGCAAAAATGTTAGGTGGGGCATCCCAAAAGTCTCCTTAAATAGGAGGGGGCAGACCGTTCCTCTGCCCTTCCTTTCCTTCTATGCCTGGAACGTGATGTGATGGCTGGAGCTTTAGCAGCTCTCTTGCGCCATGAGCACGAGGAATCTATTCCTAGGATGTGGGAGCAGTGAAGTAGAAGACTTGTTCCTAATAACTGTGTGGAACCACCACCCCATTCCCAAATTGCCTACTTCTTGACTTATTCTATGTAAGAAAGAAGTAAACTCCTATTTTGTGTTACCGTTGTTCTTTCATTTATATGCAGGGAAACTTAATCCTCACTAGTGCAAATGGCTTCACATCCTGTAGACCAGCAGATACTCAAACCAATGTTCTCTCTTTCTTATGGGTACTTTTGTAGGTTTTCCAGGGGCTCCCTGCTGGGCCCCTTTAACCAAAATCCCTGTGATGTGGATGATGCATTTAAGTCTTCTGTTTGTACTGCCCCCAACCCTACCCCTGCAGCCCCTAAAATTCACTCCACAAGCTCTCCGCTGCCTGTGCCTCCTGGGCAGAGGCCAAATTGTTCCAGCCTGGCTCTCCATCCCACCTGGGCCACATCTGGTCCACAGGAAGCACACACAAATCTCTCCAACACGCTTGGCAGCGGGGAGGCCCTATCCCAGCTGCTCCCCTTCACTCTGCCACCAAAGTGTCTCACCCGAGTCACATGACAGCCTGCCACACTCCAAGTCCCAAGGGACACAGAGTCTGCTGTCCAGGCAGCCTCAAAGCAGCTGCTCTCTCTAGGCTTGGGGTGGGGGCAGCACCCCCACAACCCTTCCTCCAGGATGAAAGGACAGTGACGGGCGCACAGCAGAGGCTTCTTCAAATAAATCCCCTCACACATCCAGTACCAGTGTTTTACTGTATCTTCAGAGTGAGGAGGATTTTCAAGAGCTTGAGCCTGGTGTTTGGATATTTCATTTGAAAAATTCCACTGGGGTCTTTCTTGCAACTTATTTTAGTAACTGTTATATAATATATCTTGAAGGGTTAGTCAAATTTTCCCATTCAACAGCCTGTTGAACTGGAACAAAAACAAATTATTTGTGGATGCACATTTCTGGTAAAGCTTGAAAGAAAAGGAAGGAAATAGTTAACAATATTTGAAAAAGCAGTTACCCCTGGGGTGAGGGAGTGGGAGGTAGGAAGGAAATATGACCAGGAAGCACATGTGAAGGGTTTCAAAGGAATGTTCTAGATGCTTATGGATAGTTATTTGCTTTATTATCATAAGTTAAAATGGATGCACATGTTACATACCCACATATGTATTCACAATTTATAAATTTAAAACTAAGCAAAAGAAGAGACACAAGATAATATCTAAACTCCATAGCAAAGCAACTTGGAAATAAGATCACACTCTGAGAATGAGGTCATGAACTCAACAAAATGGAGGAAGCAAGTCAAAAACTGACTTTTGTGCGTAGGTTGAAGGATTTCCTCCAAGACTGGGGTGTTGTTCTTAGACAATTCTACAGTGGCAGTCCAGTGGCACAGACAATGCCCATAACCTATCTAATCTACTTTAATCATCTGCATGGATAGATCAGAGAAAACCATCACAGAGTTGGTCACTGGTACTCCAGAGCTCCCTATAGTAGGAAAAGTCTGCAAGCCCTCAGAGGTGAAAAGGGAGTCTTAGCCGGGCACAGTGGCTTACGCCTGTAATTCCAGCACTTTGGCAGGCTGAGGCGGATGGATCACGAGGTCAGGAGTTTGAGACCAGCCCAGCCAAGATGGTGAAATCCCGTCTCTACTAAAAATACAAAAATTAGCCGGGCGTGGTGGCACACACCTGTAATTCCAGCTACTCTGGAGGCTGAGTCAGAAGAATCGCTTGAAGCCGGGAAGCGGAGGTTGCAGTGAGCCGAGATTGCACCACTGAATTCCAGCCTGGGCGAAAGAGTGAGACTCCATCAAAAAAAAAAAAAAAAAAAGGGAGTCTTAGCCAAAAGAGTCGGGGAGCTGATCCTGCTGGCAGTCTACTCGGCTAGACCAAGGCTCCATGAACTATAGGGACATTTAATAAAGGCTTCTGAATTCTTTTCACATTACTTCAGTAATTGCCAAAGCAACTTTCTAATTATGATCTGGCTTCTTACTTAAGGAACTTGTCTACAGGAAAAGAAACGGCTGATCATATGGATTTTATTCTTGTTATTAAGGTAATGCTAGCTTTATTATAATTAATAATGATGAGAGCTAATATTTCTGGTGTGCTTATCCCATTCGATCCTCACAATAATCTTAATCCTATCAACAGGCCGCATAGGAAAGTGATAAAAAGCAACAGACTGCCAAGATTCAAATCCCTGCTCAACCCTGAACAGCTGCGTAACCTTGAGCAAGACATTAAGCCCCTTTGGGCCTCAGTTTCCTCACTATAAAGAGAGGATAATGGTAGTGCCTGCCTCACAGGGTTTTCTCCTAAAGCAACTGGCATACACTAGGCAAAATATAAATGTTATAATGCCCATTTTACAGACAAAACAACTGAGACAGCGCTTGGCACACAGTGAGCACAATATAAATGTTTGCTATCATTCCCATTTTATAGACAAAACAACTGAGGCTCAAAGTGGTAAAGTAACTTGCCAAAATTCCACAGCTAGTAAATGGCAGCTGGTCTAACCCAGACATCTTAGACTTCAGACCCAATGTGCCAAACCACAGTGCCGTATAAACTGAATATTCAAGTTGCCGTGACAGTTACCTACAAAGGTAAATTAACCTGTTTATCTCTTGGGTCCTTTTCAACCGTGGGGCCTCTCTTGGCTAGGTGATTTACTTAAGACCTGATCACTGCCCTTGCAGGCTGAATATGCAAGATGCCAGGCCTCTGAAACAGAACACCCAACTCCTCCGCTGAGACCTGGTCTGGCCCAGCTGCAGCCAATGCATCCCCCACGACAGCTGTTTGCTGCCCTCTCTGACTAGCTACTGAACCCTGAAATTCTCAAAGGCTGCCCTGGGAATTTTCATCATTGAGATTTCAGCTTCTAACAATATGCCAATGAAAAAATATCACCCTAGACAGATGCAGATGATCCCAACCCTGTCTTCAGCAGGCCGTAGGCAACTATCCTTCCTTCAACATCTTTCTAACCTACAGGCCAAAATACATTATATCTGTGAAGGGTCTGGAAACTGGGAAATGGTCCAAATGTCATCGTCTATCAGGGGCCTCCACTGTACTGTAGAAAATGCACAGGGAATGAGCCTAGCTCCTGTTCCACTTCTGCCACTGGCAACCACGTGAACTCTGAGAAGCCTCTTTGCCTCTCTGAGCTTTGGCTTCTCCTTCTGTGGTGCAGAAACACTGGACTAGATGATCTATACATTCCCTTCCCTTGTTTGATCTTTATTTCCCTGTTTTCATTCAGAGCCAGATCTCATTTTGATTTGACCACATTCAAAAACAACTCACAATAAACTCTCACTTTAGGGAGATACACACACGCTGATTTCCATAATGCATAAATGGAAAGGAACACTGTTGCTATTTGCAATTGTGAAGGGATAAAGCCACTTTCAAAACCCCAACATGAGCTGCTGGAACCACTGAGAGGGAAAAATCTATTAGTCCGATAACCATACATTACATGAAACGTATGGAGTGGAAGCTTTTATTCCTGAGAGTACGCAGCAATAAACTGGTCCTATTCCTAATGTGGTTCATGACAGTCAGCCCAGATTACATGTGTATGTGTATGCCTGAGTGTGTGTGCACAAATGAGAAAGTACTATGAACATCTCAAGAAAGGACCATATTCATTATGATGATCATCTCAAAATGATATCAGATAACTTATCAAAGATACTAGAGTGAGTCATAATCTTACTTTTGGCCCTATACAGACAAAATACTTGCAGCTAAATCAGCGATGCGAATATACTTTTGAATTAGACTGCACAGAACAGATAAGTTGAGAAAGTAAGTAAGGGTTCACCACATGGACTTTCAGTGATGGTGGTTTGATATCTAAAAATACTCTTTTCATCATCAGCATGTATAAAATGTAACTACTTATTGATTGCTATTTTCTTCTTCCCAACATCATTGTAATTTATATTTTTATGATTTAAAGCAACTTTAAGATGGCTCCATTGAATAAAATTAATGCCATCAAGTAACTATTCTATATATCTTTTCAGAAGTCTGATTCATAAAAAATGCAAACTATAGATGATAAATTTCTCCACACATTTTTTAGAGGTTTCATAATCTTTGTAGCATAATTTCTCTTAATGGCCCAATAGCACTGAATCCTTCATCAAATTTTTATGCAATATATTTGCTACACTGGCACTCTAATAAGAAAGGAAAAAAAAAGACAAATGATCCAGAAAGCTGAGGTATGTTATGACCAGACTATTATTCTGAATGGTAATGCCAGGCTTGCCCTGAATACTTTGCCTAATTAGACTTCACACGAGAAAAAAAACTCTTTAATATTTAACAAGTATAATGGTGCAATCAATGTGCACAAATCAGGCTCGATAAGGAGTATTGCTTATTAAAAAGAAAGACAGATGGCTACGGGAAAGGTATAATCATTAAAAGTAAGACCTCACAGACTCCAACTGTGAACACCAGCCACGTTCTTTAAAATTGCCACTTCAACCACAGAAGCTCAATGCATTATTTAGTCCTGTCCTCATGCTCAGCGGACCACAGATACACCCACGTCATAGATTGAATAAAACAACTTGGTTCAAATAGATGGTCTTTGCTGTTTCTCAAAAACCATATTTTCTTAACCACTTTTGCTGATGTCAGAATCCCAGAGAGTCCAGATGTCCAACACGTCCCTTATAATCGTTTCAGCTAGGTAATTAGTCCTCCTTTTTATTACCTTCAAGAACACGTAACATGTTGGAAGCCTTCCTGCCCCTATTAAATCCAGCCAGCCTGCCACAAGAGTATGAATATATAATTTATTTATAGGTAACTTTTAAGAAAACACATAGTATGTAGGAATATAGTTGAAAACAGGCATGCTTATAAACTGAAAATTATAATAAAAGAGATTTCTAAAGGTGAGTTTTCTGTTTGGTTTCTCCAAGGTCAGATTTACACTCAAATATGGGGATCCTTGAATGTGATTTGTCTATTCACGAACACAGTTTTTACTCACCATGTTGACTATTAAATTGCTACATTTACTCTTTCCATACACCTTTATCAAGAACCTTCTGTGTCTACACACTGTACTATACTTGCCACACTTTTGGGAAGACATTATAAAATTGTGTAAACTATGGTCCCTATACTCCAGGAGTCTATAATTTGGTCCAAATACAATGTAAACACAGCTAAAACATCCACTGCCACGTAACGTATTACTCTTGGTACCCATAAAGGTACCATAGCAATCTTGGGAGTAAAAGCTTTAGAGACAGACAGACATTTGTTCCAATGCTGGTTCAGCCTGTCATAGTCGTCTGACCCGAAGTATTCCATCGATGTGAATCTCAGTTCTTCAAGTATTTTTGTATGTGTTGAAAAAATAAATTCTACAAATAAAATACTTCAAATAGGGTTTAGCACATAGTAAAACTTCCTAATCTGCTGCCATTTCCAGATTACCAGAAGAAAAACGAGCCTTAATTTAACTGAAAAACCAACTATTCACCCCTTGACTTAGATACAATGATACCCATATCCACATCTTATCTCTCTTTGGGTACATACAATCCCACTTTTGATACATAATAATTGTACATACTTATGGGGTACATTTGGTTTTTGATACATGCTCACAATGTGTAAATTATCAAATCAAGGCATACAATCCAATTTTTCACTTGTGCCCCTAAAGAAACTCCTCAGAACTAATCTTACCAAGTGTTTCCAGGAAGATCATAGATTTGAAGTACAGAGAAAAAAGGATTTCAAACTTTAATTCACTAGCTGGATGTGCACAGATGAAGCTAAGGTCATTTAGAGTCCATTTGATTCATGAAGCTTTTTGCCACCATTTCCATTTCTGATGTTGTAAAATAAACAGGAAATAAAAATACATCCCTCTGCCTTGAAGTACGCAGTGAGGGCTCACCATCCCCAGGGAATATCTGTGACTGAAATGCCAGGGGGTCATGTCCAGGTCCTGCTGCTCACAGCACAGAAAGTCGATCTCAGAGAAAACGCGTATTGCAAGGGAAGAAGGTTTTAATCACACGGCATCTCCCTGACCCACTAAAATTAGGGGTTTATATAGCAGGGAAGGAATATAAGTACACATCGGAAAACAGGAATTAGGGAGGGGTAAGGAAGGGGAGTTGGCCAACAGGAAGCAGGTGGTCACTTAGGCAATTACGATGGATGAATGGTCTGGGGTTTGCTCAGACTTGGTGATCTGGTTAAGTTTCAGCTCCTTGATAATATCTGGGAGACCTGAGGGTTGGTTTTCTGAGAAAGGAACTCAGATAACACAAATGGAAGTTTCTTAAGTTTTCTATGTTTATTCAAAAGAAGCAATAAACATCAGTTCTATGGGAAAATTGGACCAGTTTCAGATGCTCCATGGGTCAGTAAGCCCTAGCGTAGTAATATATTCCTTTCCTTGTATTTCAGTCTCCTGTGAGCTCCTGGGGTCAGAATCCACTGTCTGTTCATCTATGTAACTCCAGCATCAAGCACAATGCCAGGCATACAGTAGAAGTCCAAAACTAGATTCTGAACAACCTGAGAGTAGGCATCTTGGTAGTTCATTATTATAAGGGGCACCTAAAACTATCTGCCTATTGGCCATGGTACCTAATGATGTTGCAGAGCCCATCACGTGCAGATTGATGAAAATAAGGAACCTGGGTTCTATTCTCAACAACATCATTCATTCCACTAAGTAGCTGGGTCATCTTAGATAAGTCACTTAGCCTCTCTGAGCCTCTGTTGCTCATCTTCAGATTAGACAGATAGTACAGGTCATCTCAAACCTGCTATTATTTCTGCAAAATACTGTTGTTAGATCAAATGATCTCAGAGATGCTATTATTTCTGTTGATATATTTTTGCTAATCATTGGTTCTCTCATTAATTCCAACTCCAACATGTTATTGACAAGATTATTAAATGAAGCCTACAAGTCCTCCAGAAATGAAGTATCTCTTTCAAATGCATGATTTTGCCATTTCAAAGATTTCTAGCTCATGTACATTAAATAAACAAACACGATCAGCTTTATTCAAAGCTTTGCCATTCATTCTCTGACCTTCTTTCCTACACGATGGAGAGCAAGGGCGATACTTGGTGGTTTCACACACTGGCATGTCATCTGCCCCAAGAATAACACAACCATCGCTTGTGGACACCAGGGAAAGGGGTTTAAAGAGCCAATGCCTCCCACATGCCTTCACTTTAGTGGGTGGCCAGCTCCACAAGCCAAAGAAGCCCCTCCTCATGCTTTCAAGCAACCAGACAATTTTACAAGGGTCCCACATTCACATCCCATCCCACCTTGGTGAAAAGTGCAAAAAGTCACTGGTTACCCTCTGTGCACCAGTAAAATTCATCATCTTGAGACGACAGGGGAAAAATGCAGTCCTGGTACTTAGCCAGCAAATAATTCCTGCAGTTGGTTCAAGAGGTCAATGTCTTGAGTAGGAGAGAAAGCAAAAAAAAAAGCCGGTATTTCCAACTTCATTTTCCATTAGAACACCAAACGTGAAGATACTGGTTCTACATACAGGGTCTAAGGAGGCGTTCCCTGAGGCCTCTGTTATCCACACTAATAATGCCCCAAGCACTGGTGCAGACTCATTCTTGGAAGAATGCAAAAAGCTAAGTCCAGTGAAGCTGGATAAATTCCTTTTTATACCCAGATATATTAATGGGGAAAACCCTCAGGATTTTTAGTTACTTAAGTGAATAATATGTTCTCTACTAAGGAAAGCTATTTTTGAGAGCACCCCAGACCCAAAATGTTGAACCAGCTTACTCGATCCAACAAAGTGACTATTTTCTGCTCAGATTTCGGCTTCAGCCACCCTCTGGACTGATGAATCAATTCACAGTCCACAAATTTCATTGCTTTGCATTTGATTAAATTCCTACTTTATGGATTAAGAACTTGCCCAGGGCTACAGAGTGAGTCAGCTACAGAGCTCTGTCTCCACCAAGCTAGTTTCCTACTGTAGAAACTTGTCTACACCTCCAACTGGAGGAGAAGTAAAAAAAAAAAGAAAAGAAAAAAAGAAAGATAAAGACTCAAACTCAGCTTTCTCCTGTTATTCCTGTTATTCAGGCCCAGAAATAAATGGGCCATAAGTTTAGTTAAAAGATGAAAGAAATCTCCCTGCCAAAAAGTATGCTTTAGACAACTTGGAGGTCATAGGTATATCCAAAGAAATATCCCTGCAAAATACAAGTCTCCTCCCTTGTTCACCCATTATGTAGCCATAAACGTACTCAAAAAAAATCTTACTTCTATGCATATAAGTTGCTCAAAGGTAACCTGGAAATTTTAAGTTACTTATACGTATGGAGGTCCAAGAAGATGTATTTCTTTCCTATCCTCTTGTATAAAGAGCAGATGGTAAATAATAAAAGAAAAACTATTACCTTTCCGGTAACTAATTAAAGTAGCCAGGGGACATTAGGAATTCATCCTTTAACAGCAAGTTCTAGTCATTCCTGTCAGTCTAGAACTTCAAAGATATCAAGGGATTTCTGGGATTAGTTTCCAAACCCAAGCACCTTATCATAGCGACAGGTACACAGTAGGTATTCAAGATATATTTGATTATAATAATCTAGAACTTACACATTTAAAAAACTAAGAATAGAAATAGGAGATATAAGGCCTAAAGCAAATATAGCATGCTCCTCCTCATCTTCCCAATGCTCCTTGACACTCGTTTTCTTTTCCATGTTTCTTTCCCGTCCCTCTCTGCCATAACAGTTGACACATATATTAAGGATTTACCATGTGCTGTAGCATTTACGTACATTAGCTCAATGACTCAGCAAACCCCTCAGTAAAATAAGCATGATTATTCCATTTTATGGATGAGAAACAGGAATCTAAAGAATTAAGTAGGCTGAGCGCAGTGGCTCACATCTGTAAACCCAGCACTTTGGGAGATCAAGGAGGGTGGATCACCTCAGGTCAGGAGTTCAAGACCAACCTGGCCAACATGGTGAATCCTCTACTCTGCTAAAAATACAAAAATTAGCCGGGTGTGGTGGCGAGTGCCTGTAATCCCAGCTACTTGGGAGACTGAGGCAGGAGGATCGCTTGAACCCGGGAGGCAGAGGTTGCAGTGAGCCGAGATCGCACCACCACACTCCAACCTGGGTGACAGAGTGAGACTCCATCTCAAAAAAAAAAAAACATTAAGGAACTTGCCCAAGTTCACAGAGTTAAAAAGTGAGGTCGTTGTGCATGACTCCGTCTCCCAGGCCCATTCACCAGGGGTGCTGTTTCCTTATCCAGTTCATTCATTCCGAGATTTTTTCACTTATTTGTGTGCTTTGCATGTACTCATGATACTAATATTCCCAAGAACCATTTGAACTAACTTGGGTTTCATTTCAAGGACTATTCCTCTTCCCACTAAGCTGTCCTTCTGTGTTTTTTTTTTTTAAGTTTGCTTGTTCAATTCATTTTAATACACTGTATTAGTTCCACAAAATGGGCTTTTGAAAATTACAGTAACTTGCTTGAAACAAACTCTTCTCCAATTCGATACTGTTTTTAAATTTTTGGCTTTAAAAAAAAAAGCCTGAATCAAGCTTCTCTTGCACCTGGGCAGGTTCTGTTTGCTTATTCACAGAAGGGCTGGTTTATGCCTATGTGCCATGGCATAATAAATAACGAGTTAAGGCTTCCTGCTCCTGGCTGAGGTAGACGTTTCTGAACTGTAATGATTTTGTAAAATCCACTTTCCCTCCCTACCACACACATCTACCCTGGTCACCAAACAAGGCGGCTCAGTATCATAAAACCACTTGGAACATCTCTCTAAAGACCATCCCTGATCTAACAACACAGGCTAGTCTACAGAACTGCAAGCAGGGCCCTATACAGGCCTCCATGGATCTGGCTCTCTGCATCATAGTGAAACAGACCTGGATGTAATTAACCAAATCCCCAGCTCAGAGGGGGTCAGGGAGAGGCTCATTTCTCCTGTGACAATAGCTACCCCTTAAAGAGCTCCAGTAGTTATTGCCAGACAACTAATAATTTTGACTTAGCTACTCACTGACAGGGGATGTACTGCTTTTGGAAAAATCCTGCAGTGGGAGGCCAGGGAGCCAGAAGTCCATAAGAGGCAATGCACCAATCTGGAGATGCACCAGGCTGCAGCTCTCCTCTGAGCTTTTTAGCAGAAGCCATCCAGCTGGTGCAGCACAGCTGAGCCTCTGACCCAGCCTTGGACCCCTCAAGAAATGGTCACTTATATCCCCCTGCATCCTGGATCCCCAACCGCTTCTGTTCAGCTGACCTCCAACTTCATTTCTGACTTGTTCCAACTTCCATGAGACCTGAGTTCTTGACTTCTTCTTAAAATAGCTTCTCCCTTACCCCTTGTACCCAAACCTTATTCTACACCATAGGTACCTCTCTTGGGCTCCAAGCTGCCATTTGCCTCCTGGCCATCCTCTTTGGCCAGCTTAGGTAACAACAAAGGGTCACAGGGACCCTACACTGCTGTCAGGTTTGTCCCAGCCTCTGGTGGAAGAACCAGAAAACGACATTCTAAAGGAACTGATCACACTCGGCCTTGGATTTTAGATACTTTTATCTCTACCACCACTCTGTCAGTAGGGGGCAGCGGGGAAGAGGGAAGGGAAGGGAGAGGTTGAGAGGAGACAGATGAGAAGAAGAAAACGGACACTGCTATTGGTTGGTACCTACTACTTCCTGGTGGCTCGGAACCTTACCTATACCTTTCGTTTAATTCTTGCAACAAGCCTATAAGATGTTATTATCCCCATTTTGCACATGAGGAAGCTAAGCCTCAGAGATGTTTAGTAATGGAACAAGGTCCCCCTAGTCAGTAAGGAGTAGAGCTGGGATTCAAACCCCAGGTTGTCCACCACCAAAGTCTCAAACCCTTCCTCTCTCCTGCACTGTCTTCACATCTTGGTATTCCCTGCAGTGTCTGGCAGAGTACCTTCATAGAACAGGTGCATAAAAATGTTTGATAGATGAATGCATGAATGGCTGACTCCAGCCTTAATACCTTAATATTCTGCAACCCACACACTCGATCTTATTCATACTTTCTGCTTGTAACATGCCTGCCAAACACCTTGATCGGAAGTTAGATGTTAAACAGAGATGTTGCTCTACATTGCATTTTTGAGCTGCTAGAAAAAGCTACATACACAAACCTATACATTAAAAGTGCTGAAGCAGACCCTCTGATAAAAATTATTTTGTTATCTTGCTCCATCATGCCCAGAAATGGAGACAAATACAATACTGTAAGGAAAATCAATGTTTGCATGTCAGAACTCAAAGACCTTTTCCAGGCTGCCAATTCAATGAGTATTTATGCTGGAAAAGACAGCAAAGAAGTCATGAGCTCAGGTCCTGGAGCCAGGCAGACGTGCACTAAGGCCCAGCTACACCACTTACTAGCTGACCTTGACTTGCTTCCTAAATCTTAGCGTTCTCATCCGTAAAACGCAGATGATAAGAGTGCACAGTTCCTAAGGTGGCTGTGCTGATTAAATGAAGAACTCACATACCACACTAAGCAGAGTACCTGCTACATATTTAAGGGCTCCATCAGTGTTAACCGTTTTTATCATGGGAAGAGAATTGTGACAGAAGCGAAACAAGAAACCTTAAATGAATTACTTACCTTTGCAAACATTATTATAAGCGCTAAGTTTACCTGAATCCTCTGTTCCAGATTATTGCGACTACTAGAATGATCTACTCTGAAAGCAATGCAGTCAATAATGATAATATTAATAACAACCAACAGTTATATATTGATATGGTTGGGTTCTATGCCCCCACCGAAATCTCATGTCAAATTATAATCCCCACATATGGAAGGAGGGGCCTTGTGGGAGGTGACTGAATCATAGCGGCAGACTTCCCCCTTGCTGTTCTCGTGATAGAGTTCTCATGAGATCTGGTTGTTTGCAAGTGTGTAGCACTTCCCCCTTGGCTCTCTCTCTCCTGTTGCCATGTGAAGATGTGCTTGCCTCTCCTTCACTTTCTGCCATGATTGTAAGTTTCCTGAGGCCTCCCCAGCCATGCCCCCTGTGCAACCTTTGGAACTGTGAGTCAACTGAACCTCTTTTCTTCATAAATTACCCAGTCTCAGGTAGTTCTTTACATCATTGTGAGAACAGACTAATACATGTGTATATTTATATATTTATATTACATAACATTTTTAAAAATTGTCTATAGTAGATAAAATATACAATGTTATATAATATATAACAATATATTTTTATATGATATGATGATGATGATAAATGATATACATTATTATATTATATATAATATAAAATGTTATATATTATATGATATTATATGACATATCATATATGAGTATATATTCATATCTTATATAATATATACTATATATCTTATATGATATATAAAATATATACACACACATATATAACCTTTCCTATGCTCCAGACACTGTTCTAACCACTTTTACAGACAAGAGCGTCACACAAACTTATGCAGGTTGTGCCGCAAAGTGTGCCCTGCAGGAACTTCAGCCCACTCTCTGTTGACCAGGCTGAGCACCCGACATGGAACAGTCTACCACAGACGAAGGGGTTCCTAGCACAGCCCTGTGTACGTATGTTGACCTATTGACTGATGCGTTAACTTTAGCACGTTTCTAATATTTGAGAAACAGAAGTAGAAAGTCACTTTTGTGAGAACACACAGCCTAAGTCAAAGACCACCATTTTAGTAATTTTATTAACAGAATAGATGAACATACCACAAAAATCACCAGTAACCAGTTCCTAGTATCAAGCTGCAGTGCTGTGTGCCCACGTGCCTTAAGAATACAAAAACAAGGCTGGCCCTCAGTATAAATGGACAAATCACATCTACCTCCTCCCCATTTCCTGCTTCTCTTTTCTTCCATCAACTCAAATGTCCTTTGTGTGTGAAAATGAAACAAATTATCAAATATGACTCCAGGGTAACTGAATGTTATGTTTTATGCATTGCCTAAAAACAGCAATAAAAATTATCTGTGCAGCAAAGTAATGTTTCCCTAAGTCATAGGTTCAAAACATGAAATTCTAGCAAACAATTATTTTTGTGCAGGCACAACTCCCAAGTGCTGGTTCCTAAAAATGACTCCCAAGTTTAAAGACTCATTCATTTCCTCTCAACTCAGCCATCCATAACCTTGTTCAGCTTGGAGCTCTTGCCCAAACTAAATTGTCCCATCCTGCATAAAGCTTTGTACCTATCATCTTGGCGTGGACTCAGCTTCAGTCTGCGAAGATGAAGGAGAGGCAGGGAGACACCATGGCCTTTGCTAGCTGGGGGTTTGAGGATAAGCCAAACTCTTGCAGTTCTGGGGAAGCATTAGTCTGTGCAAATGGGATCTCTATAACCTTTTCATGTGCGCAGAATCCTAAAAGTAATCCAAAACATTTAGCTTAATCAGAGGGAAATGATATTTAAAATGTTCTACAACCTTCATCCAAAAGTTATTCCTCTTACCCTGTTCTCCTAAGATTACTGACCTAGACCTTGATTTTTTAAAAAAAACCAGATTGTCTTACCGTAAAATCCTGCCATGTAAATATCAGAATTGGATGTCTGATAATTTTCCAAACTCAGAGACATTCTGCTAGATAAGACAGGAAAACCACTGGTAAGATTTAAGACCTACAATGGGCTAAACTTTTCTCTGTTGCTAGTTTTTGTTGTGGTTTCGTTGGGTTTTGTCCATTTGCTTCTGAGACAAGGTCTTGAGATATTGCCTAGCGTGGTTTTGATATATTGAGTGCTTCAGAAATCCTACTACCTCAGCCTCCCAAGTAGCTGGGACCACCACACCTGGGTCTAACTGTTTCTAATTTTACTTACAGATTAAAGGTATTTAGTTTGTCACTCGAATTAAGTTTCATGGAAAACCTGAAAATATAATGTTCTCATTCATTTACATACAATATGGCAATATTTTCAGTAATAATGTTTGTTTATATACATTGTCAGTAATTTTTCTACCAAATAGCAAATTATTTCTGGCAAATAAAAACACAAACAAATAAAAACACCTTGGAGTTGTTCAATAAATATTCTCAAGCTCGACTAACTTCATTCACATTAGAATTTAGAAATAAGAAGTCTTCTCAAAAACACATAGAAGAAAGGTGACTTTCAGTGATGCATCTTGGAATGTGATAAAACACTTTTTAAAGGTGAGATTCAATGTGGCTCCATTTTCTTTTTTCAGTCTCGCTCTGTTGCCCAGGCTGGAGGGCAGTGGCCTGATCTCAGCTCAATGCAACCTCCGCCTCCCTGGTTCAGGCGATTCTCCTGCCTCAGCCTCCCGGGTAGCTAGGATTACAGGCATGTGCCACCATGCCCAGCTAATTTTTGTATTTTTAGTAGAGGTGGGGTTTCGCCCTGTTGGCCAGGCTGGTCTCAAACTCCTTACCTCAAGGTATCTGCCTGCCTCAGCCTCCCAAAGCGCTGGGATTATAGATGTGAGACATTTTTTAAAAAGGACAGATAACCAGAAGCTTCTGCTAGCCAGATAAAATTCCTTGAAAAACAACTTTTTTGCTGTTAATGATACAAATATCTATTTAGGAAATAAAACCATTTTAAACACATTAAAAGATAAAAATAAGCTGTACCAAAGACATACAAAGAAAACCACTGAAATACCTAGATGAAAACCATATACATATATATTTTCAAAGTTTAAAAAAGCATATATTTGGAAATTAGGATATATAAAATACAAATCCAAATTCTTACATCTCTTTTAAGCCCTTAACTCTAAAATTATTAAAAACAGTACCAAATCCATCATTTAAGACCACTTTAATTTATTTTTAGGCCTTTGGCTAATGCTTTTGACACAAGGTTGCCCTTTTCTAATAAAGTATTCCATGTCGTGAACCCAGGAAGTTAAATTTCTTTGCTACCTTAAAGGACAGGATAATGGTAATAAATGACAGCCTGGGGTGATACACTATGCTGAAGAGGTCCCCTAGTGGCGAAGCTCCTCTCCAACCCGGCTTTATAGGTTTTATAAGACTGCTTCATCATGAATGCAAAATCAATAGGTAATAAAGTCTACCCTAGCTTTGCCTCTGTAATAACCTCTATTAGCCCTAATATATAGTAGGGCTAACATTTAGAATCTCAAGGTCCTTTCATCAGGAATTATTAAAAGAAGGATGTGATCCAAAGAATAACTTCATTACATTCTGTATTTTAAATCAACAAATATTTATTTAGTCCTTATGCCCTGCCAGGCACTGTGTTAGACATGGAGGAAAGAGGAAAGATGAGGACCCTTGCAGACCTTACTGATATTTCTTTTTAATGTAATAACATGGCATTAAGAACAGAGCTAGAGCAACATGAAGATTGGTAAGTATCATTCATCATCATATGAACTTAGGATGGATTCTTAGGAAGATACAAGAAAAAGCTGAAGTATTGCCCCAAAGTTTCAACTCCTTATTTTCAACACCTATACTGGGCAGTATCTGAGATTCTCCAATAAATAATCAATAGATAAATGAATAGAAAGTAGGGTTACAAAGAAGAAGGAATTTTTACAATTTTTTTTAAATGTTGAAACATGCTGGAGTTGGGGATCCCTAAATGTAAAGAAAGACAAAAAAAAAAAAAAAAAAAAAAAAAGACAACATTTATGAAGTGCATACTGTGTGCTCGGGGCACTAGGATAAGTTCCCAAATGTAATTTCCTCCTGCTAAACATCTCTATAAGGTGAGGAATACTATTGGCATTTTACAAATTAGGACACCAAGGCTAGGAAAGGGGAAGTAACTTGCCCAAGGTCATGCAATTAATAAGTGGAAGAAGCCGCCTGGAGCTCAGGTCTCTGGAACAGCAAAGACACAAGCTCACTGCACTGTAATGTAAACGGATGAATCCAAATGTCGGAGATTCTGCTTTAAAACCCACTAATACATTTTACAAATAGACATATAAGATTTAGCACACAAAGATGAACAGGATTAAAGTATTTTGATATTGTATTATGTGGAGTACATATGGTGTGGCAGCTCAAGGCAGACGAATTATTAAATATGTACGGTGATCTTACAATGGGTATGGCCCGTCTCTTGCTTTCTAGGAATTGACCATCTTCCGGCAGCCCAACACCTAGTCCCCTGTGTATTATGCACTATTACAAAACGTGTTCAAGTCGCCTTTTATGCCTAAGGCTTACATAAAAATTCATCTTGCCTTTCTGCGTCTATTTCCAAGTTTGAAGGACCTTTCTCCCTCCAATTAGCAACATTTCAGCACTGCACAGGGCTTATTAATGCTCACTGTTGCAAGTAACACCAAGGTAATTTGACTTTCTTGTAGGAACAATGTCGACGAAATCCTACAGAATTAAATTTAAATTTCCAGTTTAAAAAAAAAAACCGTGAAAGAACACTTCATTACCTTTATTATCTAGACGTATCTAATGACGTTAAGTAAAAACTGCACCAAGGCTTTGAAACCAGAAGAAAAGTGGAGTTTGTGAAATTTAACCACTCCATGCTTTTTATTAGTATTTCACTTATGAGTATTTCCCGAGGCTCACTGTTTTGGCAGGCACAGTGCTGTTAACATCTCTTCCTTTCTCACCATTCTTTGCTCATCGATGAAAAGATAACTTCAAAATCTCTGACAGGAATGCAGGTGCAGGAAGTGCGACGGAAACAAACAACTTTGCCTCCGCTTCCTACAGCTTTCCTCTCCTCCCCGCCCTTCTAGCCCCCATCCCACCCCAAGATCATGCCCTCGAACAGCTTCTGCCCACCGATCGCACGTCCCCTGGGCATGTTCGGGCAGCGGTGACCCTCAGCCACATCCCCCACTAGCCCGGTCCCGGGCAGGCGAGCGCGCTGCCCACCGGCCACCCTCGTCACGCCCCCTCCACCCTCTCCATCCCAGCCACAATAATACAATAACCGCAGTCATCGCGCGGCACGTGGAAAGGCTACTTTTCAGTGGGTTTTGCAGAAAGCAATCAGACAGCGGAAGGCCACGAGAAACGCTGGTGAAGCCAAACCGACCCCGGGAGCGCAGCGGCCCCGGACCCTCCCTGGAAGCTCCCTCCGCGTCCCCGCGCGCCCACCTGGAGGCGCCGCGCCCTCCGCCTGCCAAGCCGGTCCCCGGCCCCTGCCCGTGCCCTGGGCCCCCGGCGGGCAGCGGCGGAGGGAGGCCAGGCGCGGCACCGTCCTCCGCAGCTGCACGAGCCACCCCGAGGTCGCGGGGTGGGCGGGCGCGAGCTAGGCGCGCGGGGCTGTGGGGATCTGCCGGCGCCACTGACGCCCCCGCGCGGCACACCGCGCCCGGCTGGCCCGGGAGGGGACCCGACTCACCCGAAGCGCCCTGCTAGCTGCCCGGCCCGGCTCCGGCCGCTGCCGCCGTCGCTGAACTTTCCCTCCTGCGCGGCCGCCGCGGACTCGGCTCCACCTCCCGCTCCGGCAGCCGCGGAGCCTCCAGGGACCCCGGGGGCGGGGAGCAGCGGCGGCGGCGGCGGCTCGGGCGGGCGGGCGCAACAGCGGCCAAGCCTGGCGCCCCGCCGCAGGGTAGGTCCGGCGGGGGCGGCCAAGGCCGGGCTGGGGTCGCGGTTGGCCGCGTACCTCCGCGTCACCCACGGCCTCTCTGCAGTGCGTCCCTGCGCCCGTCGGAGCGGCGCCCTGGCCGAAGCCTGTCACTCTCGGAAGGGGCCGCGCTCGGACACCAGGGGCGGTTTACGCGTGACTGGACACCAAGAGCCGGAGAAGTTTAGAGACTAGGACACTGTGGCGTGGCCCGAGTTGCAGGAGAGAGGTGTCCAATCTCCATGGGGTCCTTACTCTTGCAGGACAGAGTTCCCCATCCCCCTGCTCCACCCGCTCTGTTCCCTTGGCTGCCCTCCCCGCCGAGCGCCGACTTCCATGCAAAAACTTTGTAAATCGCACTTCGGGGAATTCACGCTTTAGTCGCGGTCTCTGCTGCCCTGGTCAGCTATAACGCCTCCCCTAGAGAGCTTTTACTTACAGCGAAGGTCAGGAACCCCTGTAACTCTCACACCGCACCACTGTGGGTAAGCGATGTCTGCAGGGACCCCTGACGGCCACTGGGAGGCCAGGAGAGAAGAGGGAGAGGAAAGGCTAAAAAGGCAAGTGGAGTGTTGGGTAATAAAAGATCCACCGCCACCTCCAGCACACACAGGCAGGCACCCTCCAGGGCCACAGGTCGCCTTTTATCTGTAAGTGCTCCAGCGCATCTCTGTGGGAGAGGGAGTTGGGAAATAGGATCGCCAATTTTCAGTGTAATTGAGGGGGACTCAGGAGGAGTCAGTTAGACTGGAAGAGGTCATCACCTGCAGATGCGGTTAAGCAACTTGCAGAGGCCCCAGGGCTGAGCCACCGCAGAACCGGAGCTGGAAACCAGTCCTATGACTCCTGAGGCAGTGCTCTTTCTACTACCTGGCCATGGCTCCTTCTACTGCCTGGCTCAGAGTCTCCATCTGGGAGATTCCGGCGCACCAGACTTTATTGTGGGCACAGGGTAGGCAGTCCTGAGGCTATAGGCACAGTCTTGAAGCAGCTCGGTTTCCATTAAGCTCCTGCTTACCTGCAGGAAGCATCCCTGAAGCAAGTTTTGCTTCCCACCTGGACTCCCCAGGTGGACCTATCCCCACCCCACACCCTGAGTGAACTCTTCACCCTCGTGACCTAATATACCCACTGCAATTCAATTGAGACTTGGGAAACAGGGAAGTGGGTGTTTTCCAAATGAATGAAAAATATGTCTATTCTGCTACTGCCCCAAAATGCTGCATAATGGAGGTAATAAATAGTTAACACAGCATACGTACACACATACATAGGTACAAGCCATTGGCCAAGGCTCCTTCCCACATTATCACACAGCACCCTCTTAAGGCAAATCATGATACTCCCCATTTTGCAGACGGAGGGCAGGACATGGAGGCTGGCGTTGGTTATGAGTTGTGTAAAGGTTAGAACCTTCACAGTCAAGCACTCTTTGGGTAACCAAGTAACCTCTTCAGAGCCTTCCCACTGCCACCGAAGCATTCCTACACCTCCCTATATTGGCAGGTGTGTTGTCAAAGCATTGATTTTCTTTCCTCTCCTGAAGCATCTCCCGTCCTTCTGCTCAGTGATATCTGCAGAATTAGAAAATACAGTTTCAGCATGGAATCTGGTCTGGAAGACAGCCCAGAGGACTTGAGCAGTAACTGCCAGGGCCCACCACAGACACACACGGTTGGACTCAGGTTCTAGACTATGTGGACAGGCTTGGGGAGGGTGGAGGAGGCGTCCTTGTTGCTGCAATTGGTTCTATAGCTGTTATCTAAAAGAAAGAGATAGAGGCCGGGCGCGGTGGCTCACGCCTGTAATCCCAGCACTTTGGGAGGCCGAAGTGAGTGGATCGCCTGAGGTCAGGAGTTTGAGACCAGCCTGGCCAACATGATGAAACGCTGTCTCTACTAAAAATACAAAAATTAGCCAGGTGTGGTGGTGCATGCCTGTAATCCCAACTACTCAGCAGGCTGAGGCAGCAGAATCACTTGAACCGGAGAGGCGGAGGTTGCAGTGAGCGGAGATGGCAGAATGAGACTCTGTCTCAAATAAAAAAAAGAGGGAGCTCACTTCAGGATTAATTACTTTTTTAGGGGCTTATAACTTATAACAGTACCTTGTTACCATTTCCAAATTTTTTCATTTGGATAGTAATATAAAAGCATAGCAATGTGCACAACAATATGTGTGATATCAGTATGTATCAATACATATCAATTCATAAAGCCAGTTCTAGCTAAGGGTTTGGTGCCCCTATACATTTTGACAACAATTAATATATGAAATGGTAAGAGAGCGGAAAAGGTGATAAAACTATGAAACCAAGTAACACAATGTGAGAAAAGATACACTTTTTTCTGGAAAAAAAAGCAAGTAGATGTGTAATAGCCTTTGGATTATCCCTTTGGAAGCCACTATTATCAAGCAGTATTGGTGGTACTTAGTGTCCGTCATTAGAAAAGGCAGCAGAGTATGAGGGAAAAGAATGGCCAACTCATCTCTGCAACCCCAGTGCCCTAACAATGTCTAGCAGAATGAAGTCAGTGAACCTAATAGAAGGATGGGTTCCTTTACACCTCAAAGACCAAAGGAGAGTAACAACCAGGTTGAACACAAAACCTACGTGTAAAAACCAATTTTTAAGACGTATGGCCAGGCATGGTGGCTCATGCCTGTAATCCCAGCACTTTGGGAGGCTAAGGCTGGAAAACTGCTTGAGGCCAGGAGTTCGAGACCAGCTTAGGCAACATAGTGAAACCCTTTCTCTACAAAACAAATTTTTTTAAATTTAGCCAGGTATGGTGGTATATGCCATAGTCCCAGCTACGTGGGAGGCTGAGAAGGGAAGATCGCTTGAGCCCAGGACGCCAAGGCTGAAGTGAGCCAAGATCACACCACTATACTCTAGTCTGGGCAACAGAGAGAGACTCTTTAAAATAATAATAATAATTACTACAAAAAAAAAAAAAGGCAGGGCATGGTAGCTCACACCGGTAATCCTAACACTTTGGGAGACCGAGGCTGGCAGATCACTTGAGGTCAGGAGTTTGAGACCAGCCTGGCCAACATGATGAAACCCTATCTCTACTTCAAAAATACAAAAGTTAGCCAGGCATGGTGGCAGGCATCTGTAATCCCAGCTACTCAGGAGGCTGAGGCATGAGAATTGCTTGAACCCTGGAAGGGGAGGTTGCAGTGAACCGAGATCACACCCCCACACTCCAGCCTGGGCAATAGAGCAAGACTCTGTCGTGAGAAAAAGAAAAGTTTCTATATGGAGTTTAGCTTTAGTCATGTGGTTAAACATTTTTCATAAACATGATTTGAGAATCAAAATATGTTATTTTAATTTACAAGGACATTACAAGTGTACCTTAATATGGTGCTGATAATGCAGTAATAGTAAGGAAATATATAGAAAGTTGTGGAAATAAGTCAAGTCATGGTGTCAGAGTGATTTTATCCCCTTAGGGAAAAAATGGAATAAAATATATGGCATCGTGGCATCATTTTTATAGGGCAGCCCATATAAAAATATATATTCTAAAACAATATATAAAGTGGCAAACTTTTACATTTATAAAATGCAAGATACGTACAATATGTTTAATATCTTTAATAACTTGTTTCAAATATATTTGAATAGGTATTTTTAGGTACAGAAATACTTCACACAGTTCAAGGTTAGACTTCTCAGCCTCACCAGGGTCTTTGAGAACTTTGACCCAGAGCCATTCAGTAGCTGAAAGAACAGTTGTGAAACTCATTCATTAAAACTCAATTACATTATTTTCGAAGACACGTACTCATGTCATGTTGACTCTTACTTTAAATACAGTTCTAGTAATCAGGGTTATCTGATTTCTTAGATGACAGCAAATGTGCCGTATAGTTAGAGACTGCTCATTAGACGGAAGAGGATTGTTGTACCCAAGCATAAATACTGGCCAGACAGTACTATTGTGGGTGGTAAATCATTAAGCTAGGATCTAATTATATTCCATAGAGTCTACTTAAGGAACATGGAAAATATGAAATATATTTCTAAATGAATTTTTTATTTTAAATGAGTAAAATAAACATTTGACCTGGAGAGGTCAACTTTGCTCTTCTAGAAAAAAAAGGTCACACATGTTCAAGACCTCATTCCATAAGCACAACTCAAACATAGTGGGGGCTTTGTTAATATTTGCTGACTGAAAAGGGGATGCTTTTAATTTCTTCTGGATGTTTTGAATTAACGCCTTTAAATATACACATTAAAATAAGCGAGTTGTTTCCTACTATTTTCAAATTTACACTCTTCATTGTTCGTGCTGTTTCTCTCCAGCTCAGTCCAGGAGGAGGACTAAAGGGGGAACGTGTGTCCCTCTCACTGCACCATTGCCGAGCTTTCTTCTCCAAATGGCACAACAGGCACAGCTCTCTGGTGTAACGCTTTCAACTGCATAACTGAGATCTCACATAAAAGTCATCTAGTACAGGCCAGGCGCAGTGGCTCATGCCTATAATCCCAGCACTTTGGGAGGCCGAGGCAGGTGGATCACCTGAAGTCAGGAGCTCAAGACCAGCCTGGCCAACATGTTGAAACCCCGTCTCTACTAAAAATACAAACATCAGCCGGGCGTGGGGGCGCGCACCTGTAATCCCAGCTACTCGGGAGGCTGAGGCATGAGAATCACTTGAACCTGGGAGGCGGAGGTTGCAGTAAGCCAAGATCACTCCAGCCTGGGCAACAGAGCAAGACTCCATCTCAAAAAGAAAAAAAAAAAGTCATTTGGTACATCAGGGTGCTTCACAGGTTGAGTTTTTCATTCTACTTCTGTCCACTCAGCGTCGTCACTTCTCCAATCTATAGAAGAGAACAAAAGGGTAACAGAGGGAACTAGTACAGAAAACAAGATGAGTGGGGCAGCAGAGATTAATCTAGATCTGGTCTGCATCTGCCTGACATAAAATCCAGATATCTAAACACAGATCTGCTGAAAACGGTGTCTTTTATTTCTACAGTAATTACACTAATTCACCAACGTGCATATCTAGCTCACCCAGACCTTTATTTATCAATTGGAAAACTAGTTTTCAAATAGTTTCCCTTTGATAACTCAAAATTCAGTATTTTAGAGAAAGGTCTTCTAACCTTTACTCCACCTTTAATTTTTAAATTCTGATGGATAGGTTATTTAAATTATTACTGTTGTTTCTTTCCAAGCATTTTTAGCACCACTTTAAAAAGTAGATATTTATCATTTAAGTCAATATCTACAAAATCCTGTCCCACTTTCATACCTTACTCTGTGCCCTTTCACTATGAAACACTATGATAAACTCTCCATTAATAAGACAATATGTTTCAACACACATTATTATAAGAATCTTTATTACCAATAGTAGAAATAAGATGCATAAAGGTACACTCAAGGATACTAGAAGAGCTACTGTATAAAATATTAACACTGAACAGGGAAAATAGCCTGAGGAAGGGAAGGGCGAGTATAGTCAGTATCAATACGTCCAAAAACAAGAAATGTCTAAAGAAAAGCAACAAGTGCGTTATCCGCCAAGAAAAGAAAAAGACAGGCAAAGGCAATAACGTGGGAAACAAGCTTTGCCAATTTCAGAAACAAGGGTATTTCCTTTCCTGTTGCACAGAGGGGATTCACTGTATATAGCCACAAACGTGTCCCATTGAGGAGAAATTTGGCCTTCAAACCAGATGATGCCAGTAATGCCTCCCTTGCTATATGAGATGTGTTTGGCTTTTTCTGTAAACACAACCAGAAAATGTTCGAGTCAAATCATTATTCATCCAACAGTAAGTTAGGCAGTTACTGTGTGCCCAGTACAGTGGGAACCACACAAATGACTAAGCATAGTTTTTATCAAGAAACCTAAAATCTAGTAGAGAAGACTGGAAATATAGGGATTAAAAGTAGAAAAAAGAGAGAGCCCTGAATTGTCCATAGATGGCTTCACGTTAGAACTGACGCTTTTTTTTTTTTTTTTTTTTTTTTGAGACAGAGTCTCATTCTGTCACCCAGGATGGAGTGCAGTGGTGCATTCTCGGCTCACTGCGACGTCTACCTCCATATTCCCCTGCCTCAGCCTGCCCAGTAGCTAAGATTAGAGGTACCCACTACCACGTCCAGCTAATTTTTGTATTTTTAGTAGAGATGGAGTTTCGTCATGTTGGCCAGGCTGGTCTCGAACTCCTGACCTCACGTGATCCGCTCGCCTCGGCCTCCCAAAGTGCTGGGATTACAGGCATAAGCCACTGCACCCAGCCAGAAGTGGCTTTTGAAAGAGATCTTGAAAGGTTAGTAGAATTCGGATGGGCTGAGAAAATAGGAGGTGGTCCCCAAGAAGTAACTGAAGCAGAGATTGGGAAATCCTAGGCAAGTCCTGATCCAAAGGACAGGATCCAAAATGACCAGAACATGTGGGACATTTAAAAGGAAAGGCAAGACTTTAAAAGTGTTCTGAGTCTAGAAATGGGGGACTTTGAATGCCAGAAAAAAAATTATTATGCCAGAAAAAAATTTATTATATGAATTTTAGTAGGGTGCAAATCTGTGGATGTGAGCAGACACTGTTAGTCGCTTAATCAACATTCTTTCTTTCTTGCTGGAAGAGCCCTAAGTTTGCTCAAAGCCCATCTCCACGAGGCCCTAAAAGAGAGAATCAACACTGCCCCAGCTCTGAGTAGGGCTAGGGAAATAAATTATGATTGGTTTAAGCCAACAGGAAAAACCAATGGCAAAAGTGGCTGAGCCTTGATGGAATCCGTGCGATATCTCAGAGGAGAGGTCTGGTTATCAATTGGAAATAGAGATCTGGAACTCAGGATAGGCTAGAGCTAGAGATCTAGAAAGAATGGAGGTCCTCCATGTACAAAAATGTAATTGTTTAAATAATTAGAATGAAAAGACCAACTAGAGAGAGAAGATCCAGTGCAAGGTGGTGGCCGAGAGCACAATCCAGGGAGCATCTGAGCAGCGGTCCCCAACTTTTTTGGCACCAGGGACAGGTTTCATGGAAGAGAATTTTTCCATGGACCACAGGGGCAGGGGTGGTTTTGAGATGATGCAAGCACATTACATTTATTGTGTACTTTATTTCTATTATTATTACATTGTAATATATAATGAGATAATCATACAACTCACCATAATGTAGAATCAGTGGGAGCCCTGAGCTCATTTTCCTGCAACTAAATGGTCCCATCTGGGGGTGACAAGAGACAATGACAGATCATCAGGCATTAGATTCTCATAAGGAGCTCACAACCTAGATAGCTCACGTGAGCAGTTCACAATAGGGTTCGAGATCCTATGAGAATCTAATGCTGCTGTTGATCTGACAGGAGGCAGAGCTCAGGTGGTAATGTGAGTGATGGGGAGTGGCTGTAAATACAGATGAAGCATTGCTCACTGGCCCGCCACTCACCACTCACCTCCTGCTGTTCCTGACTGCAGCCCAGTTCCTAATAGGCCACAGACCAATACTCATCCATGGCCTGGAGATTGGATACCCCTACATTAGAGGATTCTGTAAAGGATGCTGGGAAGGAATGATGGGAAAGCCAGAACCAGTAAGGGAGATGCCTCAGTGGTCAGAGAGTTTCCAGAGGTGGGTAATGGTTCCATGTATACAATTCTGAGGCGGGGTGTGGTGGCTTATGTCTGCAATCCTAGCATTGTGGGAGGCCGAGGCGTGCGGATCACGAGGTCAGGAGATTGAGACCATCCTGGCCAATATGATGAAACCCCATCTCTACTAAAATACAAAAAAAGTAGCCCAACGTGGTGGCACGTGCCTGTAGTCCCAGCTACTCAGGAGGCTGAGGCAGGGGAATCGCTTGAACCCTGGAGGCAAACGCTGCAGTGACCGAGATCACGCCACTGTACTCCAGCCTGGCAACAGAGCAAGACTCCGTCTCAAAAAAAGATAAAAAAATTCTATAGTATCCATTGAGTTTGTCAAGAAGTATCTTTAGCTATCTATGAGCCCTCAAAACAACAAAAGAGGCATATTTTCTCACAATGCTGCTGAAAAAGCTAAGTAAATATTAAAGTTTTACTAGAATCATATAAAACCTATGTGGTTACACTGACATTTCACAATGAGCCTATGCTGATTCGCGGTTGACATCACAGGACACTCTGGAATGTGAATGGGGACCGAGTCACTGAGCACAGAGTGTCCAGCATACCATGCGTTTTTTGGCCTAGAAACCAACCCAGAATTAAGCAGGCAGAAGCAGTGAACAGTGCATATGTATCTCTATATTTGCATATCCTGTATATTTATATATCCTGTATATTTGCATATCCTGATTGTCTTTTAGCATCACCACCATCAGATATCAGGTAAACTTATTATACTTCAATGACGGTAAATGTTTGGTTAAATATTTGGATCAGAGATGGAATAGAGAAATAATGTTAATAAAAATGGGAAAAACATCATGAGCCCTACTTTTCCCACTCCTGCAGTTATAGACTCTCAAGACCTTTAACCTACAATCGGCCATGACAGAGACCTGAGTTTGTCCTAAGCAAATATGGTGCCCTCTGTTAGGAACCACAGCCCGTTCATGGGCAGGATGGGCTCACCATGTCTGGACCTGCCTTGAGTGTCTGCCTTCCACCAGCTGCACTCTCTTGCAGTAATACCTTTGTTTTACAGGGAGTTTTAATGGTTGGACATGGTTTTCTGCAGGTAAGAGTCCCCCTCTGGTAACAAACCCTGAAGTTTGAAGCCCAGACTATCTGACCTATACCTTGACCCCTTCTTGCTTTTTTTTTTTTCTATGTCACTTTCCCCCACCTGCAATACTCTAACTTTGCTCCCTAACCCTTCTCTGACCTTGAGAGCCCCCAAAAAATTAGTGTAGACCTCAGCAACCTGAAAAATAGTACCTCTGCACCCAAACTCCTGTTGCTCACTCCCACACGTCCTTAAACAATACGGCAACACCACTCAAACCACAGTTTTCCATATTCTTTTGGACGTGTAGGTGGGACTGCTAGTCAACTCTAAAAAGGGCCAACCCTTCTCCCTGGTTAGTTCAAACAATAATAGCAGTAATAACCGTATCATCATCATCATCATCATCATCATCATCATATTACTATTGTAGTTTGACTTGCACCATGTTCCAGGCACTGCTCTAAGCCAGGGGTCCTCAAGCCCCAGGCTGCAAACCAGTACCAGTCTCTGGCCTGTTAGGAACTGGACCGCACAGCAGGAGGTGAGCAGCAGGCAAGAGAGCATGACCACGTGAGCTCTGCCTCCTGTCAGATCTGCGGTGGCATTAGATTCTCATAGGAGCACGAACCCTATCATGAATTGCACATGCATGGGATCTAGGTTGTAGGCTGTTTATGAGAATCTAACTAATGCCTAATAATCTGAGGTAGAAGATTTCATCCCCCACCCCCTGCCCGTGGAAAAACTGTTTTCCACGAAACCAGTCCCTGGTGCCAAGAAGATTGGGAACCGCTGCTCTAAGCCATAAATATATACTTGCCACAACCCTATAGAGAAACTGAGGCTTAAAGAGGTTATAGAACATTCCCAAGGTCATACAGCTAGTAAGCCATGACGTCAGGATTCAAACTCAGGCCAACCTTTCCCATGGACACAACTCTGGGGTTCCCATACCTTACAGTCTGAGATAAAAGAGGTAACTAATAATATTTTTCAAAACATCCTATTTACAGGGCAGAAATAATAAAAATAGGTTCTTGGTAGGAAAGAATAATAGGAGGAAAATAGGAGGAAACCACTGATCTCTAATATTTCCTCTAAGAACAAGATAAATTCAGAATTGGGATTTGCCCACCCAACTCCCAGTCCAGTGATCCTTTGCTGTGCTATGTGTGGTCAGAAGGGTGAGGAAGTATCACAATGGAAAGGCCAACAAGATGGCGATGAATGCATATACTCCTTCAGTCATTTGCTTCATTCTTTACTCATATCATACCATGTTTTGTACTCTCATTGGGGTGATAATTAGTGCCATCTGTGTACTCTCATTTTATTAAGCCAATAACTAGAGTCATATCAACAGTGTTCACAGAACTAAAATAAGGAAGCTCTTTGTGTGTTTGTTTCTTTTCCCTCTCACAGAACAGATACTTCTCCTTCCTACTTTTTTTTTCTTTTTTACTAGCATCTTGGAAGACAACCAGTCCCAGGACCTATAAACAGTGCTTCCCTTCAGACACAGCTTTTATCTTGATTGGGCAGAGAAAGACAGACTGTTCCCTTGCTGATAAAGGGCTTTTTGAAGACTTTTACATAACTTCTGCAATTCACTGGAAAATAACACCCAGGAAAAGGCTGGGTGTTGGGGGTGGATAATAAACTTTTACTGCTATATGAAAAGTTACATTTTTCAGAGTAATATGGTGATTACAGATAAAATAACAAAATAAATTTTAATAACACCACATTGCCGAGTCATCAAAGAATTGGGCACTGGTCCAGTAACTTCTGGGAGAATTTGCACCTGTTGCCTCTTTCCCCAAGGATGGAGGAGGTTGCCGAAACCACCTCCTCCTGGGAGGGCTACCTGAAGCTCCAGTAAGCAATAGCACTGGCTAGGTCATCGTCTCTTCCAGTTCTGCCACCAACGAACTCATTCCAAGAAAATGTGGGAAATAATGCCTTATCTTGAAGTAAGTCAGAAGCTGTCACACGTACAAAGAAAAATGTTTTCTGGTCAGGGTTCCCTGTGGGCATGTCCTTGCAGATGCCTTGATGCGGCTCTGAATTTCTAGTTACAATTAACTGGCAATGAACTGAAGCTATGCTAGTTTAGATTAGGGGTTTTGAAAAGTCTCCTTGTATAATAATAGCATACCTAGTCTTAGCTTTTAGGTTTTCTTTCTTCAAAGGGAACATTCAGAGCCAGATAGAGGCAGAGGTCTGCCAGGCAGCTTCTTAGAGCAACAATCTATAAGAGGAAACTATAAGGGGGAACTCACATAACGCTAAAATAAATTGGAAATACAGCCCCACTTATCCCGAGTAAAATGTAATTGTCTCACTACTCTTGAAACAGGCATTTCGGAGTTGGAAGACAAACACCACCCCACCACACACACACACACACACATGCACGCACACAGTCACACACATACACACACACACACTCTGTTGAATATTTTGGCAATGTATACATGCTAAATAGTAATTTGCTGCCTTCAACTGAAATTCTAAAACCAAATAATACATGGCATAATACTTACAGAAGTGAGTGAATCTTTTATTATCCAAAATGTTAAACCCTTTAATATACCTCCCAAGGTGTTGTCTGGTTCAGAAACTCACAAAAGGAAATGGAAGGGCAAACTAGAACTGCTGAAAAAGTGGAAAACAAATTTAAACAAATTCATCATCAGCCAATGAAGTAAATTAAGTGACTCTAACTCTAGGTAATGTTCATTACTACAAAATACTTTCCCACTCCTACTAAATAAATGTTAAGTAATTACTTAAATGATATAAATTATGTTACATTACTAGCTTGCTTGGAGTGCTCACATGAAAGTCTTAATTACTCATACTTTCTCACCACCACAAAAGAAAGAAAGAAATAAGTTGCGGGGGTGTGGGGGTTAAGAAAGGAGGAAGAAAGAAAAGGACGGAGGGAGACAGGGAAGAAAATAATTGATTTCTGCCATTTTGGAAAACAGAGTGGTAGTTTCTTAAAAAGTTAAACACGTATCAGCCGGGAGCAGTGGCTCACGCCTGTAATCCCAGCACTTTGGGAGGCCAAGACGGGCAGATCACCTGAGGTCAAGAGTCTGAGACCAGCCTGGCCAACACGGCAAAACTACGTCTCTATTAAAAATACAAAAATTATCCGGGCTTGGTGGCAGGCGCCTATAATACCAGCTACTCAGGAGGCCGAGGCAGGAAGAATCCCTTGAACCTGGGGGAGGTGGAGGTTGCAGTGAGCCGAGATTGCACCAGTGGACTCCAGCCTGGGTGACAGAGTGAGACTCTGTCTCAAAAAAAAAAAAAAAAAAAAAAAGTTAAACACATATCAGCCATATGATCCAGCCATTCTACTCCCAGATATTTATCTAAGAGAAAGGGAAATACATTTCAATATAAAAATCTAAACACAAATGTTCATTGTGAGGTAAGAGGAAGGACTTGACTCAGGAGGTAGGACTTGACTACAGAGATAGGGCTTGGACACTGGACTGAGTTGAGGACTAGCTAAAACACAGAATGAGGCAGAAGCAGCTTTCCATTAGACACACCCACTACTGTGTTATGTCAGTTTACCACTGTCATGGCAACACCTGGAAGTTACCACTCCCTTCCATGGCAACAATCCAATGGCCCAGAAGTTACCACCCATTTTCTAAAGATTGCTGCATAATGCATCCTTCAATTTGCATGTCATTAAAAGTGGGTATAAATGTCAGTGCAGACCTGCCTCTGGGCTGCTACTCTGGTCACACTGCCTATGGGGTATCCCTGCTCCACAAGGAGCTGTACATTTGCCACTGCTGTACACTGCCATTTCAATAAAAGTTGCTGTCTAACACCACTGCCTTACTCACTCTTGAATACTTTCCTGGGTGAAGCCAAGAACACTCCTGCGCTAAGCCCCAGTGTTGGGATTTGCCTGCCCTGCATCATGAGCAGTATTATCTGTAACAGGCAAAAACTGTAAACAACCCAAATGTCCTTAGCAGGTAAATAAAGAAATTGTGGCATATAATAAAATGGGATACTGCTCAATCAGAAAATGGAATTAACTACTCAGACGCTCACCAACGAGGATAGGTCTCAAAATCATTATGCTGAGAAAAATAAACATACCAAAAAAGTCACATATTGTATGATTTCATTTATACAAAATTCTAAAAAATGCAAACTAACATAGCGACAGAAAGGAGATCAGTGGTTACTTGGGTATGGGGTATGTAAGAAGGCGTGGAAGGAAAGAATTACCAAGGGGTACTGGAAAACTTTTAGGGGGGATGGATATATTCACAATCTTGATTGTGGTGATGGTTTCACGGGGGTATACATATGTCGAAGCTTAGCAACTTGCGTATGCTAAAGTGTGCCAATTTTTTGTATGTTAATTATACCTCTCTACAACTACTTTAAAATTAATTTTTAAATTTAAAAAACAGGCCTCTGCATTTGAAAGAACATGTTCTCTATCTTGCTTTCAGTAAAAATCAGGAAGAACCTTTGGAGACTAAATTAAGTGATCCTGATTTTTTTGTTCAATGACTAAAACAGTGGTTCTCCAAATTTAGTATGCATGAGTGTATCTGAGATGCTAATTTGAAATGCAGTTTCCAGGGTTTTATATAGAGGTATGCTAGAAAATATTACTGATAAGAGAATGTGTAGGACCTAATTTACAAGTAATAATACATCCAATATTCTTTATTGTAAATGTAATAAATCTTACAAAATGCTTTTGTTGGCTTTTGCTAAACTCTTGTATCTGCAGTCAGCCTATGGCTGCAAGAGATGAACAAGTATAGTTCCAATTGAATGTTGGGTAATAATTTTGTTTACTCAGATGAAAGGATTACTTGAGGCCAGGAGTTCAAGATCAGCCTAAGCAACGTAGCGAGGCCCTGTCTCTAAAAAACTTTTTTTTTAAATTTCTCCAGGCACCATGGAATATACTTGTAGTCCCAGCTACTCAGGAGGCTGAGGCAGCAGGAGTGCTACAGTCCAGGAGCTTGAGAATACTAAGTTCATACTGCTGCACTCTAGCCTGGATGACAGAGCAAGACCTTGTCTCTTAAATCATAATAATAATTTTGTTTACATTAATGAGTAAAAATGAAGCATCATTTCTTAATCTCACATGACTTATTAATGATGTGAGAGACTTCTTTGATGAACTGGAAGATAGTTTTTGAAGACTGGGACAATAATTTCCTTAAGTTTATACTATTTATCATGTAACAACCACAGGCATGACACACTTTAAGTTTAATCTACATTATTAACATTTATTCCATCATTGTCTACATAACCAACAAAACAATAAATCAAGCCTGGTTGTATTTGACAAATGCCATGGTGTAAATATTCCCACATGGCCAATTTCAAGCTACCAGTGCATGTGAAGTTGGGAAGAGATGTACAGTAGCACACCAGTATCAGTATCTCCACCACACAGAAGTAATAGACATAACCTCAAAAGCACAGATAATAGCAACGTGTAGTAAAGTCAATAGGAAGTGATGAGTTTTGTATACTTATTATGCTTGTTTTTAACATAATTTATGTAACTGTGAGCTTCTACAATTTAATTTGTAATGATTTTTAGTAATGAGCTCATAAAATTCTTGAAATTTAATAGTTGGCTCTCAGGAACTGAAATAAGTTGGCTCTAACACACTGCTGGCTTCAGCTCAGCCCTAAGAAATGAGGTCCTTTGGGGATGGGGCTCAGGAACCTGCATTTCTAATATTGTCTAAGATGATTCTGATACACGATACTGGTGGAGAATCTAATTGCAATTTTCTTTTTAGCTAGTGTTATGATCTGAACATTTGTATTTCCCCAAAAATCCTGTATTGAAACATGATCCCAAGTGTGATGGCATTAAGAGATGTGGCACCCAAAGGGAGGGTGATTAGGTCACGAGGGCAGGGCCCTCATGGATGAATAAAATTAGTGCCTTTACAAAAGAGGTCAAGGGAGCTTGTTTACCCCTTTCCCCATGCGAGGACACCTCTAGAAGGTACCATCTATGAACCAAAAAGCAGGCCCTCACCAGACACCAAATCTGCTGACACTTGCGTCTTGTAGTTCTCAGCGGCCAGAGTTGTGAGAAATAAGTTTGTGTTATTTGTAAGCCACATTCTTATAGCAGCCTGAACAGTCTAAGACAGTTAGTACATAGGTGTTCTTCAGAGCCAACATGTTATGGGGAAAGAATACAGGATTAAGCATTAGGAACACTAACGTTCTCGCTCCAGTTCTTCCACTTAATTATATGGCCTTGGGCAAGTCACTAACTTCTTAGTTTCCTAATCTAATAAGGAGGGAGTAGGACCCAAGAAAAGTTTAGTAGATGTAATTTTAAAAGATTTACTTATATACTGAAGTATTTATAGGTGTAATGACCTGGTACCTGTTATTTGGTATCTATTTCCTTAGAATGCTTTGGGAAACAAAAGGAAAAAAAAGGTGGGCTAGAGATAAGCAAAAAGATTGGCGAAATGTTTTGATAATGAGAACATGGGTTCTATTATACCATTCCCTTTACTTTTGATGTTTAAAATTTCTCCATAATAACAATTTCCTAAGAAGTCACTAATAAATAATCCAGATTCTTTTTATCTTTAAAAGTATGTTTCACATCATCCTTGGATTTATAATTTTTTTAATCGGACAGGGGTCAGGACTTAGCGCCTTCTATGTGTTTGTTGCTGAGCAATCTGAATCTACTTGTTCTGAAATTCCCAGAACAAATTAATGGCTGAGCCAGGATTCTAACAACTACCTTCTGAGTTCCAAATCCCACCGCCATTTCGGTTACACCAAGCAACATGAGGGTGCTGCTGTCCCAGTGCAGTGTCAAATGGGAGCAGGGAGATGAGAAAGAGGGTGGAAATGGGGAAATTTGAGGCAAAGCTTCCGTATCAAGCATCAATATTTATTTAAAGTACATTCTGCTTCTAATTACAATCAAAACCAGGGGCAAACATTGCTGTGGGCAATTAAAACACCAGTCACTGCAGCTACTCGGGAGGCTGGGGCAGAAGAATGGCATGAACCCGGGAGGCGGAGCTTGCAGTGAGCCAAGATCACGCCACTGCACTCCAGCCTGGGCGACAGAGCAAGACTCCATCTCAAAAAAAAAAAGCCAGCCACAAATTATCCTCTAAGATTCTGGGCTGTTGAGAAACTGCTTCTATCACTCCCATTTCTACCTATCATTTCAGAATGAAACGGGAAGAAAGGTGAAATAATGCAAGTCAACACAGTACTATATTTTCTTTATTTCAACTAGGCTGGCGCCTGATACAGTTTAGGAAACAGTAAGCGCTCAATAAATGTATTTGGCTGAATCTAGGTAACCCTAAACATTTTCAGCATTTCATGTGATACATGCTTTTTGAGTACCTATCATGTGCTAGACAACATTTAGAACTTTGATACTGTGGACTAATTTAGTAATTTTTATGTATCTCATTATTAATAAGTGACTATTTCAATACTACCAAAAAATTTTAGTCCTCTCCTATATAAATTCCATAGAAAAAATTAACTCTATCAGCTTCAATTACATGACAGATTGTTAGAACAATTTTTAAAAAGCAAGAACCAATTTTATGCTGTCTACAGGAAACTAACTTTAAAGACATTGGTTAAAAATACAAGGGTAGAAAAAGATATAAGATGCAAACTCAAACTAAAAAAAAGTGAGAGTGGCCATACTAACAGCAGACGAAGTAGGCTTCAGAACAAGGAATATTACCAGGGATTCAGAGGGGTATTACGTAATGCTAAAGGATCAATTTGCCAAGAAGACGTAACAATCCTAAACGTGCATGCATCAAACAACAGAACTTCAAAGTACATGAAGCAGAAACTAATACAACTGAAAGGTAAAACAGAAAAATCCACATTCCTAGAGCTCAACACAAAGTCTGGGAGCTAAACCCGAGACTCTCACATTAAGCTGGGTCTTTTGAAGCAGTCTAAAGTGGTTCCAGACTAGCAGCTCCCACTGGCACACATCAGAAAGTAAAACAAATTCTTTCTGAGGAAAGCTTCCATGATTTAGGACCTCAGGATTCCAACTGATTAAAGTCAATCAAATATAAGTTCATGGTGCAAAGTCATCAAACATATGAGGAAATAGGCCAGCATGAAAAAAAGTCCAGGAAAAAATAACTTATAACCCAAAGAACTGAATTTAATATTGGAATTATCAGATATAGAATACAAAATAAATCTGTATGAAGAAGAAAAAAGATTGTATAAAAGACAGACAAAACTGAGCATTGCACAAGCAATAAAACATATCATAAATGAGCCAATAATTTATTTTAAATGAATTGATTTTGAAAATATAATCAATTGGCTTTAAAGGCTCAATGGATGGGCAAAATGCCAATTTAGATATAGCTAAAGAGAGAATTAGCACATATGAGGATAGAGTAGAAGTTGTTGCTGCAAGGAAAAAAAGGGAAATAAAGAATATGCCATGTATCAAGGGTCATGAATTAAAATAAACCTAACTCCAGATACAGTTCAGTGAAACTGAACAGGAAAGATAAAAAAAGATCTTAAATGCTGAGGTAACCATATTATTTATTCTCCAAACTAGAACTTTTTTTGGAGTCAATGAGGGCATTCTTAATAGATGTTCTAAGAAAACAGACTTAAAACAGCTGTCGTAGGCAAACTCACATACCAGGTCATCCTATTAAAGCACCCAGTAAAGCCGGGCAGAGTGGCTCATGCCTGTAATTCCAGCACTTTGGGGGCTGAGCTGGTGGATCACTTGAGGTCAGGAGTTTGAGATCAGCCTGGCCAACATGGTGAAACCCCGTCCGTCTCTACAAAAAATATAAAAAATTAGCCAGATGTGGTGATATGTGCCTGTAATCCCAGCTACTTGAGAGGCTAAGACAGGACAATTGCTTGAACCTAGGGAGGGTGGAGGTTGCAGTGAGCCAAGATCATGCCACTGCACTCCAGCCTGGGTGACAGAGCAAGATCCATCTCAAAAAAAGCACCCAGTGAGAAAAAATGTCACCTATACATATACAGAATGATCACCGGACTGTTAGCAGTCTTCTTAACAGCAACAAATGGAAGTCAGAGAACTGAAATGTCAAATAATACATAAAAAATACAGACAGCAAACCACCATGGCCCTCGAATTATGACCTCCAAAAAACTGTATTTCAAGAATAAAACTGAAAGGCATTTTCAGATAAGCAAAAACAGAATTTATCTCCAGTGAACCTTCACTAATGGTACTTCTAAAAGATGTTCAGAAATGAAAGAAAATCAAAAACAAAAACCAGCTGAAGGAGCAAAGTGTGAAATATAAGAAGGAATGAATGAACAAAGAAACAAAATGATAAACATGTGTATATCTAAAGCACATATTACCTATATAGAATAATAGCGTCTAGCTTCATAAGTTAAGAAAAAAATGAAAACAGCCCAGGCGTGATGGCTCATGTCTGTAATCCCAGCACTTTGGGAGGCCAAGGCACTGGATTACTTGAGCCCAGGAGTTTGAGACTAGTCTGGGCAACATGGCAAAACCCAGTTACCGTGAAAAACAGAAAAATTAGCCCATCATGGTGGTGCACGCCTGTAGTCTCAGCTACTTGGGAAGATGAGGCAGGAGGATCACTTGAGTCCAAGAGTTCAAGCAAGGCTGTAGTAAGCTGTGATCACACCACTGCACTCCAGCCTGGGCAACAGAGAAAGATGTGTGTATTTAAATTTAAAAAAAAGAAAAACAGCCAGGTACAGTGATGCATACCTATAGGCCCAGCTACTTGGGAGGCTGAGGTAGGAGGATTCCTTAAGCCCAGGAGTTGGAATCTAGCCTGGGCAACATAGTTAAAACAACATAATTAAAACAAAACACTAGACAACAGTACCATGTAAGTTGGGAAAGTGTGATTGCAACAATGTTCTAAGCCTCTTATATGATCCTGGGAAAGACACTGATTAACTTTAGATTAAAAGATGTACAGTAAACCTGGAGATCATTATGTTAAGTGAAATAAGCCAGGCACAGAAAGACAAACATCACTGTTCTCACTTATTTGTGGGATCTAAAAGTCAAAACAATTGAACTCACGGACGTAGAGAGTAGAAGGATGGTTGCCAAAGGCTGGGAAGGGTAATGGGGGGCTGGTGGGGAGGAAGGCATAGTTAATGGGTACAAAAAATTAGAATGAATAAGACTCACTATTTGATATCACAACAGGATAACTATAGCCAATAATAATTGTACATTTAAAAATAACTTAACGAGTATAATTGTATTGTTTATAACTCAAAGGATAAATGCTTGAGGGGATGGATACTCCATTCTCCATGATGTGCTTATTTCACATTGCATGCCTGTATCAGAACATCTCATGTGTCCCATAAATACATACACCTACTATGTACCCACAAATATTAAAAAAAAATTTTGGCCGGGCGCGGTGGCTCACGCCTGTAATCCCAGCACGTTGGGAGGCCAAGGCGGACGGATCACAAGGTCAGGAGATTGAGACCTTCCTGGCTAACACGGTGAGACCCCATCTCTACTAAAAATACAGGAAAAAATTGCTGGGCGTGGTGGCTGGCGCCTGCAGTCCTAGCTACTGGGGAGGCTGAGGCAGGAGAATGGCGTGAACCCAGGAGGCAGAGCTTGCAGTGAGCCGAGATCGCACCACTGCACTCCAGCCTGGGCAACAGAGCAAGACTCCATCTCAAAAAAAAAATGTAAAAGATGTAAGGTAAAATACTAAAGGTAACCACTAAAATAAAAGAAATACGGTAGATAACTTCTGAACCCATGAACAAGGTAAGGAAGAAAAAGAAAATTCAATTTAGAAAAATCAAGAACAGCAACAATTCAGTCTGACAATATTAAGTATTCGCAACATTGTAGAGTTATGTTAAAATTTTACACTTCTGTGGAAAACTTTTAGGCACTATCTTACTAGAGAAAAATATGTATACTCGACAACCCAGCAGTACCACTCTTGCATATGGAGAAGAAAGTATGAGGTACATGTGGAGAGAAACTAAAATGTTTTTAGCAGCATTGTTCATAACATTAAAAACTAGATACAACCCTGTATTCACTTACTGGAGCTGCCATAACAAAATGCCACAGGCTGAGTGGCTTAAACAACAGAAATGGATTTTTCTCACTGCTTGGGAGAGTAGCAGTCCTGGGTCAAGATGGCGGAAGTCCTGGATCAAGATGGCGGCAGGGGCCTTTTCCTGGGGCCTCCCTCCTTGGGTTGCAGATGGCTGCCTTCTTGGTGCGTTCCCACAGGGTCTTTCCTCTACGTGCAAATCTTGGTGTCTCCGTGAATCTCAATGTCCTCTTCTTATAAGGATACCAGTCAGATTAGATTAGGGCCCAGTCTAACGCCTTATTCTGCCTTAATCAACTTTTCGAAGGTCCCATCTCCAATACAGTCACATTCTACGGTTGGGGAGGGTTAGAGCTTCAACATATGCAATTTTGAGGAAAACAATTTAGCCTCGAACAGACCTAAATGTGTACATAATATACATAATAAACAGGAAAACATAACCAAATTTTGGAATAAGTACTCAAAGGAATGTTATGCAGAAGTAACATGAATGAATTACATGTGATAAAATGAAAAATATTGAGTAAGAAAAGCAAGTTGCAAAAGACTACCTCCATTCTAATACCATTTTTATATAGGAAAAGAAAAGCAAAAACAGCATACAATGTAGTGATATGTATATATGATTTCACTATTTTTATAAGGCATGGGAATAATAAATCTAAAGTTCAAGACAGTGGTTACCTCTTGGGGAGATAGAAACCTACAGTGTTGGTAATGTCCTAAGTCATAAGTTGGGTGGCAGGCTATGGGTATTCATTTAATGCATCATTACTAATATCTACTTATATCATCATGTACATATTTATATCTGATGTGTATATCATTACATATTATTGTATGTATCAAATATAATGATATTAGGTATTAAAAACACCTCTTATGGAGGAGAACTGGGGAGGTGTTGCTTTTACCGTTTCGAAAAAAAGTGCAGCTCACTGCCAGCACTCATATAATTTTACATAAACACGCTCCTTGAGGCTGAAGTAAATCTGATTTTCAATGTGAAAATAAAATATAAAAACAGTTCTTAGAGTTATTTCTCAACAGAATGAACATCAGAATCATCTGAATCGTCTATTTCGGAAAAAATCAGATTCATTAAATGAATCTTCTTTCAGCCAACAACTTTTCCAGAGCCACGTTAACATCAAATGTAGGAATTCTACGTTTGCTAGGATTTGACATCTTCAGCGATTGAGAATTACTATATTTTCTAAATGGAAATACCAGTACTAAAAACAGGATGCTATAAATAGAATGATGTCTTTTGTTTCCGAAGTCAATATATTAGAGCAATGGGAAAATAACAACAGAAGTGAGATAGTTCCTGACAAATTAAAAGCGAGGTAGTTCCTATCAAAGTTATGCTGGGCAAACGCCGCCAGCAAGGATTCTCAGAGCAAACAGCAAAAAGTACTAAGTTTCAGTTAGACGGATGAATAAGTTCTGAAGATCTATTGTATAGCATGGTAACTATAATAATAATGCATTGTATACTTGAAATTGCTAAGAGATTAGATCTTAAATGTTCTTACCACGAGAAAATGATAAGCATGTGAGGTGATGGATATATTAATTAGCTTGATTTAATCATTTCACAATGCATACATATATCAAAGCATCACATTATATGCCATTTTTAATTGTCAATCATACCTTAATAAAGCTGAGGGGGTGCCAGGCATGGTGGTTCACCACTATAATCTCAGCTACTCCGGACAATGAGGTGAGAGGATCACTTGAGGCCAGGAGTTCGAGACTAGCCTGGGCAACATAGCGAGATCCCTGTCTCCTAAAAAAAAAAAAAAATTATTAGCCAGGTGTGGTGGTCCACACTTGCAGTCCTCCGTACTCAGAAAGCTGAGGCAGGAGGATCCCCTGAACACAGGAGCTCAAGGTTACAGTGAGCTACGATCACACCACTACACTACCCTGGGTGACAGAGGGAGGCCCCATCTCAAAAAATAAAAACTAAAAAAAAAAGCTGAGAGGGTAACACCTCTTATGACAACATATTTTTATGTAGACCTCTTTGCAAATGGATGTTAACTCATTTATACTACTGTACACTTGTCCTAATTTTATATTTTGAATAATTTAGTGGTGGGTGTGGAATTAGAGGAAGTCTTTGTAGAGAATAGAATGTGTCTCTGGTAACTGATTATCCATATACTGGACTTCCTTCCTTCTGCAATTCAAATATAGCACACTTGTAATTTCATCTCATGATCATAGTAATAGCATAGTCAAAATCTACCTGTTTGAGACTTCTCATCCTTGTAAATTAATAATTGTGATAGCATAAGCATATGCATGACTTTCTTTAGAGCTGGTTTCTCGACCTCAGCATTACTGACCATTCAGGGCAGCTGTGGATGACCGTCCTGTACCAGCATAGAATGTTTAGCAGCAAGCATCTCTGATCTTTCCACCACTAGATGTCACTAGCACACCCCCACTCCCCACCCCCAGTCAAGACAATCAAAAAACGTCTCCTGAGGTTGACAAATGTCCCTTGTGACAAAATCAATGTTCTAGAGAATTTCCGATTCAAATGACCCTTAGAGACTATATACTGAAATTATTTTTTCATATCTCATTCTACTTTTCTATCTTGCTAAATAAGTTCATGTTTTGTTCCTTAATGTAAAGATCTTAGTTTGCCATCAAAACACTGCTGACCACATTATCACATAGAAACACTAGTGATAAATAAATTTTATTTTTTTCTTAATGTTTCACTTCACAAAATACTGTGGAGGTAGACTGAGGATAAGGTACCTGAACATCTGTGTGTTGCCCTGTTAATGAAATTTAATTTTAATCTTCTATAGCTGTGAACAAATCCATACTTTTACTTAAACTTTACCAATTATGTTATGGGGACTATAAAATACTATACAGAAAGCTGTCTTTCTATTTTTATATCAAGATCTTTATATATTTAATTAGCATTATTTCTTAGAATGTATTGATCAACAATAAAATTATTGGCTCAAGATTATGAATAGTTGTAGAGCTCTTGAAGATACTGCCATATTGCTTTACTGAACGATTATGCCAGTTTATACCATCATGTGAACTGGTTTGAAATCATACCATTGACTCTTCTAAACTCTACTAAGAAAATAAGATTTTCTCCATCCACCGTAAGGATATTGGCTTTCTCAATTCTTTCAAATGCTTTCCAATTTCTAGAAACTATTACTGTGATGATCAAAGATAAAAGTATTGTTTTGCAGTTTTTGACCTTACATCTATTGATTGACAGTTATCTGTTGTCTAGGCCTTAAAGAACTACCAAAAAAATTGAATTGGCTTTGTATCCATACATATTCAAGTTATAGGTAAGTGCAGAAATAAAACAATGGGTAATAAATTAAATATACAATGAATTATGCAAATGCTACCCTTCTTACTTCATCACCTGGAGACTGATGACATCCATGGATGTGACACATCTGATATCACTCCTAAAACAGAAATGCCACATTTGGATATAATTGCATCCAAGTCAGATTGGGTCTTAACTGTGACACCTAGAAATTTCCTGTATTTGAAACACTGCAAAATTCAAACTAAAAGCCAGCCTTTCATCCTGACTCAAGCCACCAACAAAAGCACTTTATTTTGTGACATAAGATACTTGAGAATTTTGGTTCCAAAACTTTTGTTCCAAGATTGCCCTCCTGAGTTATAAACTTCATGAATTTAATAATAAGAAATTTAAGTTCAATAATTTTCCCTTAAAATGTATTTCATGCTCTTATCATAATACAATTGTAACAGGAAAATGAATAGGCATTACTACTGATTCTATAGAAATAAAAATGATAAAAGAATACCATAAACCATTGTATGCCAACAAATTGAATAACCTAGATGAGGTGGACAAATTCTTCTAAACACACAATCTACCAAAACTGAGCCATGAAGAAACAGAAAATCTGAATAGACATATAGATACTAAGGAGATTCAACTGGTAATCATAAATATTACACACAAAAAAACCCAGGACCACATGGGTTCACTGGTGAATTCTACCAAACATTTAAGAAGAATTAACACCAATCTTTCTTAAACGCTTTCAGAAAATTTAAGAGAAGGAGACATTTCCTAACTATGAGGCCAGTGTTACCCTACTGCCAAAGCCAGACAAAGACACTACAAAATTCTAAGGACTTTTTTTTTCAGAAATAGAAAAATCCAACTTGAAATTCTTATGGAATCTCATGGGATACCAAAGAGCCAAAACAAGCTTGAAAAAGAACAAAGTCGGAGTTCTCACACTTTCTTTTTCAAAAATTACTACAAAATTTCAGTAATTAACCCAGTGTGGTACTGGCATAAAAATATATATATAAACCAATGGAATAGAACCTAGAGCCCAGGAAAAAGCTCTTAAAAATGTAGTCAGTTGATTTTTTGACAAGAACGCCTTATTATTCAATAAGGAAAAGACAGTTTTTTCAACAAACAATGCTGGGAAACCTGGATATCCACATGCAAAAGAATGAAGTTGGACACTTGCTTTACAGCATATACAAAAAATTAACTCAATATGGGTCAAAGATCTAAATCGAAGAGTGTAAATTATAAAACTCTTGGAAGACAATCTTCATGACTTGGATTTGGTGGTGACTTCTTGGCTATAACACCAAAACCACAGGCAACAAACAAAAATAATAATAAAATGGACTTCAAATTTTAAGACTTTTGTACTTTAAAGGACATCAACAAAAGAATAAGAAAATAACTCACTGAGTGGAAGAAAATATTTGCAAATCGTGTACCTGATAAAGGATTAATATCTGCAATGTATGAAGAACTTGTATAACTCAACAACAAGCCAGACAACCCAATTCACAGAGCGGTAAGGGACTTAAACAGACATTTCCCCAAGAAAAATACATAGTGGCTAATAAGCAATGAAAAGATGTTTAACATCATTAGTCATTAAGTAAATGCAAATCAAAATATTGGCCAGGATATGAAGAAAATGGAATTCTTGTGCATTGCTAGTGGGAGTGTAAAATAGTACAGCTGCTATGAAAAAAAAATGTTACTTGTTCCTCAAAGAGTTAAACATAGAATTACCATATGATCCAGCGATTCTTCTCTCAGGTATATACCCCAAAGAACTGAGAACAGTCAATAAACCTGGTATTGATGGAACATATCTCCAAATAATAAGAACTATTTCAGACAAGCCCACAGCCAATATCGTACTGAATAGGCAAAAGCTTGAAGCATTCCCTTTGAAAACTGGCCCGAGACAAGGATGCCCTCTCTCACCACTCCTATTCAACATAGTATTGGAAGTTCTGGCTAGGGCAATCAAACAAGAGAAATAAATAAAGGGTAGTCAAATAGGAAGAGAAGAAGTCAAATTGTCTGTTTGCAGATGACATGATTGTATATTTAGAAAACCCCATCATCTCAGTCCAAAAACTTCTTAAGCTGATAAGCAACTTCAGCAAAATGTCAGGATACAAAATCAATGTGCAAAAATCACAAGCATTCTTATGTACCAACAACAGACAAGCAGAGAGCCAAATCGTAAGTGAACTCACATTCACAATTGCTACAAAGAGAATAAAATACCTAGGAATATGGCTAACAAGGGATGTGAAGGACCTCTTCAAGGAGAACTACAAACCACTGCTCAAGGAAATAAGAGAGGACATAAACAAATGGAAAAACATTCCATCTTCATGGATAGGAAGAATCAATATCATGAAAATGGCCATACTGCCCAAAGTAATTTATAGATTCAATGCTATTCCTATCAAACTACCATTGACAGTCTTTACAGAATTAGAAAAAACTATTTTAAATTGCATATGGAACCAAAAAAGAGCCCATATAGCCAAGACAATTATAAATAAAAAGAACAAAGCTGGAGGCATCATGCTATGTCACTTCAAACTATACTGCAAGGCTACCAGAACCAAAACAGCATGGTACTGGTACCAAAACAGACATATAGACCAGTGGAACAGAACAGAGATCTCAGAAATAACACCACACATCTACAACCATCTGATCTTTGACAAACCTGACAAAAGCAAGCAATGGGGAAAGGATCTCCTATTCAATAAATGGTTCTGGGAAAACTGGCTAGCCATATTCAGAAAAATGAAACTGCACCCCTTCCTTACACCTTACACAAAAATTAACTCAAGATGGATTAAAGACTTAAATGTATCCATCTAAATGTATCCTGGCAAAAACAAAAAAAGCCAAAATTGACAAATGGGATTTAATTAAACTAAAGAGCTTCTGCACAGCAAAAGAAATGCGCATCAGAGTGAACAGGTAACCTACAGAATGGGAGAAAATTTTTGCAATCTACCCACCTGACAAAGGTCTAATATCCAGAATCTACAAGGAACCTAAACAAATTTACAAGAAAAAAACAAACCCTTTGACCCTATCAAAAAGTGGTCAAAGGATATGAACAGACAACTTCTCAAAAAAAATACACTGGCCGGGCACACTGGCTCATGCCTGTAATCCCTGCACTTTGGGAGGCTGAGTCGGGCAGATCATGAGGTGAGGAGTTCGAGATCAGCCTTCCCAGCGTGGTGAAACTCTGTCTCTACTAAAAATACAAAAAGTTAGCTGGGCATGGTTGTGCATGCCTGTAATCCCAGCTACTCAGGAGGCTGAGGCAGGAGAATCACTTGAACTCAGAAGGCAGAGGTTGCATTGAGCCGAGATGGTGCCACTGCACTCCAACATGGGCAACAGAGCAAGACTCTGTCTCAAAAAAAAAAAAAAAAAAAGAAGAAGAAGAAGACATTTATGTGGCCAAACAGATAAAAAAAAGCTCAACATCATTGATCATTAGAGAAATGCAAATCAAAACCACAATGAGATACCATCTCACGCCACTAAGAATGGCAATTATTAAAAAGACAAGAAACAATAGATGCTGATGAAGCTTTGGAGAAATAGGAACGCTTTTATACTGTTGGTGGGAATGTAAATTAGTTCAACCACTGTGGAAGGCAGTGTGGCGATTCCTCAAGGATCTAGAACCAGAAATACCATTTGACCCAGCAATCCCATTACTTGGTATATACCCAAAGGAATATGAATCATTCTACTATAAAGACACATGCACACATGTTTATTGCAGCACTATTTACAATAGCAAAGACATGGAACCAACCCAAATGCCCATCAATTATAGACTGGATAAAGAAAATGTCGTACATATACATGATGGAATACTATGCAGCCATAAAAGGGAATGAGATCATGTTCTTTGCAGGGACATGGATGAAGCTAGAAACCACCATCCTCAGCAAACTAACACAGGAACAGAAAACCAGATACCACAAGTTCCCACTCATAAGTGGGAGCTGAACAATGAGAACATATGGACACAGGGAGGGGAACAACACACAGCAGGGCCTGTTGGGGGCTGGGGGGCAAGGGGAGGGAGAACATTAGGACAAATAGCTAATCCATGCAGGGCTTAAAAGCTAGATAATGGGTTGATAGGTGCAGCAAACCACCATGGCACACACATACCTAGGTAACAAACCTGCACGTTCTGCACATGTATCCCGGAACTTAAATTTTATAAAAACAATTGAGAACAGTGACTCAAACAGATACTCAGTGTTCACTGTAGCATTATTTGCAATAGCCAAAAGGTGGAAACATCTTTTGTGCTTATCAATAGATGAATGGATAAACAACATATGGTGTATAGACATAATGGAATATTATTCAGCCATGAAAGAAATGAAATTGTGATACCTGCTACTATATGAATGAACCCTGAAAACATTATGCTAAGTGAAATAAACAGACACTAAGGGGAAAATATTGTATGATTTAACTTACAGGAGGTACATGGAATAGGGAAATACACAGAGACAAAAGTAGAACAGAGGTTATTAGGGACTAAGGAGGAGAGAATGAGGAGCTACTTATTTAATGGTACATTTTCTGTGTAGGATAATGAAAAGATTCTCGAGATGGATGATGGTGAAGGCTGTACAACATTGTGAATATACTTAATGCCACTGAAATGTACACTTAAAATGGTCAATGTGGTAAATTTTATGTTGCATATATTTACCACAACTTAAAAATAATAAGAGATAATTTGAGATGTTAGCTGCACAGCTAGGCACAGTTGAAATCAAGTTGAAATGTTGAAATCAAGTTTTTAATCAATGAACGAGAATGTGAACATCTAAACACTCATAATTCAATTGGCTGTAGTTAAGCTCTGCTCTTACATGATTTAGACACTCTACATGCCACATTCTCTTAAAACTTTTACATGGCAATATTTAGATACCCATTCTTTAAGAGAAAAAGATGTGTTGTGAATTAGGAAACAAGAAGCTCTAACTCTCATACTTAAAAAGAGATGTTTACAAAAGTCAGAGGAAGAAAGCAAGCCAAATTTTCTTCAATAATAGCAGTCAGTCATGCATATGAGACAGACCCTAGTTAGGTCCTTAGTTTTTTCATCTGCAAAACAAGATTAGCAGTATTGATTAGGTACCAACTCTCTGCTGTGTCCCCCGCCTCATCATCACTGAGAAGTAAACATCTGAGCAGAACTCAAGCTCTAAACTGAAAATAAGAAAATGAGTAATCTCATTTTTATATGTTAATCCATATTTAATGTACATCATAAAATATTAACAGCACTTTTTAAAAATTTTGGCAAGTTCTGGAGGAAAAACATTTCCCAGGGAGGCATACATAAACTTTTCTGTGTTTTATACAAAGGGAAATCTACTCTTATTAAAATATCAGACCTATTTTTATGTAACACTTTTTAAAAATAACATTAAATGACACAACTCAATAAAACAAGATACACTGGAGAAAGATCTTCTTAGAGTTCTGAACTTAAAATAGAACGATGGAGGCACTGCAAATCATTGAGAAAGACCGGGATTATGCAGCCCAACGTTTGAGGACATGACTCACCATTTGGGGGGAGAAAGCTTTCAGAAGATCATCTTACAATATATACCACAATTTTATATTAGCAGAAGACAGAACTTAATATTTTGTGAGCCTTTTGGTGAAAAAGCCCATTGTAAGGTGAAAAGAATTAAAAATGAAAACACAAGGGAAAAGATGAGCAAATTTGACTGCAACAGCAACAAAAGCCTAATTTAAAAAATTTAAAATGAATTATAATTAATATTTAGTTTAACCTTTAAAGGTAAACAACAAATGGAAAATATACACATAAAGGACATAAGACAAAGGTGACTATCTTTGCTTGAAAAGGAACCCATATCGAACTCGTAGCCCCTCCATCGCTATCAAAAAGAACGGATAGGGTTTAATTCCTTATCTTAGAGAAAGGTCTGGAGATGTAGATATACATACCCCTCCACTCCTGGATTAAGGAGATGCAGTAAAAGAGAGAAAGTTCTGTTTTTTATCTGCATTTTGTATTGTTTTAATTTTAAAATAAGTGTGTATTACTTTTGGGATTTAAAAAAGACATACATTTTTAGGATAAAATGCAGCATCATAACAGAGAAAAAAATTCATTAAAACAGGAAATAGTACTAGTAAACATGGATAAATAACTAAACTCAGTCATAATCAAAGAGAAACTAACGAAATACATGTTGTCATTTTGCTTCTATCAAATTAGAAGAATAGGAAACACAGTCGCTAATGCTGTTATGTAATGATGACGACAGGATCAATCAGTATCCCTTTGGTAAGGCAATTTAGCAATACATTCAAGAGCTCCAAAACAATTCATAGCCTTGACCCAATCATTTCATTTCTGATAAATCCATTTTAAGAAGTAATTTATTCTAAGGAATAATATATTAAAAACGTATAATAATAATAATAATATAAATTCATTTCTGATAAATCGATTTTAGAAGTAATTTATTCTAAGTAATTTATTCTAAGGAATAATAATATAAAAAGAGCTCCACATGAAAAGGTAGAAATAATAAATGTCCAACAACATGGAAATGATTATATATGAATCATACATGCATTCAGTGAAATATTAGACAACCAATAAAAGCATGCTTAAAAAGCTATCTGATAATGTAATATAAAAATATATTATTTCCAATAATATATAAATCACAGAAAAATTTTAAACAAAAATTAGACTTCTAATTGTCTATACAGTACAACAATAACTATATACTTTTACAAAATACCTATATAGACTGGGCGCGGTGGCTCATGCCTGTAATCCCAGCACTTTCGGAGGCCGAGGCGGGTGGATCGCCTGAGGTCCGGAGTTCGAGACCAGCCTGACCAACATGGAGAAACCCCATCTCTACTAAAAATACAAAATTAGCCAGGCGTGGTGGCACATGCCTGTAATCCCAGCTCCTTGGGAGGCTGAGGCAGGAGAATGGCTTGAACCCAGGAAGCGGAGGTTGCTGTGAGCCGAGATCACGCCATTGCACTCCAGCCTGGGCAACAAGAGTGAAACTCTGTCTCAAAAAAAAAAAAATGCCTATATTCAAAAGGAAAGAATGGATCACAAATTAATATGCCAAATGTTACCCCAAAATGGTTGTGTTTACAGGCATGTAAGCTTTTACTACAGGGCTGACACATAGGAAGTATTAATAAGAGCAGCTATTATTTTTGCTTTGTTATTATGAATGGCAATACATATTTATTTTTTATTTAATGATCTGGTATGACTTTAAAATAAAAACTAATCCTCTTGAAAGAATTAGAAACTAAATTTGAATGGGGGTGACTTCTGGGTATTGCAATTACGGGTAATTTGTACTTTCTTGCTTGTCTTTTTCTGAATTTTATACAAGAAACATATATTCCTTATATAAATGTTAAGGGGGGGTTATTTACTTATGTATTTATTATGATTATTATGAGATGGAGTTTCGCTCTTGTCGCCCAGGCTGGAGTGCGATGGTGCAATCTCGGCTCACTGCAACCTCCGCCTCCCAGGTTCAAGAGATTCTCCTGCCTCAGCCTCCTAAGGAGCTGGGATTACAGGAGCCCACCACCACACCTAGCTAATTGTTTTTATTTTTAGTAGAGACAGGGTTTCACCATGTTGTCCAGGCTCGTCTCAAACTCCTGACCTCATGTGATCTACCCGCCTTGGCCTCCCAAAGTGCTGGGATAACAGGCATGAGCCACAATGCCCTGCCAGGGGTTCTTAAATGTTTAACTTTTAACATCTGTATTTAACACATGGTTCTTACTGATCTGAACACATTACTGCTCTGAAGTTCACTCAGAGTCAATTTATTGAAATCATATTCACTACAATATGTTCATATCTATCAAGATAAGTGACCTGGAAAGCAGGACTTACACTTTTTACTCTTTATACCTCTGTAAAGTTTTACTTTCTTATACTGAACATGTATAAATGTATTATCTATATAATTTTTTAAATAATTTAAAGGAAAACTTGGAGAAAAACAAACTGTTTTGTCCTCAGACTATAATCAGGGCACTTAATACTGTTGTGACAAAAGTAATACAGTAACTATCAACTAGTAATCTCAAACTAGTTATTTCAAACAGATACGTTGCTTTTACGAAGGAGATGACTGTATTTGGAAGGTAGTTCAGAAAAAGAGAAAAAAGCCAACCAGCCAGTTATTTCTCCATTTTGTTGTCTTGGTAACTAAGGCAGCTGCGTGAGCTGTTTTCTATTATTTTCCAATCCTGTTCCAGAAAGAAAATTTTTAAATAGGAAAGCAGATATACCGAGAATGTAATTAATCTCCCTGAAAACGGACCATTACAAATAATGTTACTGGACACAAGGATAAAAAAGAACCCAAACAAAAGTACTAGAAAAATATAAACCTAATGCTAAAGGGTGTTACACATTTGGTTCCCTTTACAGAGTTAATAGGAAACGATTTTTCAATAGGCTCAAAATTTCTACAGCTGGAATCTAAAAGGCCCAGGCAAGTGTGGCTTACTCAGAAACCAGTCAGAGTGGAGAAACGCTTCGTCGGGCCAAAATCACTAATACAAAGAAATAAAACTTCCCTGGTGAAAGCTCCAAAGAGCAAAGAGCATGACTTCATGGAATAAATCGTTCTAAATGGAGTCTGTTTTCAACAGCCACATGTAAAGTGAAATTGATTCTACCATAAGTAACTCAAGAAAACAAAGATTTGGAGCAACAGGAACTATATTACAGAGCTATATTAGTATAACATATCACAAAGCTTTTGCATGTATGTAACTTTCTAAAACAGGTTGCTTACAATCAACCACATACATCCCACCAATATCTGCAGAGTAGAAATGTAAAGAGCTATAGTTGGGTTGGTATTTGCTCTTAGTTGGGTTGGTATTTGCCTAGATTCAAGTCAGCTCTACTTGACACAAGTGAAAATGTTAATAAATTGTATTAAATTTGAGAGCATAAAAAAGAACAAGAATCCTGTTTTCTATATTTTTCTCTCTTACTCTACACATTGCCCAGCACAGATGAATGATTTATCTTTTAGTGAATCAATAAACCAGCTGGGAAAATGTCAGAGATATCAGTTAGTGATAGAAAAAGATACACCCTCAGATTCAAGCAATTAACACAATAAGTAAGCAGCATTATTTTCTGGGTGGGCCAGCTTCCAAAAACCATTTTTCAAGTTAAAAGAAAAACTCAAGTAATCCTAAAAACCATACTATTTGAGTTACTCTCTACACAGGACAGAAAAAAAAATGAGTTTAATTATAGACCCTGTTTTTCATATTCAAAAATAAAGTTTTTAGTTATTTTAGTTATTACAAAAACAGACTGTGACACAAAAATTAGCCGGGCGTGGTGACGCATGCCTGTAATCCCAGCTACTCGGGAGGCTGGGGCAGGAGGATCCCTTCAACCAGGGACGTGGAGGTTGCAGTTAGCCAAGATTGCACCACTGCACTCCAGCCTGGGCAACAGAGAGAGACTCTAAAAAAAAAAAAAAAAATTGTGCTCATTGAACACCCCTCTTAAGGAGAAGGTGGGGGAGGACGACAAAGAGAAGAAAAGAAAATTAAGTCCAGCAAAAAGAGGAAAGAAAGTAAACCCAAGACCTAGTCTCCCAGCGACAGTCACTGTGGATAATCTTAGCATAGGCATGTCCAGATTTTTCTCTTTGCTTGTACAGATTTTCCCCCAAATATGTGAGTATGACTTTTTTTTTCACTTAAAAATGTAGATGGTGTCTTCCTTTCTGCCTTTATTTTCCTCTTTTCCTTCTTCTTTTTCTTCCTGAAAAACTGAGTCCAAGATCATTAAATCATTAAGTGGAACCAAGTGAGGGGGGCACCCTGTGGCTGAGTGTGAGGGTAGGGTAGGGAGGGCAGGCTGTGGCAGCCCAGCATGGGGTACATCAGAGACAGCAGGGGGAGGAGTAGAAGAGGAGTGGAGAGTGACATTGGCAGCCTCGTGCAAAGTGTCAGAATTCAAGTGGGGCCAGGCACGGTGGCTCATGTCTATAATTCCAGCACCCTGGGAGGCAGAAGTGGGAGAATTGCTTTAGCCCAGGAGTTCGAGATAAGCTTGGGCAATATAGTGAGACCTCTGCCTCTACAAAAAATTAAAAATTAAAAAAATTATCCAGGCGTGGTGGCACACACCCGTAGCCCCAACCACTTCGGAGGGTGAAGTAGGAGGATCACTTGAGCCTGGAAGGCAGAGGTTGCAGTGAGCTGAGATCTGAGATGGTGCCACTGTACTACAGCCTGGGCAACAGGGTGAGACCCTGCCTCAAAAAAAAAAAGAAAGAAACTAACTAAAAAATTAGAAAAATTAAAAAAATAATCCAACTGAGTGAGGAGGACACCACCATGAGGGGCAGCCTGCTGCGTGGCGGCTCCCAAACAGGAATTTAAAGACTAAGCAGGATGAGAAGAGCATCTGTGAGGGGGTGGGCACTGGTGGTGATGGTGAGGCAGGAGAATAGGGTCTGGGGGCAGGGAACCTACGGCTGATTCACACTGACTTCCTATAACTAAACCAAAAGGAAAACCCTAACTTTCCATGCCCAAGTAACAAAAGGACCGGAGGCTACTCCGTTTGCAAACCACCCCTTTTCTCTGTGGCAGATGAAAATTTCAAAGTATCTCTGATTGGTCCCCTCCCACAACCAATCGGGCTGGTCACAGGCCAAACCTTCATTTGCATAGAAGTATAACTTTGTAACTGTACTTCAGCCTCTGGTCGGTCACTTTCTGCAACCAATCGGACATTTGCATAGCGTGTAACTTTGTGACTTCACTTCAGCCTCTGATTGGTCCCCCTACAACCAATCAGACTGATCAAGGGCCACTACTTCATTTACATTGGGTGTACACCACGTAACCAATGGAAAATCTCTAGAGGGTATTTAAACCCCAGAAAATTCTGTAACCAGGCTCTTAAGCCGCTTGCTCAGCCCACTTTTACCCTGCGGAGTGTAGTTTTGTTTTCAATAAATCTGTTTTTGTTGCTTCATTCTTTCCTTGCTTTGTTTGTGTGTTTTGTTAAAGACACCAAGAACCTGGACACCCTCCACCAGTAACAATGGGAGCTAATCTACATACATATGGGGGATTCAACTAATAATATATTGAGAACCAGGTGGTTTCTCACTGTTAGAGAAGGAAGGTATTAATATGGGAAAAAAGAAGACAGGTGTGAAAGTTGTGATTGTAGGTAGAAACTAGAGAGATCAGTGTGAATTCATGGATGTACATGTATATTACACATTCTACACCAAGGAACCAGGGCTCCTTGAGAAATAGCTAATACTAGGGCTAGAGCAAGGAAAGGACATTATATTTGTTTATTGAGGCTACCGTAACAAATTATCACAAGCTTCATGGTTTAAAATAACAGAAATGTTTTCTCTACAGTTCTACAGTCCAGAAGTCCAAAATCAGTGTGTCAGCAGGGCTGAGCTCCCTCTGGAGGCTCTAGGGGAGAATCCTTCCTTGTTTTTTCCAGGCTGGAGAACCCTAATGCAGATATCAATGTTAATTTCTTGATATTTATAGTTGTATGTTGATTAGGTAGGAGAATGACCTACACCTAACCACAGTACACAAGTATTCAGGGCCATCGGGACATCATGTTGGCAACTTCGTTTAAAATGGTTAAGGAAAAGAAATCTTTACTGTTTTTGCAATGTTTTTATAAGTTTATTTCAAAATAAAGGGTTTTTTTTAATTCAACAATGATTTTGGAAGAAAAAAAGCATATGGTGCCCAGGCATGGTGGTTCACATCTGTAATCCCAACAATTTGGGAGGCCACGGTGGGTGGACCTCTTGAGCCCAAAAGTTCCAGACCAGCTTGGGCAACATGAAGAAACCCCATCTCTACAAAATAATACAATAAATTAGCAGAGCGTGGTGGCACACACTTGTAGTCCCAGTTACTCAGGAGGCTGAGGGGGACGCTCACCTGAGACTGGGAAGTCGAGGCTGCAGTGAGCTGTGATTGCACCTCTGCACTTCAGCCTGGGAAATGTAGGGAAACCCTTGTCTGTAAATAAATACGTCATTTAAAAGCATATTGTAAACACTTTTCACATCAGCAGTTACATTCATGTAACATCATTTCAAATGTTTTTACACACTTGTATAGATCATCACTTATTTAACCAAATCTTCTATTGTTAGACATTTACATTGTTTCCAACTTTGCATTATTTCAAACAGCAGTTTATTGAACATTATTATAGTACCATAGCTGAGTATATTCTTAATTATTTTCTTCACATAAATTTCTAGAAGTGCAAATGCGGCATCAAAAGGCATTCATTTGACACTCTGTATACACGTATTTCCAAACTACCTTTTGAAATGCTAAATTCCCTTGCCACCAACAAACTTAGACTCTGCTTTAAGTAGAATGACAGGCCACTGCTCACCCAGAATTCACAGCTCCTTAAATGCCCTAGCCAAGCACTCAAATTGCCCAGACTCCAGTCCCAACTTCTCATTCCCACCTTAAATGCTTCTCCTGGTTAATATGGAGTCTCTGTGCCAACCCGATAATACTGCCCTTCAAAGTGTAAACCACATGTGTGAGCTGAGAATGGGCTTTTGAGTTAGACCAAAAGCTAGTATTTGATGCCCAGCTCAACTACTTATTAGCTCTTCTACTGTGGAGAAACTACTTACTGGTACAACATTTTAACCATATGATATGTTTTTATTAAATTTTAAGAGTAAAATCATTTTAAAATACGAAATTGCAAAGTCACGTGTGTTAGTCCAGGTACTCTAAGAAGTAGATACAAACATGGTATTAAACATACAAGACTTGTATTAGAGAAAACACCTGTGGGAGAAAATAGGTGGGGAGCCAAGAAGGCCTAGAGATCCACCAGATCGACAGACTGACACAAGGAAAGAGGACGCAAGTGAAGGAAATAGGGGAGAAAAATTGAGTGGAAACATCCCAAACAGCCATGGCCATGCAATTTAAGGCAATCTCAGCAGAGCTTTTGAGAAGTCCTCAAGCTAAAGTCAGCTGGCTGAAGTCTGTCTCCTAGAAATGAGTCTGCCTCAGCATCTCAGCCACACCCTGTCATTGGCTTGGCGCAACCTCTGAGTAACACGGCCTGGTGCAAATGTTGCAGCGCACATCAGAGCACTGCAGCTCCGGCCCTTGCACAGTTATGCTCCCTGAAGTTAGAGAGCTGCAAGTCACATGCTCACAGTGGCCATACCTCGTTTATTCTCTGTCTCTGCAGGTTTCCAGCTGGGGAGCAATGCAACATTTAACCCCATTTGGGGAATCAGCAGCCCAGACTCTGGAACAAATTCTGCCTCTCAGAAGAAGGAGATAATGGATTATATTTTTCTATTCACAAAGAGATTTGGAGGACTTATAGGAATAAATTGACAATTTTACCAAGGACCATAAGAGAAGACTAGAATAAATGAAGAAATATACTATTTCCCTGAATGGAAACATTCTAATGTTATGAAAATATTATTTCTCTCCAAATTATTTGCCATTCCAGTCAAAATAACCATGGGATTGATGAAATTTTTCAGCTATTCATCTTAAAGAATAAATGGGAAGGAATGGTTTTAAAATGTTAGAAAGGATTAATAAAAGAAAGGTTCTCACACTTAGCAGACATGGAAAATTATAATGTTTGGTCGTTAAAACTGTGTGGAAGACAGACTGATGGAAATGATTCAAGAGGTTAAAGCAGACCTAACTACAAAGAGTGTTTAGTCTAGATTAAATGAGGCCTTTTAAATCAGTTCTGAGATAATCCAATAAATGGTTTTGGAAAAGGCTACTTGGAAAAATAAAATCAGATCCCTAAATCTCACCAAACACCAAAATAAATTACAGATGGATTACATTTTTAATGTACAAAAAAAACCCAATAAAGTACTTAAAAATGTATGAGAGATTACTTATCTGAGTTTAGAGTGGAGAAAGCCTCTCTAAGCATACAAGCAGAAGCATAAACCCATAACATTAAAGATTGATAAATCTGACTACATTAAAATTTAAGACTTCTGCAAGTCCAAAAACACCACAGAAGATTCTGGGAATGTGGCAGTGGCAGACGTGACATAGCTTTGGGTTCTTTCTGAATTGCCATGTAACAATAGACAGAGAAACTATTTAGCAATGGCAAAATCACGGATAACATTAACAATAAACCTGGGTGAGAGGGTATGCCCACAAACCCCAAAATTCAAGCAGATAAGGACAAACCACCAACAGCCACAATACCTGTATGGTATTGACATCTTTGCAGGAAGAAACAGAGAGAAGCCACCGGGCATCTGACAGGGTGAGAACAGCAACACCACAGAACAGCCAACAGAAATCCACAGTAAAGAACAGCAGAACACCTTGACAGTGGACACTGGAAGACAGTTCCCATGAAAATACAAAATGATACAAAAAGAAACAAACAAAAAAAGGCATCTTTAAAAAATCGCTAACAGATCTAAAAGAGAAGCAGTAGAAGATGACTCTGGAATATCTTGTTATAGCAGTTGATATGGTTTGGCAGTGTCCCCACCCAAATCTCATCTCGAATTGTAGCTCCTATAATCCCCACATGTTGTGGGAGGGAACTGGTGGGAGGTAATTGAATCATGGGGATTGTGTCCCCCATACTGTTCTCGTGGTGATGAATAAGTCTCACGAGACCTGATGGTTTTATAAGGGGAAACCTCTTTTGCTTGGTTCTCATTCTCTCTTGCCTGCCACCATGTAAGACGTGCCTTTCACCTTCTGCCATGATTGTGATGTCTTCCCAGCCTCATGGAACTGCAAGTCCATTAAGCCTCTTTTTCTTTATAAATTACCCAGTCTTAGGTATGTCTTTATTAGCAGCATGAAAATGGACTAATACGTCAGGTAAAAAGGAAGCTGTCAAAAACTACTAGAGTATTGACAGAATAACTCTGTGCAGCCAACTCAAAGAGGATTCTCCTGGCCAAAGATAAGACAATAGGCTCTCAAGAAGGTTAATCATTGCAACGATCTGAAACCCATCAAATAAATTTAAACCCGAGAGTTCATAAGAATACTAACTAATTGGGCTGGGTGCAGTGGCTCACGCCTGTAATCCCAACACTTTGGGAGGCTGAGGTGGGTGGATCACCTGAGGTCAGGAGTTCGAGACCAGCCTAGTCAACATACTGAAACACCATCTCTACTAAAAACACAAAAAATTATCTGGGCATGGTGGCGGGCGCCTGTAACCCCCACTACTTGGGAGGCTGAGGCAGGAGAATCACTTGAACCTGGGAGGCAGGGGTTGCAGTGAGCCAAGATCATGCCATTGTAGTCCAGCGTGGGCAATGAGCAAAACTCCATCTCAGAAAAAAAAAAAAAAAAAGAATACTAACTAATTAATATTTTTAAAACCGAAATTAATCACTTTCAGAGGTTGATAGGAAACCAGTTGTCTTGCAGATCTAATTAATAAAGGACACGAATCAAGCATGTAATTTTCCACTCCTGTATGAGCTGCATCCTATATGAATTATAGCACGAGAGTAACAAAAATTATATTTATGAGCATATTCTAGCCAACAAGTGAAAGAGAAGTGATAGAATTTGACGAGCAACATTTCATAATCCCCAGTGAATTATTAAATCTAGGCACAAAGCATTCGCAGCTGTTAACATCACCATCAGAGAGACCGTCAGACATCACGTGCCTCTTGATAAAACCATCTACAGTCTTGCCAAATACATCAAACCTAGTCTGACCCAGTCTCTGAATACAGCTGCCAATTTGCAGAAATTAGATGACACTTAAAATTTCACCATAAGTATGCATTTAATAAAACCCAAATCGTGAGAAGCTCTACAGATCAAATAGTCTGGTTTCTTCAATAAATGCATTGTTAAGAAAACAAAGAAATGGGGTGGGAGACAGTATAGAATAAAAGAACCTTAAACAACATACTAATATAATGAGAGTTGGCAGAGAAATTAGAATCCTTGTAGATTGCTAGTGAGAATATAAAATAGTGCAGCTGCTGTTGAAAAAAAGTTTAGCAGTTCTTCCAAAAGTTAGCTGTAGAGTTCTCATATGATCCAGCAATTCTATTCCTAAGTATATATCCAAGAGAAATGAAAACACAAGTTCACACAAAAACTTGTACACAAATGTTCATAGGAGCATTATTCATACTAGCCAAAGACTGGAAACAACACCAATGTCCAATAGTTGATGAATGGATAAACAGAGTATGGTATATACATGCCATGGAATATTATTTGGCCATAAAAAGGAATGAAGTACTAATACTTATTATAACATGGATAAGCCTTGAAAATTTTATGCTAAGTGAAAGAAGCCAGATACAAAAATCACATTTCATATGATTCCATTATATGAAATATCCAGAAAAAACACATCCTTAGGGACAGAAGGATTAATGGTTGTCAGTGCCAGGGTGAAACGGGAATAGGAAGTGGCTGCTAATGGGTACAGAGTTTCTCTTGGGAGTGATGAAAATGTTCTGGAGTTAGATATTGATTGTGAGCGCACAACTGCGAGAATGTGCTAAGAAACACTGAATTGTATGCTTTAAAAGGGTGAATTTTATGGTGTGCAAATTATATTCCATTTTCAAAATAACAAATAAAGGGGATATATTAATTTTTAATGGATAATACTAAACCACAGTGTTTATGGATGCACGCTTGGGTGTTCAAACTATAAAAGAAGTTATTTTATACAAGTCAGGTAGTGGTTACTTGTTGGGGGAAGGAGGGAGATAAAGATGAGCATATAGGGGCTTTGTGGGAGACAAACTTCTCTTTCTCCACCTGGGAAGTAATTACAAAGATGTTTGCTTTAGAATAATTCACTAAGCTATGTTTTCATTTTGTTTGGTCATCTATATCCATGTTTTACAACAAAAACATTATTTCTAAAACATCATAAGATTAAAAGGCACACTATAAAAAGTCCATCTATGTTAGCAAATGATTAATATTCTTATTTAATAATCTTTAAAAAATTAATAAGAAAAAACTTAGCTCACTTTAAAAATGAGCGAAGATATTTCATAGAAGACCTACATTGAGCAATAAACATATTTTTTAATGTTCAAACTTGCTTATTGTCAAGGAAATGCAAGTTCAAGTAAAAAATAAGAGTGTGATTGATGATATTGGAAAAGATAAAAATAAAATGGCAATACCTAATGTCGTTGAGCATGGAGAGAAGTAGCATTCTCCTACAATGCTGATAGGAATCTAGTTTGTCATAACTTGTTTGGAGAGTAATTTGGCAATATTTAATATTAAAGTTTTTTTCCAAAAAACCTTTCTAAAAATCTTTACTTAAATGACTTCACTTTTAAGAATTTAGTCCAAAGAAATTATCATGAAAGTTTGAAAAGGTGTATAAACAAAGATGTTCAGCGAACTATTATATAGTTTTAAAAAACTAGAAATAACTAAATGTCATATATAATAAGGAGCTTGTTAAATTATCAACTCAAGGAAATAATATGCAGCCGTAAAAATGTAGAACACTTAATAATGTCGAAAACGTTAGTGAGATGGTTTTGAAAAGAGCAAATTTAAAAGCAATGTCTACTGCAATACTATCATTTCCTTTTAAACATCTCTACTATTCCATATAACACACATAAATAACTGTGTGCAGAAAAAATGGGGATAGCTGATTTATCACAAAATGAATATCTGTTACCACCACCCAAGTCTAGAACTAAAATCTTTCAGGCATCCCCAAAATGCCCTCCTTCTACTTCCCAATCTCTATACCCTCCCTTCTCTGCAAATGAACCACATTCCTGATAGGATTGTAATCATTTCCATTCTTCATAGTTTCATCACTTGCATTTATATCAGTAAACGCTATAATTTAGTTTGGTTTGAGTTCAAACATTATGTAAATGGAATCATATAATATACGTTCTTTTGTTCTTGGGCTCTTTCACGCAACATTTTGGTTGTGAAGCTCATCCCTCTTGTTGTACCTAGTAATCGTTTTTCATTGCTGTATACACATTGGAATGGAAAAAGCCTTTCTAATGGGTTACATGAATATACCACAATGTCTTCATTCACTCTGCTCTTGAAGGACATTTAGTTTCCAGTTGGGGAATATGCTACTACAAACATTCTTCTAGATGTCTTTCATCACACAGGGAGCGTATAACTCTGTTGAGCGAATTAGGAGTAGAATAACCAGATGAAGTGATATGTAGATCTTCAGCTTTTATAGATTATATCTAACAGATCGCCAAATTGCCTATAACCATTTGTCACTCTCATGAGCACAGTGAGAGTTTCCATTGTTCATATCCTTAATAATACTGGTTATTGTTACCCTTAATCATAGTATGGTTGTGTAGCAATATCTTGTTGAGATTTGAATGCGTATTTTCCTTATTTCTCATAGCTTTATTGGCCATTTAGATATACTCCTTTATGAAGTGCCTATTCAAAACTCTTGCCCATTTTTTCTATCGGATTACTTGTCTTTTCCTTTAAAAGTACAGAATATAAGTGGAGAAAAAGATTTTTAAAACGGACTGCATGGATCCTCCCTAATGGCAATAATGACTATTTCTGAATGATGGAATTACGAGTGATTTTATTTTCTTCCTTGTGCTTTTCTGTACTTTTCTAATTTCCTATAATGATTATGTATTATTTTCAGAAAGTTTAAGTGTTACACAATTATAATGAATAAAAACAATTGGTTTTAGCAAAAGACACTGTCCAGGAAATAAGTTTGAATACTGACTTGTTAAATGTATGGTATATAGGTAGAGTATCATTTATCTGAAATGCTTGGGATCAGAATTGTTTCAAATTTAAGATTTTTTTTATTTTGGGATATTTGCATATACATACTGAGAGATCTCAGGAATAGGACCCAAGTGTAAACACAAAATTCACTTATGTTTCATATACACCTTATACACATAGCCTAAAGGTAATCTTACATACTATTTTGAATAATTTTGTGCATTAAACAAGGTTTTGCCTGTGACCCATCACATGAGGTCAGGTGTAGAATTTTCCACTCTGGTGTCATGTTGGTGCTCAAAGAAGTTTTGCATTTTGGAACATTTTGGATTTCAGATTTTTTGATTAGGGATGCTCAATCTGTATTTGGATGATTTACGGTGGTGATTCTCAAACTATTACAAGGTGTTCCACAGCTAAAATTTAATAATAGTGTCCTTTTCCAATTTTCAATGGTTTAATTTATTTTGTTTAATGCCTTAGTACCAAACTTAAAATACCAAATTATTGACTTATATACATGTCAGTGAATTATTTACATGTCCAATAGGATCAAGAAGAAACAAAAGAGAGAACTTTGAGCCATAATTAGGAACTCATTCTCTATATCAAGAATGTCTTCCTTCACTCTCATCAGAACTCATACTAATGTAGCAGCTTCTTAAATAAAAGTATTTGTTCTGATAAATCACAAGTTTCAAGGTGTTAGATTTCCTGTATCCAAAATAAGTAATTATCAAACATTAATCAAATAGCTGTACCCAATAGTGTATAGCATAAAAAATTAAAACAATGATTGCTCTCAAAGAAATGCCATCTAATAGGAGAAATAAATCAAGCTAATGGAAATAACAAAAATATGATAGTGTATAAATAATGCAGGGAGTCAAAGAAAACATATTTAAAAGTAAGATGAAGCCATAAAATAAGGCCTAATACAAGAGGAACATTAAACTTTCAGAAAGTAATTTTTCTTCATTATTGGGACTCTGCTTGATCACTCTGTCACAAGAGATGCTACTCTACAACAATTAAGATTTTTAATCTAAATTAAATTTAAATTAAATTTAAACTTAAATTTAATCTAAATTAAATTAAAACTTAAATTTTTAAATTATCTTCTTATTTTTAAGATAATGGCAAGTTGATGGTTTTACAATAGTCTCAAAAGCTTTAGTTCCCCAGGATCCCAATCCTTTCTCTACTAGATTTTATGGTATATGTATGTCTTATTTATACACAGAAACATGCCTTCTTTTGTCCTTGCCTAACCTGGAATATCACTTGAAGAAGGCCTTAAAATGTTATTAAAAATTAATTTCCAACTATGACTTTCAACACTTCTAAATTCCACACAGCAACTTAGAGTCAGTTTTCATAAATGTTAAATTAGAATTTCAACACATAATTTAAAAGGAACTGTACAAGAATGTAAGTTTAAATAAGCTTGGAATGTCAGGGGAGGTGGCAGAGCAGGAAGCACCAGGGATCTGTCTCTTGAGAGAGACAGTGATTGTACTGGCAGAATCTGTCTGATAAAACTATTTGGGAATTCTATACTCCACTCAAAGGCTTGCAGTTTCCAGGGGAAGGTGTGGTTAATTTTGATCAATTTCAGCCTAGTGCAGCAGCAACTATGCATCGTCCCACCCCCAGCTCTGTGGCAGGCAGCTGTGTTAGGGTACCTAGAGTGGCTTTTAGGATATGGAGTGGGCAATAAGGACTTTGTTCTCCAAATGTTGGGGATCTGTGTTGTAATCATGACTGGTGCTTCTGGTTACAGAGAAGCAGACACAGAGGCAGGCAGCCACTGTTGCAACTCCCACTGCCATTGTTTAATACCACTCCAGCCAAAGTGGCTACCAGCGGATTTAAAGAGATGTTAAAAGACAAAAACTACAGAGTTAAAGATCCAATTGGCTTATACTTGTGACTCTAGAATCAGGAAGCATTTCATTCTACAAAATAGAATAAATGCTCTGGTGAGCTGAGCAGAGAGACTTGGCTTTATAAGGAGAAAAGGGCTGAAAGCAAAAACAAGGAATAACAAGCAGACTGGGCCAGGCATGGTGACTCATGCCTGTCCTCCCAGCACTCTGGGAGTCCGACACAGGTGGACCATTTGAGGCCAGGAGTTTGAGACCAGCCTGACCAATGTAGCGTAACCCCATCTCTACTAAAAATACAAAAATGCACACACCTGTCATCCTAGTTACTTGGGAGGCTAAGGCACAAGAATCACTTGAACCCAGGACGTGGAGGTTGCAGTAAACCAAAACCACACCACTGCACTATAGCCTGGGTGACAGGGTGAGACTCTGTCTCAAACAAAAACAAAAACAAAAAACAAACAAACGAACAAAAAAGCATACTGGTTACTTTGATAGAGGCAGAAAGCAGAGAAACTCTAGGAAAACAAGGGCAGGTCCCCAGTGAAACTCCACCTTCAAGACGAAAAGCCTGAAACCTGTGGCGCAAAGTGAGAACTTCTGTACCCATTTGCCTGCTCTCTCCTGATTCGTTCTTTCTAAATAGTGTCTTTTTACCAACTGAATGTTGCCTTTTACAGAACTACATATGGCCCACCCTGCCCCCCATCCTGTGGCTATAAAGACCCCAGATTCAGTCAGTAAGGAGAAAAAATGGCTGGATGTCAGGGAGAGGTGACTTGACTTCAGAGAAGCAGCTGGACATCGAAGAGTCAACTTGACTTCTGAGGAGAGAAGTAGAAAGTCAACTTGACTTCAGGGGAGAGTGACCTGCCCTTCCCATCTGCTTTCCAGCTCCCTTCTCTACTGAGAGCCACTTTCATTGCTCAGTAAAAATCTTCGCATTCACCAGCCTTCAGTTGTCCACGTGACCTCACTTTTCTTGGGTACTGGACAAGAGTTCGGGACCCACCAAGTGCAGTACCCAAAAAGGCTCACACTAGCCCTTTGCTCTCACTGGTGGAGGGCCGCCACCCCATGCAATGAGGCAAAGGGACCACTGAGCTGATAGCACTCTGCTGTCCTCAGATGGTGAAGCTAAGAGAGCACTGTAACATACCCTCTGGGGTTTTGGGGTCACAGGCACCCCCATCTGGATGCTGCTGCAGGCCTGCCTGGAGTTTGCTCCTGCCAGCGCCAAAGCAGCCAGCCAGTTCCTACACTCATTCGCTCATGTGCTCCCTCCCACAAGGAGTTGAGTGTGGAAGCCTGAGTAAATGGGGCACCCCTGTTGCAAGTCCTGCAAAGGGGTCAAGGAAAAATCCTGCATCAATTTCCAGATGATTTTCCTTACAGGGTTTAGAAGGAACTTTCTTATTATGCTGGCTCAGTACAACTAATTGCTCTGAATCTTCTGTTTCTTGGGAAAATGGCCTTTTTCAAAGTTCAGTTTGATTATGTGGCACTTAGCATGAGTGAGTCCATTTAGGTTTGGCCGGGTCTGCTGGGAACTAGAGCAGAAGCTTAGTCCAAATAATGGCCTTCCATAAATTTTCTTTGACAAAGACAATGCCTTTTTTTTCTCATTTATTTCCCCCTTTTTCTACCTTTGGAGGCCAGGCATTTAAGATTGGACATTCAAAAGCAACTGCATATTTGTGGGAATATAGAAACTCACTAAACATGCCTGAGACATAGGCTCAGAAAAGATGTGAGAAGACCTTCAGTTTACATCTCAGGCTGATCTCACACAGAGGGTAATACCCCACTGAAAAAAAAAATTTAAAAACAGCCAACAAAAACAAACAGAAGAAAAGCAAAAAGGAGAAAAATCTGTTTTCCAGAGTTACCAAATTATAAAATCCAAATATGCAGTTTTTAATGAAAACATTAAAAGACACAAAAAGAAACTAGAAAGTGTTGCCTATTCAAAGGTAAAACAAATAGACTGAAACCATCCCTGAGGAAGTTCAGATGGTGGACTTACCAGAAAAACACTTTAATAAAACAGCTGTCTTAAAGATGCTCAAAGAGCTAAAGGAAGATGTGGACAAAGTCAGAAATATGTATGGAATATCAATGAAGAGACAAAAATCAAAGCAGAACAAAAAAGAAATTCTGCAACTGAAAATTATAACTCAAATAGAAAATTCACTAGATGAATTTAAAGGCAGACTAGAGCAGGCAGAAGAAAGAATCAACAAACTTGAATGTAGGAGAATTGAATTATTGCCTCTGAGGAAAAGTAAGAAAAAAACGGAAGAAAAGTGAACAGAGCCCAAGGAACTTGAGGAAATACATCAGGTGGACAAGCATATGCATTGTGGAAATTACAGAAATAGAAGAGAGAAACAGAGAAAGGCGGAGAGAGATTATTTCAAGAAATAATGGCCAAAAACTTTGATGTTGTATGTGAATCCACAAATCTAAAAAGTTCAACTAACTCCAAGTAAGATAAACTCAGAGACCTATACAAAAATGCATTATAATCTGTCAAAAGCCAAAGATAAAAAAAATCTCAAAAGCATCAAAAAATAAATAATTCATCCAATACAAGTAATTCTCAATAAAATGACCAACAGATTTGTCATCAGAAAACCTTGGAAACCGAAGGTAGTGGGTTGGTACATTCAAAGTGTTGAAAGAAAAATAAGTGTCAACAAGAATTCCACGTCAGGCAAAACTGTCCTTCAAAAATGAGGGAGAAATTAAGACATTCCCAGATAAACAAAAACTGAGGGCATTCACTACCATTAGACATGCCCTGAAATAAATGCCAAAGGTAATACTTGAGATTAAAGTGAAAGAACAAAAGACAGTAACTTGAAGCCACATAAAGAAATAAAGATCTCTGGTAAAGATAAATATCTGGTTTAATTGTAAAGCCAGTATTATTATAACTTTAGTTTGCAACACCAATTTTTATTTCCACGTGATTTAAAAGACAAAAGCATAAAAAATCATTAGTCTATGTTTTGGAGTATACGATGTATAAAGATACATTTAGTGAAATCAAAGATATAATTAGTGAAAGGTGGTGGAGCAGGAGCCATATAAGAGCAGAGTGTTTCCATGTAATTGAAGTTAAAAAGGCATAATTTCAATTTATGGCCTGCCATGGCATGAAATGGAGTACAGTGGGCAGAAAAGACATGGGAAATCTTATTTAATCAGTATGACAAACAATAAGTAGATTGGCAGCTTTGAAAAAGATAAGCTTGGTGTCTTGAACTTTCAACCAAGGCATGGGTTGAAATCAGAAAGCTTCTATCATGGCCTCCTAGGAACTTCTTATCTCTGCTGCTAGGCTGTAAGTGGCTGAGGGTTGGGATACCTATTCTACAAGATTCACCTCATTATCCTTCATTGTCTCCAGGCATATAAAAAGAGATAAATTCTAGGACAGATTATTTGTATGAACTTAGAATGTGTTCCCGTAGTTTGCTTAGTGTTGCCAGGGAAAAAATAGTAATTATAGAATGGAGAAATTAGACAGCACCTTGAACAAGGGAACAAAATAAATGTTGTCAATGACGGGCAAATAGACATTTTATGCCTTCAGATATGATACCCTAAGAAGGACATATCAAATATGTGGTATTCCAGCCAGGAATACACAAATGAATCTAAAAATGAGGAAGGATTGAACACGCCCAGAATGAAGAACGTTCTATTTAAAAGAAAATGAAGTCAAACTACATTCTTCAAAAATATCGAAGTCATAAAAGACAAAAAAAAAAAGAGGCTGTGGAAAAAACACTAAAGGAAAAGTGAATGTAACACCTGATCCACAACTGGACTCCACTAGAGGAGGAAATGCTGTAAAAGACATTATTGGTGAATTAAAATATTGGAATAGAGATGGTAGATGGGTGAAACTATTTTATTAAGGTTAAATTTACTGACATTGATAATTACATTGTGGCTATGTAGAAGAATATCCACTTCCAGCTGGGCGCAGTAGTTCATGCTTGTAATTCCAGCACTTTAGGAGGCTGAGGGGGGTGGGTCACTTGAGGCCAGGAGTTTGACACCAACCTGGCCAACATGGTGAAACCCCATCTTGATAAAATACAATAATTAGCTGGGTGTGGTGGTGGGTGTGTGTACTCCCAGCTATTTGGGAGGCTGAGGCAGAAAAATCACATTAACCTGGGAGGTGGAGGTTGCAGTGAGCCAAGATCATGGCACTGTACTCCAGCCTGGGTGACAGAGCAAGATTCTGTCTCAAAAAAAAAAAAATTTTATATATATATATATATACACACACACACATAAATATATATCCATTTTCTTATAAAATATACTGTGAAATGTCTAGGAGTAAAGAGCTATGATGTATAAAATTTATTCTCAAATTTTTCAGTATAAATATTATACATACATACGTATTTATGGAGAGAGAGTGAGCATCTGCACAAATAATAAAGCAAATGAAATTAAAAGGTAATAATAAGTGAATCCAGGTAAAGGATATGTATTTGTTTGTTTGCTAGGAATGCCATAACAAAATTCTATGAACTAGGCGGCTTAAACAATAGAAATTTTTTGTCTCTGTTCTGCAGGGTGGAAGTCTGAGATCAAGTCATTGGCAGGGAAGGTTCCTTCTGAAGGCTGTGGGAGAGAATCTGTTCATGCTTCTTTCCTAGATTCTAGGTGATTTGCTAGCAGTCTTTGGGGTTCCTTGACTTATAGACATGTCACATTGATCTCTGCCTTTATGTTCACAGGGCATTCTCCCTGTCTCTGTGTCCAAATTTCCCCTTTGAAAAAGGACACATCAGATTAGGGCCCACACTAATGACTTCAAGTCAAACATCTGTTTAATTCTGTAAAAACCCTATTTCCAAATAAGGTTACATTCTGAGATACTATGGGTTTAGATTTCAACCTGTCTGCTTTGAGGGGGACATGATTAAATTCATAGCAAGTATATAAATAATTTTTATACAATTTTTATTCATGTAGATTTTCTGTAAGTTTGAAATTATTTCCAAGTAAAAAAAAATTTTTTTTAAAAAGGAAAAGAAATTCCTGTATAGCCCAGAAAGCGAAGTATAAAACCTATTCCAGGAAGAGGTACAGGGTATGCCAAATGAGTTGCAGGATTCTGCTAATTTGTATTAACAGGACCCTTGGAATTGACAATAAGGATATTGATCAAATGGGACAAATTATAAAATTAGGGCCAAATTTATCAATATGAGCGCATTTTCCAGGAATTCCAGATTCAGTATGTCCAGTAGCAATCTAGGAACTGTTTTTTGTTTGTTTGAGACAAGGTCTTGCTCTATTACCCAGGCTAGAGTGCAGTTGCATGATTATAGCTCACTGCAACCTTGAACTCCCGGGCAATCCTCCTCCCTCAGCCTCCCAAGTAACTGGGCTTACAAGTGCATGCTACTGCATCTAGCTAATTTTAAAATTGTTTTTGTAGAGATGGGTCTTGCTATGTTGCCCAGGCTGCTTTCAAACTCTTGGTCTGAAGCAAACCTTCCACTTTGGCCTCCCAAAGTGCTGACATTATAGGCATGAGACACCATACCCAGGCATGAAACTGCTTTTCAAATGGTCATGCTTTTGTTCTCAAACTCTATGGGCTTACACTGTGATTCTCCTATTAGACCTTTTCAGAGGTTCCACACAGCACCCCTACTTGTCACAAACACTATGAATTCTATTGAATGTGTTAGAATAATTGCAGATCTCTCTCTTGCTTCGATCCTGAGATGAGTGTTGAGTACCAAATGGCTCCAAGCCAGGCTGAAACATGACCTAGACACAGATGCTGGAATTTTCCTAGCATGCTTTAGAGAAACGAGTATGGTGGCTGTACTAGTCAGTTCTCACACTGCTATAAAGAAATGCCCAAGACTGGGTAATTTATAAAAGAAGTTTAATTGACTCACAGCTCAACATGCCTGGGGAGGCCTCAGGAAACTTACATTCATGGCGGAAGGGGAAGCAGGCATGTCTTACAAGGTGGCAGGAGAGAGAGAGCAAGCATGAGCGCAAGAGGAACTGTCAAACACCTATAAAACCATCAGATGTGGTGAGAACATACTCATCATGAGAACAGCATGGGGGAAACTGCCCCCCATGATCCAATCATCTCCTGCCAGGTCCCTCCCTTGACACACAGGGATTATGGGAATCACAATTTGAGATGAGGTTTGGGTGGGGAAACAGAGCCGAACCATATCCCTGGCTTAATGAGATGGGAATGCTGGAGGGAATTCATTATCTGCAGTCTGCTCAGCCAACCCCTACCATACACACCAGGAGGGCCCAGAAATGTATTACTGAAGGAAGCATCAACATCCATAAAAATTTTTGTGTTGGCTATCCTCTGTGGGCCAGAGATGCTGGCATGAGATACCGCCATAGAATTGGGCTTCCTGATTTCAATGGGAATAATGGGATTCTTGCATAGTAGAAGTCACATGGCAGCACTTGACCATCAGAGGCAATAACCCTAATAGGTCACAGGGATACAGTGGCAACTAGAGCATTTTGGCTCTCAGAGTTGGTAGCAGTAGCTAATGGATCATAAAGGTCCTACAAAAGCAACAGATGGGCAGCCTACAGATGTATGACTTGATTTATAACATCAGAGAAAGTCAAAGCCAAATGATCAGAAATCTGACTTGAGTGACCATCGTAGGAAGAACCCAATTCCCAGACTGCAGCCAGTTCATACACCCAGAGTTCCTTAGCTGAGGTGGAGGCCAGATCCCTTTTAGGAAAGACTCTGCAACTTGATCACAATTTCATACCATACATCATCCTCAAAACCTTCCACAGAGGGACCTCCAGCCATTTAACAGGGTGACTGGCCATTAAAGGAATGGAAAACCCAGGCCTCCTCGTGTTATTAGACACTGACTCTGAATTAATATTGACCACATTAGTCTACTGGTCAGGTGATAAGTGTGTTTTGGTCCAAGCCCATCTCACAGTGGGTCCGATGATGCTCACAGGAAATGATCCTGTGATTATTTCCCCATAGACACATTTCACAACTAGCAAAAAGAATCCTCGCATCCATTCCCTGACTAATAAAATAGGAGCTTGTATTAGTCTGTTTTTACACTGCTATAAAGAACTGCCCGAGAGTGGGTAACTTATAAAAGAAAGAGGTTTAATTGACTCACAGTTCAGCATGGCTGGGGAGCCCTCAAGAAACGTGTAATCATGGTAGAAGGTGAAGAGGAAGCAAGGCACCCTCTTCACAGGGCAGCAAGAGAGAGAATGAACACAGGAGGAACTACCAAACACTTATAAAACCATCAGATCTTGCGAGAACTCACTCACAATCAGGAGAACAGCATGGGGAAACAGCTCCCATGATTCAATTACCTCCATCTGGTCTCTCCCTTGACACGTGGGCATTATGGGGATTACAATTAAAGATGAGATTTTGGGCACGGACACAGCCAAACCATGTGAGAGCTATTATATAGGAAGGGTAGAACTATTATGTAAGAAGAGTAGAAACACTGTTGCCAAAATAGTAAACCAAAAGCAACACTGTATCCTCAAGGGGAATTGCAGAGATTAATGCCACCATCAGATCCCTGAAAGATGGGTGGTAAATGGCTCCCATGATATCTCAGTTAACACACCAGAGCATTCATCTTGAAAAAACTAGATGGATCTTGGAGAACAACTATGTCATAACCTTAATCAGATGGTGGTGCCAGCTGCAGATGCTGGTTTAGATGTGTATCTTCCTTTTGTAATTTTTTGCTATTTTTTTTAAGACAGGGTCTTGCTCTGTCACCCAGGCTGGAATGCAGTGGTGCAATCACAGCTCACTGCAACCTCCACCTCCCGGGCTCAAGCGATTCTCCTGCCTCAGGCTCCCAAGTAGCTGGGACTACAAGCGTGCCCCACCACGTCCAGCTAATTTTTGTATTTTTAGCAGAGACGGGGTTTTACCATATTGGCCAAGCTGGTCTCGAACTCCTGACCTCGTGATCTGCCCGCCTTGGCCTCCCAAAGTGTTGGGATTACAGGCATGAGCCACCACCCCCGGCCTATATTATTTTTTATAGAGACGGGGGTCGCCCAATGTTGCCTAGGATGGTCTCAAACTCCTGAGCTCAAGTGAGATATGTATCTTTATACTAAAACAAATTAAGACTGGGTATGGTGGCTTGTGCCTATAATCCCAGCAATTTGGGAGGCCAAGGCAGGAGGATTGCTTGAGGCCAGAAGTTTGAGACTAGCTTGGGCAACATAGCAAGACTCCCATCTCTACAAAATAAAAATTTTTAAAACTTAGCCAGGCATGGTGACACGTGCCTGAAGTCCAGGCTACTCAGGAGGCTGGTGTGGGAGGATCACTTGAGCCCAGGAGTTCGAGGCTGCAGTCAGTCATGAAAGTGCCACTGCACTTCAGCCTGGATGACAGAGTGAGACTCTGTCTCTAGAAAAATTAAAAAAAATTTTTTTTAATAAAAACAAATTAATATAGCTCCTGATACCTGGTATGTAACTTTTCCCCTAGCAAATGCCGGTTGAGTGGGGCTCAAAGCAGGATAAGCCTCTACAACTACTGTAACAGATGCGATAGAATTCAAAATGCTTGTGACAGACAGGGACGCTGTTTGGAGCCTCTGATATGGCTAACAGAAGAATCACAGTGCAAACCCAAACCATGACCATTTGAACACCAGAACCTAGACTGTTATTGGAGCCTGGTAGAGACTGAACCCCTGATCATAGACTATCAACTGACATGTGATCTCAGCTGCCCAGCATGAATTTGATATTATCTTAAATATCATTTATGACCCCACCATGAAGTTGGAACTATACTTCCGACTATACTATAGTACCAGCATTCTATTACTTAGTGGAAATACAATATTTATGAAAGGGCCTCAGCAGGTCTGAAAAGCACAAGATTTCATCAACATGGTTCAGAATGCCACGTGGCTACATCTACTGCCTCGCCACCCTTCCCTGAACTCACATCTTAGCCTCTTGGGAGCACCTGGTATACAGAAGGGTGTGCATGGTATGTGGTCATCTGGAGGCAGGCAGCCTCTGAATGACAGCCATCTTCAGTGGTAACCCTAAAACACAATGAAGGGAAATATTTCCAGTAGGTAGGACTTTGGGCAGTTCATCTGGGTGGTCCACTGTGGAAAGACATCCTGAAGTATGGCTCTCCCTTGGCAAGGGCAGTGGCTGACAGACTTGTCTGACAGGTCAGGGATGTCAAAAGAACAAAATTGGAATACTGGTGTCAAAGAGGTCTAGGAGAGGAGTAGGTGGACTCTTAAAATGGGCACAAAGAGTGAAAACAGCTGCATTCTCTGTAAAACCCCCCCAGAGGACACCTATAGCAAAGAAGCATCTCATTAATCAGGTGGAAACAGGATGACTCATCCTGTGATGTCAGTCTCTTTCACCAGCCATGTGGGGTTTGCTCAGTGGGTCCATGGAAAGAATAGCCATGGCACCAGGGATGCTATGTATGGGCTCAGCATGACTTACTTTCACCAAGGATGACATGTCTAAAACTACTATTGAGCGCCCAGTCAATGGAAGAAGCCAGAACAAGACCCTCAATATGGCACCATTCCCCAGAAGGATTGGATAGTCACTTGGTGGAAAGCTGATGACACTGGACCTTTTCCATCGCGGAGGAGGCAATGATTTGTCCTCATGGGAATTCATACTATTATAGATTCAGATAATTCTCCATCACACTTCTGCCTGTTACACCACCACTCATCCATGTACAGAACACCTTATTCATTACCACTGTGTCTTAATATGTTTTCTGTTAATCATTACCTTGTGACTTAGTTTGTTTTCTGTTGCTTATAACAGAATACCAGAAACTGGGTGATTTATAATGAACTTTATTGCTTACAGTTCTGGAGACTGGGAAGTCTGTGGTTGAGGGGGCACCTCTGGAAAGAGCCTACTTGCTGCTGGAGACTCCCTAACGGGTCCCAAGGCAGTGCAGGGCATCGCATGGTGAGGAGGCTGAGCGTGCTACCTTGAATCTCTCTGCCTCTTTTTATAAAGCCACCAGTTCAATTCCCATGATAACCCATTAATCCATTAACCAATAAATCCATGAATGGATGTATCCATTCATAAGGGCAGAGCCCTCATGTTCCAGTCACCTCTGATAGGTCTCATCTCTCAACATTGCCTAACTGAGAGCTCAGTTTCACCATGAGATTTGGAGGAGACATTCAAACCATAGCCCATTGTATCCCATACAATATCACTTCAGACCTAAGACCTCATTTTATGGCAAAAGAAATATAGCAAAGGGAACAGACTCAAGGAATTCCTTGGTCTTACCCTGTTCTCATCACCCAGAAGTAACTGGCCTGAGAGAATGGTGAGATACGGTCTCCTGGAGGCTTAATTATGGTGTCAGCTAAGCCATATCCTTTGAGGTTGGGTACCATCCTATGGAGAAGTACATGCTTTAAATCAACCAAAGGTGGAAGGAGCTAGTAGCCTCTCAAAATATACTAATAACCCACTAACAGAATGTTCCCCAATCTTGTGCTCTGAAGACTTGGAAGAAGCTCTAATTCCTAAGGGAGGAGGGTTTCCACAGGAAACATAGTCCTGGTTCTATTGAATTGGAAGTGAAACTGCCTCCTGAGCATCTGGGCTTCCTTTTGTTTGTTTGTTTCTTTGTTTGAGATGGAGTCTCGCTCTGTTGCCCAGCCTGGAGTGCAGTGGTATCATCTTGGCTCACTGCAACCTCCGCCTCCCAGGTTCAAGCGAATCTCTTGCCTCAGCCTCCCAAGTAGCTGGGACTACAAGTGTGTGCCACCATGCCCGGCTAATTTTTTGTATTTTTAGTAGAGATGGGATTTCACCGTGTTAGCCAGGATGGTCTTGATCTCCTGACCTCATGATCTGCCTGCCTTAGCCTCCCAAAGTGCTGGGATTACAGGCGTGAGCCATCATGCCCGGCTCTGGGCTTCTTATACTATGGAACTAACAGGTGCAAAAGAAAGGGGTTACTTTATTGGTCAGACAATTGATCCTGATAACTAAGGGGAAAAAGTTGCTGTTACATGAGCGATGCAGGAGGGGCTATATCTGGAACAGAGAGGATTCATGGAAGCACCTCATGTCCGTCCAGCAATAACTATCGTCTCTGGGCATCCTAGAAGTGCCTGAGACAGGGATCTGGGAGCACATGATTTATTGAGAAAGTGCTCGTCAGGAAAAACCTACAAAGTGGGGAAGAAGGGTACAGAAGAGGAAAGAGCTGAGCATGCGTGTGGTCTCAGGCAGATCCAGCCTTGGCCCCATCCACCAGGGAGGGCTTTGAAATACAAATTATGTCACACATTTGCCCCCTTTGAAGCAGGGTCACTAACCTTTTTACTATGTATCACCCCCTTGGGAGTGGCTAACTCCTCCAGGAAGCTAAGGGCAGTTCTCTACGGAAGGGAGCAGTTCTGAGCAGTTAGCAGCCAATACTGACAGCAGTAGAGAGTAGTTGTACTGCCTGGCAAAGGCGATCTGAGCAGGGCATACAATGTCTACTATAATCAATGGGAAACAGCAGTAATCCAACACAAACACATACTCTACTGGAAGGTACCAGGAGAAATAGACAGAAACTACAGAGTGGGGATAACTGATAACAGATTCCCTAAGGAAGCCAAGGGTATGGGATTAGAAGCACAGGTGAGGATTTTGGCCTTGAACAAAAGGGACTCTTTATCCCTTGAAACTAGACAGAATGAAATTTGTATAAAATTAGAGGCTTTATGTACATTTGTAGGGAAGGGCCAAGACATTTAAAATTCACCTAAATTTTATTGCTAGCCTACTATCAATAAGTGTCAGGCATGTTTTAGGGGCTGGGAAAGCCACAGCATAAAAGACAGGTCAGGTCCATGTCCTGATGGAGCTTACTGTCTGGTAAACCATCAGTTATGAAACAGCGTAAGGACTGGGGGAACGGGGAGGTAGGGGCAGAATAGGTTTCCCTGAGAAGTGTTATCTGAAATTCAATTAGCCCAACGAGACCAGCAGGGGGCAGTGTTCTAGGCAGGACAGAGGTGATATTAGCGAATAGTACACATGAATGTGTGGAAACGACAAAGAACATACTACATTGAAGAACTGAAAGCATTTCTGGGTGGAGGCTCCTAGCAAATGATGGGGCAGAGAGCTAGCTGCAAACCCCATGGAAGCACAATTATAAACCATCAAAGGGTTTTTAAGAATACATATACAGGCCAGGCGTGTTAGCTCATGCCTGTAATCCCAGCACTTCGGGAGGCTGAGGTGAGCGCATCACTTGAGGTCAGCAGTTCCAGAGCAGCCTGTCCATCATGGTGAAACTCTGTCTCTACTAAAATTCAAAAATTAGCCCGGTGTGTTGGCGCAAGGCTGTAGTCCCAGATACTCGGGAGGTTGAGCCAGAAGAATCACTTGAGCCTGGGAGGCAGAGGTTGCAGTGAGCTGAGGTCATGCCACTGCACTCCAGCCTGGGTGACAGAGCGAGACTCCCTCTCAAAAAAAAAAAAAAAAAAAAAAAAAAAAGAATACTTATCTGGGCCCATTGTGCTGGCTCATACCTGTAATCCCATCACTTTGGGAGGCCTATGCAGGAGGATTGCTTGAGCTTAGGAGTTCAAGACCAACCTAGGCAATATTATCAGACCCTATTGCTACAAAAAATTAAAAAATTAGCCAAGTGTGGTGGCACACGCCTGTAGTCCCAGCTACTTGGGAGGCTAAGCTGGGAGGATTGCTTGGGCCTGGAAGTTGAAGCTGCAGTGAGCCATGATCGTGCCACTGCACTCCAGCCTGAGTGACAGAGAAAGACACTGTTTAAAAACAACACAACGCAAAACAAAACAAAAACACATATATGACCAGATGTACAGTCTTGAAAGATAAATAGGGCTGTGGTATTCAAACTTGGAGTTTAAGGGCCGGGTGCGGTGGGTCATACCCGTAATGCCAGCAGTTTGGGATGCTGAGGAGGGTGGATGGCTTGAGGCCAGGAGTTTGAGACCAGCCTGGCCAACATGGCGAAAACTTGTCTGTACTAAAAACACAATAATTAGCCGTGTGTGGTGGCTTGTGCCTGTAATCTCAGCTACTCGGTAGGCTGAGGCACAAGAATGACTTGAACCGAGGATGAGGAGGTTGCAGTAAGCTGAGATTGCGCCACAGCACTCCAGCCTGGACGAGAGAGCAAGACTCTGTCTCAAAAAAAAAAAAAAAAATAGTGGATACAGTGGCAGGATAAGAAGGCAAAGACATGAACATATTGAATGTCTGAGCACAGGGTTTAGCATGAGTGGGAGAGGAATAAGCCCAAAGGGTGGCAGATGCACTTAGGGGAAAATGTAGGTGTCAAGGGGATAGAGGCCCATGAAGGTAAAATCAGGGAGAAGGGAAAGGAGGAAATTATTAAAAAGAACCAAGGAGAGAGTTGAGGGCAGGGAAGTTAAGAGGTTATGTGAGGAAACTTGGAGTTTGAAGATTTTGAAGTGGAAGGGGAAAAGCAATGTAGAGTTTAATTCAGATCACTGAACTGAGCTCACGGAAATTGAAGCCGGGTGCTGGATGCAGGGCATTTTATGTGACTTAGAAGTTGTCAAGGGCCGGCGTGGTGGTTCACACCTGTAATCCCAGCACTTTGGAAGGCCGAGGTGGGTGGATCACGAGGTCAGCAGTTCAAGACCAGCGTGATCAACATGGTGAAACCCCGTCTCTACTGAAAATACAAAAAAAAAATTAGCTGGGCATGGTGGCTGGCGCCTGTAATCTCAGCGACTTGGGATGCTGAGGCAGTAGAATCACTCGAAACCGGAAGGCAGAGGTTGCAGTGAGCTGAGATTGTGCCACTGCACTCTAGCCTGGACAATAAGAGCAAAACTCGTCTTTAAAAAAAAAAAAAAAAAAGTTGTCATGGAGAAGAACATGAGCTAGGCGCCTCAAGTCTCCAGTGAGTCAAGATCATGGCAAGGAGGCCAAAAGATGTAAACTCACTTGGTGTGTTACCTCCCTTCTGTACTTTGAGATGCCAGCATAACACTGTAGGAGAAATGTTTAGCTGGGGACCATTCAAAATCAAGAAGCTGACTAGAAAATAACCACAAACCTTACGTTGTATTCTGGCAAAAAGTCTAGAGGCCCTCTCAAGGTTGGCATCTAAAATACATACAGAGGCTGGGCGCAATGGCTCATGCCTGTAATCCGAGCACTTTGGGAGGCTGAAGCAGGAGGATCACTTGAGCCCAGGAGTTCAAGAACTGCCTGAGCAACATAGGGAGACTGTGTCTCTACAAAAAAATTTAAAATTAGCCAGATGTGGTGGCACACACCTGTAGTCCCAGCTACTCCACAGGCTGAGACAGGAGGATGGCTTGAGCCTGGGAGGTCAAGGCTGCAGTGATCCATGATCGAGCTGCTGCACTCACTGGCAGTCTGGATTTCAGAGCAAGACTGTGTCTCAAAAACAAACAAACAAACAAAAACAGAATTTCCTTATTTAGCCTCTAAATTTAAAATCTTAATTTACAATTGTTATTCCACAGAACACTAGGCTCAGGAACAAGTGTGGAGTTGTTTTTTTATTTTTGGTAAAGACCAAAACCAGAAAGTTTAATGACCAAATCAGTCATTTTTACCATTTGAAAATTCTTACACTTCATATATTAACATCAATGAAATAATTTTAACAATTCAAGCTAGCAATCTGCTTTTATGCTGTACACTTTATAACATAAAAATTATCCTACTCCGTTTAAATCCAATTTTCTACCATCTTCTATTCTACAAACCCAAAATAACTGTATCACTGAGTAATCCTGGCCCATAAAGTAATCATACAGTTATGCTGTTCTGTGCATAAGTAGGAGATATTAAACAGTGCTTCGAAGCCCAGCACGGTGGCTCATGCCTGTAATTTCAGCACTTTTGGGAGGCGAAGGAGGGCGGATCACCTGGGGTCGGGAGTTCCAGACCAGCCTGGCCAACATGGTGAAACCCCGTCTCTACTAAAAATACAAAAATTGGCCGGGCTAGCGCGTCGTGGTGGACGCCTGTAATCCCAGCCACTCGAGAGGCTGAGGCAAGAGAATCTCTTAGATGGAGAATCTCCTAGATGTTTTTCATCTCTTAGATGGAAAACAAATCTGGAGTTTTGGTGAAAAGGACATTGATTGTGGCTGGAGGAGATAATTATAATAATAGCGTAGTTATCTTTCTGTGGGTTTCACGTCCAGAACATTTAAAACATATAAAACCCTTGCTGGGTCAGGGTTTTAGTCATCTTTGCAGCTCCCACGGACGGCATCCACCAAAGCGCTTTCCAAGTACTTCGTTGCTCAATAAACGTTTGTTGGAGAAACCGGTGCATAAAGGTGAAATAATAAAACGTGGACGGATTTCGGAAAGAGAAGGAACCCCGGAGCTCACGCTTTGCACGATCACCCCCACCAGCCCCAGGAGTTTTCGCGTAAATCGAAGCCCGGGGAGTGAGTCGCAGGCAGCGGCCCCCGGGGAAGGTGTTTCAGGCCGGCCCGGGTGGAGAGTGCTTCCCGCCGCCTCCCCGACCCTCTGCTGTTCCTCTCAAACTTCTTCTCAACCTTCCACGCCGGGGGGACGCCCAGGGACCGCCCATTCCCCGGGACCGCCCGTCTCCCCGCCCCCGCCTCCGCCCCCGCCCCCGACAAACTGAGCAATACCCAGAGAGGATGGAAATGGCGAAGAGGCCTGGCGCCTGCCCGCTCCCGCGCATGCTCCCTGACTTCACCAAGGTCACGCTGCAGCCCGCAGGAATGAAAATCCACTTCTCCGCATTTTCGAGGTGACCTGGAAGCGGTTCAACTGCTCTGGCTTCTCAGAAGAGGAGGGGACCGGGCGGTAACGAGGAGCCAAGGGGAGGAGACTGCTCGCAAAACCCGGAAAAGCTTTCCCGATCCACTCTGCCAGCCTCCGTGCGCCTCCAGACATGCGCAGTAGCCTCCCCCGCGGTGGCGGCGGCGGCGGCGGTGGCTGCCGTGGCGGCTGAGAGTCCAGAGCCGGACGTTCCGGCCGCTTCGGGCTGGCGGCTGGAGAGCGCTCGGGTCATGTCTGCCCAGGGGGACTGCGAGTTCCTGGTGCAGCGAGCCCGGGAGTTGGTGCCGCAAGACCTGTGGGCAGCCAAGGCGTGGCTGATCACGGCCCGCAGCCTCTACCCGGCAGACTTTAACATCCAGGTGAGGTCCCGGCTGTGCATGCGGCCGCTCTGCGTGGAGGTGCGCGCTCCCGTCGCCCGGGCTGCCCTGGCCCAGAGCTGCGCCTGCCTGGGGGCTGCCGCCTCCTGCCCGGCCCCCTGCTTTCTCCCCTCCCACCCCCTCCTCTCTCCCCTCCCATCCTACACCTTGCTCCTACACCTTTCACCCGCCTTGCTCCTACACCTTCCAGGAGCCCTCTCCCCAGCACTTGAGAGACGGCCGATCCCGCTTGAGGTCGGGTGTGCTTAGGTCCCTGGGGCTCAGCGTGCCATCTGGCCTAGACAGCACATGATCGCCACTAGCAAAAGGCCATTCGCTCCTTCATTCATCATAATGGCAGCAGTTTGTTCAGGGCCTGCGACTTTGGAAATATTATCCTACTTAATCCTGGGAGCCTGAGATTGCAGGTGAACCCCAGGGTCACACTCTAAGCCCAATGGCAAGTCTGCCATGTATGTGGCGCTGTGTCACCAGGCGGAGCTTCACTCTCAGGCCCTCCCTTCCTGCAGGAGGGCCAACGAGCGATGCTGGATGAGCTGGGAGCCTTCTGGGCAGGGGTGAGTGACCAGGGTGCCTGATGTGTGTTGCAGTATGAGATGTACACCATCGAGCGGAATGCAGAGCGGACCGCCACCGCCGGGAGGCTGCTGTACGACATGTGAGTGGGACGCTTGACATCACTTTTACTGCACTGAATCTCTCCATGAGGTTTTGTTTCTCTCTGCAGAAGTGGGAGTTGGGGGAAGATCTTCAAGTTCATCTATATCTTCGATACCTAAAGCAAACCTAGTAAGGAGTCCAGGCCTGCCATAAATTGCTGACATGGCTTTTGCAGAAGAGTTTAATTATTATTCTTATGTTTTATCCTTGTTAAAACTTCTGTTTCATAATTTATTCTAGAAATAATATGTGCTCATTACAAAAATTCAAACACTACTTGTTATAGAGAACAAAAAGTGAAAGTGCATCCTAAACTGAACCAGAGTTAAGTTTTGTAGGCAGTATATCTATACATGTATGCATAATACATAAATAAGGTTTTGGGGGGAAGGGGTTACAAAAGTGAGAAGACCATACTACCTTTGCCCTGCAGCATGTTTCCTTTACTCACTCTCATGGACCCCTTCCCATATCAGTATGTAGAGATCCACTTCATTCCTTTTCATGCCTGTGTAGTATTTCGTAGACACTCTCTTCTTGGTAGACATTTAAATAGATAGTTTTAAATTATTTGAAATTATATTCAGTGTGTCAACAATTTTGTAGTCATATTTTGGTGTTTTTCTGTGGAATAGATTCTAAGACATTTTCATAGTCAAAGTTTATGCGCATTTGAAAATTTGATACGCTATGAAATTACTCTCCAAAATGTGCGATCCCAGTCTACATTACCACCAATGGTGTATAAAGAGTGTGTTTTCCCATACCCTTCCCAACACTGGATATTATTAGTCTCTTTTTAGTTCTTGTCACTGTGATAGGAGAAAATGGTATCTTGCTATTTTAAAAAAAAATTTGTACTACTCATACTGTTAATAAGATTCAGTATTGTTTCAACTGTTCTCTTTGGCTGTGTGTATTCTGTGATTTGCCTTTGCCTATTTTTTCTTTCAAATAGTTTGTTTTATTCTTGTTGACTTTTAGAAGCTCTTTCTATGTTATGGTTACTTGTCTTTTCACCTATAAAACCCACTAAAGACTTATGTGAGTACTCTCATTTTTATAAATCAAGTAATTCTTATTTTTACATTTTTATTTTGGTTTGTTTTGGCACGTCTAAGCATTCACTTGGAATAAAGGAAACTTTTTCACCAAATGCTAACGTTTTTTCTTTTGGATACTGTATAGACTTTGACATTTTAATTTAATGTATTTATTTTAAAAATAGGTTTGTGAATTTCCCAGACCAGCCGGTGGTGTGGAGAGAAATCAGCATTATTACATCAGCATTAAGGAACGATTCACAGGACAAACAAACCCAATTTTTAAGAAGTAAGAATAATGGTGTATAAGTTACCATTTCGGGAATACCAAATCATATATAGTAATTTCACACACAAAAAAGTCACACCTGGGGTATTGGTAACCATATGTATGTTTTATTCTTGGCAACCAAAGTCTATAATAATGTCACTCGGTTCCTTGACTTGCTTAGAACCCTTTAAGCTTCTTTAAAGGATATGGATTTATCAGTGAGACGAGGAATTAATTGTATATATTTTTAACAGGTTTTACAATAACCAGATAGCAGCTATAGATTAACCAGCTCTCCACAAAACAGGAGAGAAGCTTTTAGTAATTTAGAAGCTTTCTCTTTAAACTTCTGTATGTTGCTGTAGTCAATCAAAGATTTCAAACTCTAGATAAAATAGCAAGTAGATGCATAGGTCATTTGAACTTCAACAAGCACATGCTCTCTATCTCAACCTGCAACAGGCATTCTTGTGACCATTCACATACATCATTGTTTTTTGAATTTGATCAGTCTTGCAAATATTTTACCATTATTCAGCAAACATCCTGTGCCAGATACTATTGGCTCCAAAAGGCTGCCAGGTTGTAGGTGAAACTTAACTGCATTGATTTCACATGTAGTGTTTACTGTTCTGTACATGAAAATGCCTTACTCAGCACTGTTGCTGCAGTCTTTTCTGTCCGCAAGAAACTTTTAAAAGTGAAATATGTTTCGTACAGGTTTATTTGAAACTCTTCCTGGTCGGGTCCAGTGTGAAATGTTACTAAAGGTCACGGAACAATGCTTCAACACGTTAGAACGATCAGAAATGTTGCTTCTACTTTTGAGGCGCTTCCCTGAAACGGTGGTGCAGCATGGGGTGAGATTTGATTCTTCCCCTTCTTTTAATATAAAATACAATGGGTCATCAACAGATTCATCGGTATGGTGAGGAGCTACAAAGCAGAAGTTTCTGAAGAGTACTGGTTAAGATTGAACTGAAATAGAAGGTTCTTTGTTAGTAAAGCTAAAAGGACATTCTTTTCACCATATTTTGTAAGTTTCCAGGAGAAGCTGTTTTATCAGGAAAATCACCAAGCTCTGACAGTACTGTTTATTGCAATCCATATGGTAAAAAGTAATCTTTTTCCGTTGTATTCTACAATGTGCTTTTGAATTTAGCGTAGAGTTTATAGTCTTAACAGATGCGTTTTTCCTGTGCTTCTGCCCTATGGAGACTATTTTCATTCTATTCCTGCCCCTTTCCTTCATCTGTAATAATTATCGAGTGCTATTGGCAGGCATGGGAAAGTGCTAGGTATCTCCTATCTTCCTAAATCCCCTGAAGTAAATAGTATCCCACTTTACAGATGACGAAACTGAGCATTTTGTGTTTTAGTAACTTCCCATAGCCAGTGAGGTGTCAGGTTTCAAACCATTCACTCCATTCGTTCATACTCTGCGGCTTATTTCCCATGCCATTTTCTGGCGTCTGGCCCGGGTTAATCATTTCCATACCTGCTTGTGTTAGTCTCCTAGGGTTGCCATAACAAAGTACTACAAACTGGGTAGCTTAAAACAACAGAAGGACTCCCACAATTCTGGAAGCTAGAAGTCTAAAAGTCAGGTGTTGGCAGAGGCACTTTCCCTCTGAAGGTTCTGGGGAAGAATCTTTCTTTACCTCTCCCTGGCTTCTGATGGTTGTCAGCAATCTTTGGCATTCCCTGGCAGGCAGCTTCATCACTCCTCCAATTTCTGCTCCATCACCACATGATCTTCTTTCTTTTGTGCCTTTGTCTTTACATGGCCTTTTTTGTCGTTGTTTTTTGAGGCAGAGTCTTGCTCCGTTGCCCAGGCAGCAGTGCAGTGGCATGATCTTGGCTCACTGCATCCTCTGCCTCCTGGGTTCTACCAATTCTCATGCCACAGCCTCCTGAGTAGCTGGGATTACAGGTGTGTGTACATGGCCATGTTATAAGGACACTAGTCATTGGATTGAGGGCCTTTCTAATCCACCATGACCTCATCTTAATTAATTATATCTACAAAGATACTTTTTTTAAAAAAAAAGGTAAGATGTCTATGAGGTCACATTCTGAGGTTCTGCGGGGATATGAATTTGGGGGGGCACTGTTCAGCCCAGCACACTTTCTGGTCATAACTCTGACCTTTCACCTTCTGTGTGATGTAATCTTTCGCACTTTTCCACTCCTGTGGTGCATCCCTGTGTGGTCACAAGGAAGTTGATACCAGTGTCTTGGTGGATTTGAGTAAGGGACCGTCTACTATGCTAAGGCATTGGTAATGGAAAGGTAGCCTTAAAACTCTGACTTTTCTGTCCATTCTACACCAGACTGTATGACTGGCTACACCTCAGAACTTATCTTGAACGTGATACGTTTTGTCTATATTGATACATCTTCATGTAGAGAATAACCTTAGTTTCTTTATTTCTTAGAAAATCTCTCTACCTCTGTATTATCATTTGAACTCCAGTTCCATTGCTTCCTTTACATTTCTATAGACATTTTGTTAATTCTTGTTCATCGTTAATTAGAATTTGCTAATTATGAAGAGAATAACCAAGACAGAGTGGTCAGATGTTCAGGTGAATTTGGCCTTCTAGGGTGTGTGGCTGGTGCATTCTTTTATTTTCCAGTCTTTAAAATGTGATTATTTGTTTCTCAGATAAGTTTGATTATGCAAACTGTGATAAGTAAAAAAAATACCCCATTACTTCATATAGTTCTGACAACTTATGCTGTAACACATTTAAATGAGTAATTTTGTTTTGAAATAGGTTGGCCTTGGGGAGGCACTATTAGAGGCTGAAACTATTGAAGAACAAGAATCTCCAGTGAACTGCTTTAGAAAATTATTTGGTAAGGAAAATTGTATTCTCTATTACTTCTATGGTAAATTAATATGCTGGGGTAAGTGTTGGTTCAGGGATAAGCTCATATATGAAAGGCAAAGGAGCTTTATGTGTTATGGCATTTAAGTTCTTTTTTTTTTAATTTAGAAGCATTTTAGCTGGGTGCGGTGGCTCACGCCTGTAATCCTAGCACTTAAGGAGGCCAAGGTGGGTGGATCACGAGGTCAAGAGATCGAGACCATCCTGGCCAACATGGTGAAAACCTGTCTCTACTAAAAATACAAAAATTAGCTGGGCATGGTGGCGCACGCCTGTAGTCCCAGCTACTACGGAGGTTGAGGCAGGAGAGTCGCTTGAAACTGGGAGGCGGAGGTTGCAGTAAGCCGAGATCGCGCCACTGTACTCCAACCTGGTGACTGAGTGAGACTCTGTCTCAAAAAAAAAAAAAGCATTTTAAACAACTTCTAAACTTTTGTTATGTAAGATTTGATACCTCTGAAAGAATATGCATAGCTGTATATGTAAGTATGAAGCATAGTAATAAACATCTGAATTCAATGGAAGAACTGGACCCTCACCCACAGCATAAAAGTGTCTGTGTTTCCTCCCTGACTCCAGCCACTGGTGTCTCTCTGCACAGCACATTTTGAATACATGAGTCATAAGGGATTTTTCCCCCTATATATTTTAGATACTACATCAAATGAACTCTGAAAGCTTTTGTATTTATCGGAACTCTAGGGTAGACAACCTAATTAATTTATTTCTTCTTTTTCTCCTCCAACAGTTTGTGATGTCCTTCCTCTAATAATTAACAACCATGATGTTCGATTACCTGCCAATTTATTGTATAAGTACTTGAACAAAGCAGCTGAATTTTATATCAATTATGTCACTAGGTCTACTCAAATAGAAAATCAGCATCAAGGTAAGTAGGAATACCCTGTACTTTTACTTAAATAGGCTTTAGTAATATTGCAAAATTCAGAAACCCCTCAATGTTCTGATTATTCTCCTCTGGATACTTACCAGTTTGGGAGTGTTTCAAAAGATGGTATCTAGAAAAAAAATACTAAAAGATGAGGCTTTTCTGGAAGCAATGCCACCCCTTGATCAAAACAGTCTTCTGGCTGAGCTGTAATGTTATTGCATGGAACATTACAAATGTACCATGATGAAGTAGTGGAAATTACTTCTTGCTTATACCAGTGGCCTCTTGTCGGTCCTTGAGCAAAACATAAGTATGTTGGAATTCTGTGCTCTGTGCATTTTCATGGGGAGTCAGACTTTCTTTATCAGGTACCATGTCAACAGTAAGTCATAATGTTAATTGTAGGCTACTTTTTTCTTACATCTCAGGCGCCCAGGATACATCTGATTTAATGTCACCTAGCAAACGTAGCTCTCAGAAGTACATAATAGAAGGGCTGACGGAAAAATCATCCCAGATCGTGGACCCTTGGGAGAGGTTGTTTAAGATTTTGAATGTTGTTGGAATGAGATGTGAATGGCAGATGGATAAAGGAAGACGGTAATAAATAGCTTATTTCCAGAATTGCCTATTGATTCTTTTGGATCCTTATAAAAACAAAATCATGCTTTTTAAATCTGTGTAATGCGTAGGTATAGTTTTTGGGCAAATTTTGTGACACTCAATGCAAAAGAGGATGGTTTTTCATTTTATCAAAACATTTCTGACTGGGCACAATGGCTCACATCTGTAATCCCAGTGCTTTGGGAGGCTGAGGTGGGCAGATCACTTGAGGTCAGGAGTTCGAGACCAGCCTAGCCAACATGGTGAAACCCCATCTCTACTAAAAATACAAAAATTAGCCAGGCGAGGTGATGCGTGCCTGTAGTCCCAGCTACTCGGGAGGCTGAGGTGAGAAAATCACTTGAACCCAGGACGTGGAGGCTACGATGAGCCAAGATCACACCACTGCAATCCAGCCTGGGTGACAGAGTGAGACCCTGTCTCTAAAAAAGAAAAAAAAAAAGAAAAACAGATTTCTAACTGAAATATGAACTCTTAAGACGATGTTGTGTTTGAACGTCTCCTAGATACTTCAGAGAAAAGAGAAGCTACTTAGCATGTTTGTGTCATGAAATCTTGATCACCACCCTAATTCAGAAGGGAAAAGTTACCATTTATATTGGACAATAAAGAATAGTTTTACATGCCTAGGGCAACATTTGGTACATGTAATGGTACCACCAGAGCTTTTCTCTAGACTTCTTGCTGACCAGCCCAGAGTAATCAAATAAGTTTCATCATTCCTTCCTTTTTAGAAGCTATGGAGATATTTTGCATAGAATGAAGGATCTCTGCAGATACATGAACAACTTTGATAGTGAAGCACATGCAAAATATAAAAACCAAGTGGTGTATTCCACCATGCTGGTCTTCTTTAAGAATGCATTCCAGTATGTCAACAGCATACAGCCATCTCTCTTCCAAGGTTGGTTTACAAATTTTAGAGTGTCCAAAAAGCCAGTTCATACTGTGGGGATGGTAAGGAAAATGAAAGTGTTTATCCAGTATTGCTGGATCCGAATAACTGTGGGGCAGTACCAGTCCTTTTTATAGTTGGCGATTTAGTTTTGTTTAGTTTGGCTTAATTGGTAGTTTTTATGTAAGTATATTTCATTAAAAGTTTCTATATCAAAGGGCGTAATGGTACTGCACAACTAAAAAGAGATATCAAATGCCACTATTTTGAAAATAACAGCAGGCTGGGCGCTGTGGCTCACACCTGTAATCCCAGCACTTTGGCAGGTGAGGCCGGTGAATCACTTGAGGTCAGGAGTTTGAGACCAGCCTGGCCAATATGGTAAAACCCCATCTCTACTAAAAATACAAATATTAGCTGGGCATGATTGTAGGCACCTGTAATCCCAGCTACTTGGGAACCTGAGGCAGGAGAATCGCCTGAACCCGGGAGGCAGAGGCTGCAGTGAGCTGAGGTCGCACCTTGCACTCCAGCCTGGGTGACAGAGCAAGACTCCATCTCAAAAAAAAAAAAGAAAAAAACAGCAGATGTAACAACATATTTAAGTAGATTTCATGAAGACATCACAAGAGGCAAAGATTTATTTAGTAAAATATCCATTTTATATATAGAGAGTATATGCATAAATATACTGTAGAAAATTTGAAAAATAGAAATAAGAGTGAAATCACCCACAATCCTTCCAGTATAATACAGCGGTCGTTTTTACGTATTGCCTTATAATATTACATATATTTAGATTTTGTTTGGAATTTGTAACCATAATGTAAGTATAATTTGGTAGTCTTTTATGGTACTTTAATGACTCATGATCATTATAAAAAGTGCAGATACATAACAAATACAAAGAAGGAACCGTCACTTGTATTCTATTAGTGACAGGGAATCTTTAACAATTTGGTATATATCTGTACAGTCTTTTCTTTCTATGTGCATATACTTGTTTGTTTACCTAATTGAGATCACACTGAACGTATTTTTAATGACGTTTCTCATGACAGTTGAGTAAGCTTCTCCCTTATTTTAAGAATTCTTTTCCTAGCTGCATTTTTAAATTTTTTTTAATTTTATTTATTTTTTAAGTCTCGCTCTGTCGCCCAGGCTGGAGTGCAGTGGCGTGATCTCGGCTCACTGCAACCTCCGCCTCCTGGGTTCAAGCAATTCTCCTGCCTCAGCCTCCCGAGTAGCCGGGATTAACAGGCGCATGCTACCATGCCCGGCTAATGTTTTGTATTTTTAGTAGAGATGGGGTTTCGCCATGTTGCCCAGGCTGGTTTTGAACTCCCGAGCTCAGGCAATCCTCCTGCCTCAGCCTCCCAAAGGGCTGGGATTGCAGGCATGAGCCACCGCGCCTGGCCTCCTTGCTGCACTGGTAAGTGTTGGTGTTTTTCCCCGTCCTTAGGTCCTAATGCCCCGAGCCAAGTTCCACTGGTTCTTCTTGAAGATGTATCGAATGTGTATGGTGATGTAGAAATTGATCGTAATAAACACATCCATAAAAAGAGGAAACTAGCTGAAGGAAGAGAAAAAACCATGGTAAGGCTTTCAAATATACTTATTAACAGATTGGATGGGACGCTTTGCTAGAGATGAATCTTTGTAAAATATGGCTTTGGAGCTAAATCGATAAAGCCTGGGTTTTAAAATTGTATGATATATTAATAATTACTAAGTCAGTGGTTCTCCACTGGAGGTGATTTGCCCTCAGGGGACATTTGGCAATGTCTGGAGACATTTTTGGTTGTCACAGCTTGGTGGGGAGGGGCCAGGGTTGCTGCTGAGCACTTTACAGTGTACAGGACCACCCAAAAGGTCAGTGATGAGGTGGAGAACCCATGGTATATGTTCCTTATACATGTTTTGACTGAATGGCATCGATTCAGTTTAAACAACAAAAGCAAAATGGCATTGGACCTCTAGAGCAGGGTGCAGTGTGGGGTACTGGCCTCGGAATGGGAAGCTCTGAGGTGGGCAGGGCAGCAGGAACAGCCTATGGGCAGATGCAGAAAAGATTTCATGAAGGAGGTCAACATTTGAAATCAGTGCTGAAAGGCGAAGGGTTTTGTCAGTTGGAATTGGGAGGTAGATTTTGTTGAGAGGGAAAAGTGTGCACAAAGATGCAAGAAGCCCGAGAATGTGAAGAATCGTCAGTCCTCTAACCTGACCAGGCAGTACCCCGAGCCCGTCCCTGCCTCCCAGCCTCTGCCCGTTGAAGCTGTGCTCTGTGGTTACAGTGCTTTTCCCTTGGATCTCTGCCTGGCTAGGTCCTTGTCACTTGGTCCCAGCCCAAACGAGTCTCCCTCTGAGGCTTCTCCTGAACACCCATCTGAAGTAGCTGTCTGGTTCTCTCTTTTTATTCCTCTTTTTTAATTCTCTGCAGCATCCTCCTTGCTGTCTGTTTTTTCTTGTTTATTCACTGACTGGTTTACTGTCTCTGTCCCTCCTTCACTAGAGTACAAGCTCCGTGGGGCCTAGCATTTTCTCTGCCTCGTCCTCTACCATACCCTGGGCATCTGAGTAGTGCCTGGGCTGGAGCAGGTGTGTGGTGAGCATCTGGTGAAGGAGGGAATTCTCATTGATCCCTCCTGGGTTTGGTGTCCAGGCTATGGGATGGCTGTTTAAACCTGGTCCAGCGGTTCTTCCTTCCGGTTTTTTTTGCCTGTCAAGCACTCATCTAGCAAGCCCTGTTCTCATAACCTGGCCTTCTACCCAATGCGGAATTTCCATCCATTTTTGTTTTCATGGTCTTAACTGATTTTGTCCTGATTATCATTCTATCCCTGAGTCTGCCCCAACCTGATGCAGGTCCAGACCTTAAAGGCCCATGAGCTCAGCTCACATATATCTTGCTTTGCTCACAGTGTTTTGTTTGTTTAAATAACCTAGTATTTAAAAATTAGAAACCAGGCTGGGTGCAGTGGCTCATGCCTGTAATCCCAGCACTTTGGGGGCCAAAAGAGGAGGATCACCAGCCCAGGAGTTTAAGACCCACCTGGGCAATATAGTGAGACCCCGTCTCTATAAAAAATGAAAAAAAAAACTAGCTGGCTGGTGGCATGCACCTATCATCCCAACTGCTTCAGAGGCTGAGATGAGAAGATCCCTTGAGCTCAGGAGTTCAAGGTTCCAGTGAGTGATGACCACACCACCGCCCTCCAGCCCGAGCAACAGAGGGAGACCCCGTCTATAAAAAATAAAAAAATAAAATAGAAACCTAGCATTTCTCATAACAATCCAGATTTCTGACTTCCTTTTTGTAATTAGGATATCTGATCACACTGGCCCCTGGTGGTAACCCACAACTGGAGTTGGGGGGTGGCCCACATCAGTTCTCCAGCCAGCTGACATCACAGACTCATGTGACGTCATAAATGGCTGGTGCTGGGACAGGCCTCTCCTGTGGGCATCTGTCCCCCACCTGCTGCATTCTTGCTTCAGAGCACGCTCTCAGTGCTTCAGAGTGTACTTGCACATTTCAAAATCAGTTTCTTTAAATGTAAAAACATTTGGAACTCACACTAGTCCCACCACATCTGGGGTCCTTTCATAAATTCCTGATCTCGTGTTGAGGCAGGAATGTTTTCTGTAAGCTGCAGCACTAGCAGACGCGCCATGTGTGTTCGTGTATGATATTAGGTTGCCGTTACTTGGCAAAGAACAGGCCCCTGATGAAACAGTACCTGGCAGATACGGTTGTGGTTTTTTTTTTTTTTGGTGGAGACAAGGTCTTTCTATGTTGCCTACTCTGTTCTTGAATTCCTGGGTTCATGCAATCCTCCCACCTTGGCCTCCAAAATTGCTGGGATTACAGGGGTAAGCCACTACACCTGGCCTGGTAGACAGGTTTTGATTGGAAAAGGTGTGTTTTTCCCAATGCAAAAACATTACTTAGGGAGGATAAGAACATGCAGCAGAACAGTGGGGTAGGGAAAAGTCACCAAGAACAGGGACTAGCAGGAAGATACCAAGCTCAGAAAGTGGAAAGGAAGGTGGGCAGTGGAGGGAGGTGCTGACAGCTTCCTGCGCACCTTACCTGAGATGAGCTTGAGGATTGGAGCTTTTAGTGACAGTAGTTGCACATATTTTTATTTATTTATTTATTTTTTAGGTTTTCTTTTATCATTATTATACTTTAAGTTCTAGGGTACATGTGCACAACGTGCAGGTTTGTTACATATGTATACATGTAGTTGCACATATTTTTAAATGATCTTAGTGGAGTAAAGATCTGCAGGAAGAATTTCATTTGGGTTATTAAATCAGTAAAATGACCTAGGTGGATTAAAAGATTGAGAAAATTCTTAGCAAAATAAAATTCAGTGGAGCTGCTTTTACCTTTACATTTTTTTTTTTGGCAAAACATCTGACTCTACCCAGCGGTATTTCCAATAATTGCCTTTCTCTGTAGCCTTCTCTTTTCTGTGGGCTTTATATTACTTGAGATGAAGAGCAAGAAAAGTAGAAATGTGTATTGTAAAATACAGAGGGCTTTACTAGGTAAGTGCAGACAAATGTACTTTCTGACCAGGACCTTGCACTGGGGGAGGAGAGCGAGAGAGGGGTGACCAGTGCAGGGGAGTCATGCGCAGTGAACCAAAGATAACTAACAGTTATTCTCTGACATTATTTCTTAGAGGACGCAGGCTTTAATTTTGTTGTTGTTGAGACAGAGTCTTGCTCTGTCGCCCAGGCTGGAGTGCAGTGGTGCGGTCTCTGCTCACTGCAACCTCTGCCTCCCGGGCTTAAGAAATTCTTGTGTCTCAACCTCCTGAGTAGCTAGGATTACAGGCACGTGCCACCATGCCCGGCTGACTTTGTATTTTTAATAGAGACTGGGTTTCGCCATGTTGGCCAGGCTGGTCTCAAACTCCTGGCCTTAAGTGATCTGTCCTCCTCGGCCTCCCGAAGTGCTGGGAATATAGGCATAAGCTGCCACGCCCGGCCCCAGGCTTTAATTTTATCCCAGTACATGCCAAACCATTATTTGGAAGCCAATTAAATCATGTCACGTATTAGAAAAAAAAGTAAACTATAAACAGGTGCTGTTTAAGCTGTGTCTCTCAATGTAAAAATCTAAATTTTGACTTTCATAAAATTGATATTTTTAAACTTTGCTCTAAAACCACCATAAGCAAACATAAGAATTTAACATCAGAAAAAAAATTCACTCAATTTTAGAAGTAAAAATGGAATGTGTGAGAGTATAAAGACAAAAAAAAATTAATTTTCAAAGCTAAATTGTTAAATTCAAAAAAATTGTATGTATGTGGTATCCTTTGATATAAAATTCATATCACGGGCCAAACTGGCAGCAATAATATGTTTCCATATATGACTATATTTATAACTGAATTAACCATGTTCTCCACATTCTTTAAGCAGAGTTCAGACGATGAAGACTGTTCGGCGAAAGGAAGAAATCGTCACATTGTAGTCAATAAAGCCGAACTTGCTAACTCCACTGAAGTGTTAGAAAGCTTTAAATTGGCCAGGGAGAGCTGGGAGTTGCTCTATTCCCTAGAATTCCTTGACAAAGGTAAGAAAGCGCATGTCATTGGTGCTGTTTGATGTTTTATATAAAATCATTACGCTACTTCAAATGTCAGGTCACTTACGGCAAATTAAGTTGATTACAGTAGTTCATGCATTTTTTTTTTCTTGTTTTGAGACGGAGTCTCACTCTTTTTCACCCAGGCCGGAGTACAATGGTGTTATCTTGGCTCACTGCAACGCTCACCTCCTGGGTTCAAACAGTTCTTCTGCCTCAGCCTTCCTCGTAGCTGGGACTACAGGCACGTGCGACCATGCCCGGCTAACTTTTTGTATTTTTAGTAGAGACGGGGTTTCATCGTGTTGATCAGGCTGGTCTTGAACTCCTGACCACGTGATCCGCCCACCTTGGCCTCCCAAAGTGCTGGGATTACAGGCGTGAGCCACCATGCCCAGCCATATTGCTGTTTTTATCTGCATTAACTCCATTGTCTGAAAAACTCAAAATCCAAAAACTATAGGAAGCCTATTTTCCTTTGAGTATACTGGGTATTTTGACATTGCTTAGAAATCACTAGCTGTTTGCTAACTAAGGTATTCTTACTACACTTTGGAATCGGGGCCCCTTATTTTACTTTTAGCCCGTGGACATTCATCCCCTGGCTGCAGTCATGTGTCATACAGAGCCCTTGGCCAGATGTGCTGTGTCATCTTTTCTAAGTAAATTCAGCACCGTTCAGTTTCTCTTTGTTACATTTGGGATTGTGAACACATATGTGACAATTTTGGAGGGGATCTTTCCTTTAGTTAGAAATTGATTTTTTTAAAAATGAATAAAACCTTTTAGTGTCATTGTATGTTTGTTATTTTAATTAGGTCAAAATAAAATGGGCCAGGCAAGATGGCTCATGCCTGTAATCCCAGTGCTTTGGGAAGCTGAGGCAGGTGGATCATTGAGCTCAGGAGTTAGAGACTAACCTGGGCAATATGGCAAAACCCCGTCTCTATAAAAAAACAAAAACAAAACTTAGCCAAGAGTGATGGCATGTGTCTGTAGTGCCAGCTATTCAGGAAGCTGAGGTAGGAGGACTGCTTGAGGCCGGAAGGTTGAGGCTGCAGTGACCCATGTTAGGGCCACTGTACTGCCAGCCTGGGTGACAGGGAGAATGTCTCTAAAAATAAGATAAAAATAAAATGGGACCTTGTTTTGGGGAAAGCAAAGTGGCTTAAAAGATAAATGAGGAAATACATGAAAAGCACTTTAAACAGTTCTTGGCACCTGGTATGTGCTCAGTAAGTTGTTAGCATCTACAAAATATTGCTTGTGTATTACTGATAAGTGTTGTATGTTTCTTCTCTACTTGAAATTCTAGAGCAGTGTGTTAGAAATCAAAGTCAAAGTTACTATACATTTTTGGTAGGTTGTCTCTCTTCTCTCTTACTGGATTTGTTAGTTTGTTTTCTGCTTCTTTGCTGCATATATTTGGTAAATTTGTTCTTGAATTCTTACTCAGAATTTACAAGGATTTGCTTGGCCTGGAAGACGGATACTTGGCTTTGGTTAAGAATCTTCCTCACTGATATGATCATCTATCAGGTAGAGTATTATACATATTTTAGGTACCTGTGTCTGTACAGCATGGCTATGGTGGCAAACCAGCTTTCCTATGCAGAATGTGTCATGTTCCCTCTTGGGCTAGTCCACTGCCTCCTGACACCTGTTCTGTTTTCAGTGGCTGAGGGGGTATGGTCCATTTTCCTTTCAAAGTAACTATCGGCCGGGTGTCGTGGCTTACGCCTGTAATCCCAGCACTTTGGGAGGCCGAGGTGGGAGGATTGCTTGAGCCCAGGAGTTCGAGACTAGCCCTGGCAGCATAGTGAGACCCTGTCTCTACAAAATAAAAAACTTAGCCAAGTGTGGTGGCATGTGCCTATAGTTCCAGCTGCTCAGGAGGCTGAGGCGGGAGGATCACTTGAGCCCAGGAAGTCAAGACTGCACTGAACCATGATAGCGCCACTGCACCCCAGCCTGGGTGACAGTGAGACCTTGTCTCAAAAACAAAACGAAACAAAAACTCCAAAATGACAAGCCTGTACCTTCTGTGTTACTTTTGGTATATCCAATCACACCTCTCTGTAAAAGTAAGATTTTTACTTTTCGGTAAAAGAGGATTACTTCTCACCCTCCTCTCTCTGCTGGTGGAGTCTGCCTGGCTGTACTGTTCTCCAGCATCTTAGACCTTGAATGGAGATAGTCGATAATTCACGAATGAGGTGGTGTCGGAATGGGCAGGTTGCTGCTTCCATCCTTCATAAAGGAGAAGTGGTGCTTGTAGTAAAATATTTCTAAAGAAATGTTATATCCAAATGTGCTGGATCACAGGGCCTGGTTATTTTCTTTAGTCTCGAGACCTAAGACCAGAAAGAAAAATCTTCATCCTTATAAAGTACCGCCAGAAAGAACTCCCACCTGGCTTTAATTAAGTTGATTTGATTCTATTGCCAATTCTCCGTTTCTTCCTCAGATGATCAAACCAAGCTACCGTCTTTGTATAGTTGCTTGCTCGTTGCTTCGTGAACCCTGGAACGGTATTTTTTAAATTTCTTTTTTTAACAGCGATGCTTTTCCCCTCCTTGCTATTCTATCTTTCTTAGGGTCAATATAAAAAGGCGATAGCCAGCCTGCATCACTTAGCAGCTCTCCAGGGATCCATTTCTCAGCCACAGATCACAGGGCAGGGGACCCTGGAGCATCAGAGGGCGCTCATCCAGCTGGCGACGTGCCACTTTGCGCTAGGGGAGTACAGAGTGAGTACTGCACACATACATGCCTGCCGCAGGTGCACGGGGCCACCTGGCCTTTCTCCTTTCCCTAGCGTGGCTTTTCATTCAGTGCACGTTTATTTCAATTTGATCTTTCTGCCTAGATTTATTACTTAATCTGCTAGTGAACATCACAATGATTTTGTTTTACGTAATTTTCTCTTTACTACAGCTTCCCTGAAATAAGGCATCAGTACTTTTTACATTTCTTGTTCATTGTTCCATTTGTTGGAGGATTTTTCTTTTTATTATTATTTTTCTTTTTATTATTATTACACTCTTGTCTCTTCTGTTGTACTTGGAAACACAAGGCCATTATTAAGTGGGAAATGGAGATTTATATTTAGCTTACTCAAACTTCAGATTCTCTCTTTAAATGGTAATAACACGCCCGGGTGTGGTGGCTCACACCTATAATCCCAGGACTTTGGGAGGCTGAGGCCAGCACATCACCTGAGGTCAGGAGTTTAAGACCATCCTGGCCAACATGGTGAAACCCCATCTCTATTAAAATACAAAAATGAGCTGGGTGTGGTGGTGGGCACCTGTAATCCCAACTACTTGGGAGACTGAGGAAGGAGAATCACTTGAACCTGGGAGGTGGAGGTTGCAGTGAGCCAAGATTGTGCCACTGCACTCCAGCCTGGGTGACAGAGCCAGACTCTGTCTCAAAAAAAAAAAAAAAATGGTGATAATACCCAATAGGGGCAGATTTATAAATGGGTGTGTTTCCTCCAGGAGGTTTCAAGCCCTTCCTACTACAGGGTGGGGACTATGTTTTTATCTTTGAACTCTCATGACACCTACCACAGTACAATAAGTGTTTGAATTCAGTTAAAATGATAACCGTGTTGTTGTGTATGCAAGGACTGTATAAACTCAAGGCCACAGCATAACACAAACTGATTTCTTCTCAGCCCTCTATATGTTGTTGATCACTTTGTGATTAAAATCCCTAAATGTTTTTTAACTTGAACTTTGAAATATGATTACTAATTTGTCATTATGATCTTTAGAAAGGAACAATTGGAGAATGTGTAAAGCATTCAAAATTGAAAATGCTTTTCCACCATTATTTATATAATTATCCATCAGTTACTTAACTCTAAGTTTTAATTAATTCCTTTTAAGAACTTAAAAGGCAGCACGTATTTACTCACACCGACATACATATCTCAAGTAGAATTAGCTATACTGCATACTAACTTCATTGTAGTAGGGAATATAAACTACTGAACAAGACAGACTTGTCTAACTTAAACAAGACAGACTCATTTCCTTTGAGGGCTTAGTTCCAACCTCTGAGTACATCACTATTAGGCCTATGGGCAGTGTCAGACTGACCTGATTCCTGACTTCCCATCTTTAGCCCAGACTCAATATGTCCAGATGTAAGTGTCCTTAGTTCTCTGGCTGTCTTTGTCTGCTTGGGTTGCTATAACCAAATACCATAAAGTGGGAGGCTTGTAAACAATAGGAATTCATTCCTCACAGTTCTGGAGGCTGGGAAGTCCAAGGTGAAGGCATCAGCAGATTCAGTGTCTGGTGAGGTCCTGCTTCCCGGATCATAGAAGGGACAAGAGAGCACTGTAGAGTCGCTCTGATAAGGGCACGAATCCCATTCATGAGGGTTTTGCTCTCATCATCTACTCACCTCCCAAAGGCTGTCCCTCCTGATGCCCTCACATTGGGGGTTAGGTTTCAACATACAAATTTTGGTGGGAATGTAGACATTCAGACCATAGTACTGGCCCTTAGACACAAAACTTTCAAGTCTTGGTGGACTCTTACTCTAGCGAATCCTTTTGATTCTTCCAGTGTGATACTAATCTCTTTGCTATATTACCTTGTATTTCTATTGTCACCACCCTAATCCATGCCTTTTAACTAAGTTTTTGGCCTATCACCCTTTTTCCAACCCTATAAAATTATAATCGTTGCTTTCTAAAATACTGCTTTCATCCTTCTACTTAATTGAAGTATTGGTTTTCTTGGTGCTCAGTGTTGAATCCCGCTGTTGGCTGGGGAGTAGAAGCAGGGTGTGGGGAATATGGGAACCCTGAATTCAGGGGCACATGGTTTGAGTTAGGGAAAAAAGTATAAGTGTTTGTATAAGACAATGAAAAAAACAAATATTAGTTGATAGTCCTCAGTCATAGGCACAATAGGCATTCAGGGAAGGGTGTTTTCTTTGTTGGGTCCAAAGACGACTCAAGGAAAGATTGATAGAAAAGATTGGCTGGAGATGGGCATCGAAGGATGGCAGCTCATAGCTCTGGAGTACAAGTCCTGGCTAGCTCTGTGACATCGGTAGGTTACCTCATCCAGGCCTATCCAACTCCAGAGTTCAAGTTTTCAACTACCAGGCTGCTCATCTCTCTAAACTAGAGCTTCACAACCCTGTGGGCATAGGTGGGTTCTAGAGGTGCCAATATATGGATCCTGCAGCTTTTGGGGCAGTCAGCCATGACCTAGGGCTGCTGGGGCCACCCAAGGTCAATTGCTGCCAACCCTGAGCAGCCACACACAGGTTACTTTCAGGATGTGCCACAACATGAAAAGGGTCGGGAAGCATGGGTTTAAATCCCCACTTCCAGGAGTTCAACAGTGAGAACACATGGACACAGGCAGGGGAACATCACACACTGGGGCCTGTCAGGGGGTCGGGGGCAAGGAGAGGGAGAGCATTAGGACAAATACCTAAGGCATGCAAGACTTAAAACCTAGATGACGGGTTGATAGGTGCAGCAAACCACCAAGGCACACATATATGTAACAAATCTACACGTTCGGCACATATATCCCAGAACTTAAAGTACAAAAATAAATAAATAAATAAAAAATTACCTAGAGACCCAGAGATGTCTCTGGCCTTTTGCATAAAAGAAGAAAAAAAAAAAGCTCCAATTCCTCCTCTGGAAAATAGAGAACAAAAGGGTTTGCTTGACACAGATAAAAGGCTCATTGCATGGAATCTGACTGTTGTTAGGAGAATTTGAGTAGATAGAGAGGGAGCGGTGATGCAGACTGTCTGGATCAAGGGCAGCCTGCACAGAGGCACTCGAGGCTCCTCTCCACCAGCAGTGCATCCGTCCAGTGTCTCATCTGTGTCCTAGACCAAACCGCTGGCCCTCAAGTAAATCACCTAAACCCATATATAGCCCTTCCCCATGTCTTTCTCTCCTGCCTGAAAGGCGTCTTTTCTGCATTCCAAATCCTTCCTCTCTTTAAGGCTTAGGTCAAGATAACCTTCCTGCCTGAAGCTTTTCTTGCTAGTTTCTCCTGTGTGTATTTTCTCCTGCATTTTAAGTTATGCTCTATATCATACTCCTTAGACCTCTGCTACATTTTTTATTGTTAGTTTTTCTATGCAGTGAGTTAGTCAGTATCTTTCAGGCAGGGACATCTTTCTTTTGGCTGCTGCTGTGCTGTTGAACACCTCAGTACTTAATGCTTGGTTAATTTTTAAGTTTTGTTTTTTTAATAGCAAAGAATGGATTAGTGTTCCCTCTAAAGTCTAGTACATAGCTTTGAGTCTTATTCTTTACTCTTTCTGTATTCACTATTGAGCAATGGTAATGATCACATAGAGAGGTAGAAATACAGACTTCCATGTACACATTGCCTGATTGTATGCTGCAAATATTTTGGTACTTTATTTGATTTCAGTTCAGAAAGCTTCAAGTTAGTTCCTTTTTGGTCTTTTCTGCTTTAGATGACATGTGAAAAAGTCCTTGATTTGATGTGCTACATGGTACTCCCCATTCAAGATGGAGGCAAATCCCAGGAGGAACCCTCGAAAGTAAAGCCCAAATTTAGAAAAGGTACAGTGACATGTTTTATGACTATTTTGTAAAAATAGCTTTAGAAAGCCAGGCACGGTGGCTCACACTTGTAATCTCAGCTACTCGGAAGTCGAGGCGGGAGGATAGCTTTTGAGCCCAGGAGTTTGAGACCAGCCTGGGCAATGTAGTGAGACCCCATCTCTTAAAAAATTTTAAAAAGAAAAGAAAAATAGTTTTAGGACCCAAGGCTGAACAATGTTTTACAGTTCCTAATGAGATAATACTGCTGCAGGGCTTGCCAAATTGTATAAAAAGTTAATCCCTTTCCAAGTTTTTCCTTGGCTCTGATTTCATGAGCAGCTGTAAATGTCTTTCTTCCAAAGCTCTCTTCACTTCCTGAGTGTGTTATCTCTTTGACAAATTTCAGTGAACTCTTTTTCCTGTCTTTACAATTCTAGAAAAATGTGTAGATGATTAATTAGGAGGTATCTGTCAGCACATCCCTCTGAAACCATTCTGAGCTTCAGCTCAAGCTTCGTGTTGCTTGAAAAATGAAATGTACAGCTGATCTGAGTTTGTTAGAAAAAGATACATAAATTAAACTTGAAGAAAATAGATGACAGGAAAGAATAATGCTAAGAGCAGAAGTCAATGAAATAGAAAACAAAATAGAGAACATTAATAAAACTGGAAGTTTTTTTTTTGAAAAATATTATAAAATTGATAACCCCCTAACAAGATCGATAAGGAGGAAGGTGAACATAAATTACCAGTATCAGAAATGAAAAAGGGAGTGTCACTACAAATCCTACTGAAATCAAAAGGACAGTAAAGGAATACATTATGAAAAACTTTATGCCAATAAATTTAACAACTTAGATGAAATGAAAAAGTTTCTTAAACACAATTTACCAAAATTGACACAAAAAATAAACAGAAAATCAGAATGTTCTGCCAGGAACAGTAGCTCATGCCTGTAATCCCAGCATTTTGGGAAGCCAAGGATGGCAGATCGTTTGAGCCTAGAAGTTCGAGACCAGTGTGGGCAACATGGTGAAACCCCATCTCTACTAAAAATATAAAAATTACCCGGGTGTGGTGGTACACACCTGTAGTCTCAGCTACTCAGGAGGCTGAGGTGGGAGAAGCATTTGAACCTGAGAGGCAGAGGTTGCAGTGAGCCGAGATCACACCACTGCACTCTAGCCTGGTCAACACAACCAGACTCAAAAAGAAAGAAAAGAAATCAGAATGTTCAAGAAAGAAAGAAAGAAAGAAAATAAATAAATCAGAATGTTCCCTTAGCTATTAAGGAAATTAAATTTGTTATCAAAAACCTTCCACAAAGAATTCAGGTTCAAATGGCTTTACTGGTGAATTCTATCAAGAATTTAGGAAGAAATAGTGCCAATTCTACACAAACTCTTATCAGAAAATAGAGGAAGAGTCCCAATTCATTTTTAAAGGCTGACACAATAACCCTGATAGTAAAACCAAACAAGAGTATCACAAGAAAAGAACTTTAAAGGCCAGTATCCATCATGAATTATAATAGGTGTCAAATCCTTAACAAAATATTAGCAAATTGAATACAGCAATATAGAAGGACAATATATTATGACCAGGTATACCAGGAATGCATAGGCGTTTGAACATACAAAAATCAGTGGCCAGGCATGGTGGCTCATGCCTGTAATTGCAGCACTTTGGGAGGCCGAGGCAGGAGGATCACGAGGTCAGGAGATAGAGACCATCCTTGCTAATATGGTGAAACTCCATCTCTACTAAGAAATACAAAAAATTAGCCAGGCCTGGTGGCAGGCACCTGTAATCCCAGCTACTCGGGAGGCTGAGGCAGGGGAATCGCTTGAACCCGGGAGGCGGAGGTTGCAGTAAGCTGAGATTGCGCCACTACACTCCAGCCTGGGCGACAGAGTGAGACTCCGTTTCAAAAAAAAAACCAAACAAACAAAAATCAGTGTAATTCACTCCATTAGCAGACAGAAGGAGAAAAATCATGACTGTCTTAGTAGATGCATACAGAATTCAATATCAGTTCATGATAACAAAAATCTTAGCAAACTAGGAATAGAAGGAAACTATTTTTTAACATCAAACTTAACTATGAAGTATTGAATGCTTTCCCCCACTAAGATTAGAAACAATACAAGGATGTCTGCCCTCACCACTTCTGTTCAATAATCTGGAGATTCTAGGCAGTACAGCAGGCAAGAAAAGTGAATAAAGGCATAAAGATCTGACAAATATGAGTACCTTTATTCACAGTTACATATTTGGCCAGGCATGGTGGCTTATGCCTGTAATCCCCGCACTTTGAGAGGCTGATGCAGGTGGATTGCTTGAGCCCAGGAGCCCAAACCAGCATGGGCAACAAAGTGAGATCCCGTCTCTACAAAAAATTTAAAAATCAGTCAGGCTTAGTGGTGTGCACCTGTAGTTCCAGCTATCTAGAGGCTGAGGCAGGAGGATCGCTTGAGCCCAGGAGGTCAAAGCTGTGGTGAGCTATGATTGTGTCACTGCACTCCAGCCTGGGTGACAGAGAAAGATTTCCCTGTCTCAAAAAACAAAAACAAAAAACCCAACACAGTTACATATTTGGCTATGTAGAAAACTTGAGGGAATCTCCACAAATCCCCAAGGCTGGGCGCAGTGGCTCACACCTCTAATCCCAACACTTTGGGAGGCCGAGGCAGGTGGATCACTTGAGGCCAGGAGTTTGAGACAAGCCTGGCCAACATGGTGAAACCCCATCTCTACTAACAGTACAAAAATAAGCCAGGTATAGTGGCACACACCTTTAATCCCAGCTACTCAGGAGGTTGAGGTGGGAGAATCACTTGAATCTGGGAGGTGGAGGTTTCATTGAGCCAAGATTGCACCACTGCACTCCAGCCTAGGCGACAGAGTGAGACCTTGTCTCAAAAAAAAAAAAAAAAAAAAAAAAAAAATTCCAAGACGTTTTAGTGTATAAAAAATCAATTCAATTTGTATGCTATTAATAAGCAATTAGAAAATGAATTTTTTAAGATACTATTTCTAATAGCATCAAAAAAACATAAAATACTTAGAGGTAAATTTAATGAAAGATATGCAAAACCTCCACTTTGAATATCAGAAAACATTTCTGAGAAAAATTAAAGATTTTTGAAAATGGACAGATCATGTTTCTATATCAGAAGATTCAATATTATTATGGTGCCAGTTCTCCCCACGTGTATCTGTAGATTCAATGCAATTTCAAGCAAAATTACAGCAGACTTTACGGTTTTTGGTGGTTTTTTGCTAGAAGTTCACAAAGTGATTCTAAAATGTAAGTGGAAATATTACATAATCTAGAATAGTCAAAACAGGTTTTAAAAAGACACAATTAAGTGACTTATACTACATAATAACAAGACTTAATATACAAGCATAATAATCAAGACAGAGTTGACAAAATATCGACATAAGAATGGAGAATCCAGAAATAGACCTGCATAGATTTGATCAAATGATTTTCGATGAAGGCATCAAAGTAATTCAATAAGGAAAGGAAAGACTTTTCAACCAATGGTGCTGGAGCAGATTACGTTGTATATGTTTGAAGTTTTCTATAACAAATGGTCAAAAAAAAAAATCTAGCCCAGACTTCTTCAAAAATTAAGTATTTCTGCAGAACAGAAAGTTTCTGGTTGAAACTCATGACCCTGTAGATGAAGACTCACAGCTTGAGAAACACTAATCTAAGGTGTACAACTAGGAGGCAAGGCATATAATTAGGTAATGACATGTTCAACTTGGTAATGCTAAGTTAGTTTCCAGAGTGGCTGCATGACTTTATATACCTTCCAGAAACTGATTAGGTGGATAGGACTGACCTAGCTGACTTCAAGACTTATTTTAAAGCTTTAGTAATTTAAGACAGGGTAGTATTGGCACAGGGGTTGACCAGTGGAACAGCATAGAAAACTGAGAAATAGATGACATTAAAATTCAGTGGGGGAAGAATGAATTTATTCAATAAGTGGTACTAGAACAATTTATTATCCAAATGTAAAAAACGACAATAAAAAAATGAGATCCCCTCCTTCACACTACATAGACATCCTTTAAATTTTAAGGTTGAAATGTGACAGCAAAAACTCCAAAACTTCCAAACTTTTAGAAGAAAATTTAAAAATAGAAAGATTAGTAAATTTGATCACATTAAAATTAAAATACCAACAAAGGCTGTTACAATCAAAGTGAAAAGATAAGGCATAGGCTGCCAGAAAATTGTCTATCACACAAAATCAACAAAAACTTAGTATCTAGAGTTTTGAAAGAGCTCCTTCAGACCAATAGGAAGCAATTATCCAATCCCCATAGAAAAATAGGCAAAGGACAGGAAGAACAGATTCACAGGAGCAGAAATCCAAATGGCCAAAAACTATTTGGAAAGATTCTCAACCTTTTGTCATATGGGCAATTCAGAATAAAACAATAAACTACCATTTCACACACATCAGAATGCAAAAATTGAAGAGGATGTGAAGGAACACAGTGCCACGTGCTTCTGGAAGGTGTATAAAGTCATGCAACCATTCTGGAAACCAACTTCCCATGACCAAGTTGAACATGTCATTACCTAATTATTAAATGTACCTCGCGTCCTAGTTGTATACCTTAGATGAGTGTTTTTCAAGCTGTGAGTTTTCATTTACAGGGTCATGAGTTTCAACCAGAAATTTTCTTTTTTAATGAGATAGAATTCAATAATATTTTAAGACGACATCTCAGACAAGAAGAGAGACTGTTATTCCATGCACCTTTTGTTTTGGATCTATCACATTATGTAAGTATGTGTGTACAGGATCCCATGTGAAAAATATTTATTTCTTGCTATCTTGCCTCTGAGTAGAGAAAGATAACAGACATAAAGAACACAGACCAGAAAGGAAAGATTGGGATTTTGCTTTGAAAGCTATTGCTTAAAGTTATTTCCACAAATGTACAAGAATATGTAAGAATGTATATTTATCATTGTAATAGTGAAAAATTGGAAATGTCAATATCCTCTGTAAAAGGAATGCAGACAACAGAATACTATATAACACTGAAAATGAATGAACTAGAGCTATGTGTATTGATATTGACCAGTTGATAAATCTGAACCACATGAAGTTGAGTAAAAAAAGCAATTTGCAGAAGGATACATACAAAATGACACCATTTATATAGTAGACTGAAAGCATGCAGAACAATCCATTGTTGTTTACGTGTGTAACAGTCATAGGAATGACAACCACTGCCTTCAGAATTATGGCGACCTCTGCGATGGAAGAGAATGGGATCAGAGAAGGATACACAATAGGCTTTAACTGATTTTGTGATTATTGATATTAGAAATGTTTAAAATTAAGATATTAACATTTCATGAAGCTGAGTGGTGAGCACACCAGTGTTATATTCTCTCTATATAACTTTGTGTATATTTGAAATGTTTTCTCATAAAAAGTATTTAAGCAAGTTTAGGAAAGAATATTGATAAATGAAATCTAGAGACCATCAAAAGCCAATTTCACCATCACAAAGTATAATTGTGTTTCAAATATAATTGAAATTGTGTGACTGTTGCATATTCTCTTTTTTGTTGTTGTTAATGAAAGCATCTTAAACAGTTGCCTTTCAAAGCTGTTATCTTTGATAATAACATACATTAACCTAACATTGTGGACTTCTGTTAGGTTCGGATCTGAAGCTCCTGCCTTGTACCAGCAAGGCTATCATGCCATACTGCCTCCATTTAATGTTAGCCTGTTTTAAGGTAAGCTTAAAGTTGATTAGCTTGAAAAAAAATGTAATTTCAAATATTATTCTCATGACTCGAGAACTTGAGAACCTTGCTAAGGATTGTTATTTTAGTACTTTTGAGGGCAGGCCCAAACAGTTAGAAAAGCACATGGGCTACTAATTAACAAATCTATATTAAATAATGACTGCGCTAGGCAAAGAGAAGTAGGAAGTTCTCCCCGTCCTCAAAAAGTGTAATAGTGGGACAGATATGCAAATAACCTTGACTGTTGTAGTGTTTGGTAAATATTTTATCAATATAAATATATTAGCTACAAAGAAAGGGAATACAAATTGCGGTTAGGTTCATGGAGGGATGATGAGTTTGTCATTGTAAAGATGTGCTAGATTAAGCATGTTAGGTGTTGAGATCAACACCAGTAACAGCCCAACAGTTGGGAAAGTTCCGGGACTTGAAAGAACGCCAAGGCCCTTGGCTACAGGTAGAGCAGAGCCTTAGAGCAGGGAGGCTTCATTGTTTCTGGAAGGTTTGTTGGCCAGAGAGTAAAACATTGGGTCTCCACTTCAGTGCAGTAACTCCCACTTAACTCATCATCCATATCACTTTTTTAGGGCAACAAAAACAATTTAAAGTGTGATTTTATGCATAACCGCTCATTTGAAACAAAAACTGTTTTGACCATTTCTTTAGTTCACACTTCTGCTTATTTCCTTGTGGCTCACCACCTTTCCTTCTCTGCAATCCCATGTTCTCTACAAACAGTTCTCTCCTGGATGGCCTCTTGCCCACCTACTCCCATCTGCTCCCTTTCAAAGAAATCTTCAGATTTATTTCTCCATTACACAGGATGAATCAGAGTTCTCTGCCCCTGATTCTCATATGCAAAAGCTTCAGGCCCACCCATGTCCAACTGCCATCTACACACTGCCAGCAGCTGTGCAGAGGGAGCCTGAGGCTTCTTTGGTTAGAATCCACCCTCCTTAGAAGGCAGCTGTGATGTTTACCAGCCATTTCGTTGTGCCTTTGTTTCCTTCTTACTCTAATGACGTTTATCACACATTTGCATATACAGCATATTTTTGGAAAGTGATGTTTGCTGTATTTCAGATTACCCTGTGACTTCCTTTTCCTTCTGTCTTGTATAAATCTTTGTCTTGCAGCTTAGAGCTTTCACAGACAACAGAGACGACATGGCATTGGGGCATGTGATTGTGTTGCTTCAGCAAGAGTGGCCACGGGGCGAGAATCTTTTCCTGAAAGCTGTCAATAAAATTTGCCAACAAGGAAATTTCCAATATGAGAATTTTTTCAATTACGTTACAAGTATCCTTTTTTCTTGTTTAAGCATAACACATTCTGATTTTCTTTAGAATGAATACATGATAGAAAAAGAATGAACCATTCTGGATAGAAATAATGATTTTTACTATTTTGCAGCGAAGAGAAGGAATGGGGATTAAAACTGGGGCTGTGGCAGTTGATCTTCTGAAAGTCGTGAAAGACATGATTCAAGGAATTGGGAATCTTACAACCCTCTTCCATTTTCCACTGCTAGGTGACTTCTAAGAAGGTACGCAAAATGCCTCCAGTAATAGCCTACAGGTTGCTGATAGGTCCAGCTTGCCCGGTTTAGTCAAGGAATATAATACTAATAGTTCCTCTTCTTCCATCTGTCAAAAGAATGCCTCCTGTAGCCTCTGGGGACAGTGGCTGTGCCCTGCAATCACTTGTTAGGGCACCCTGCCATAGCTGTCTTACCTACCAATGAGTACCCACCAGAGATGCTGCACAGCACAGTAGCTGCTTCTGACATTAGGTAATGCTGTATTTCACACTGCTTATTAGGGAAAGACCTTTGAATTAAAGGTTAGTTATCAATTTGGGTGTTTTTACTTCATTGTTTATCTTATTACATTATTTCTGAATTGCAAGGAATATAAATGATATTCTTGTTCAGGTGCTCAGAGCAATAGTTTTTATTTTTATTTTGTTTTTTTTTAGAGTTGGGGTCTTGCTGTGTCACCCAGGCTGGAGTGTAGTGGTGTGATCATAGCTCACTGCAGTCTTAAACTCCTGGGCTCAAGAGACCCTCCTACCTCAGCCTTCTGAGTAGCTAGGACCACAGGTGTGCACTACCATACCAGGCCAAAGTAATAGTTTTTAACCATGGTTTGGGACAGATATCTTTTGAGAATCTAATGAAAGTTACATAATTTTTCACTAGAAAAATGCATACATGAATGTCATCGACATATTGCATAAAATTTGGGTGACTCACAGAAGCTTCCTCCTCTGATGCATCTATAAACCCTTGCACCCCAGTTATGAAGAAGTAATCACTTGATTTTTATGAATTTTATGTTCTGTAACACCAAAGAATCCTCCCTACTTTCACCTCCTCTTTCATTTCTTATTAAGAAAACAAAAAAATTTTGCTCTTGTGACCATGTAGTATTAATTATTATCGATATGGAAAACATGTTGTCCTCATGCTCTTTAGCCTGGCACATCTCATGCCAAGAGTTATCTGTGCGAGGGAGTTTAGTGGGTATAAGAATCAGGTTTTGGCATCAGACAGATCTGGGTTCAAATATGGAGTCTGCAGTTAGTGGGGTAGCAATGGGCAAGTTACTCAACTGCCAAGACCCCATTTCCTTATCAGAGAGAACTGGCACCTTTTTTAGTGGGATGGCAATGGGCAAGTTACTCAACTGCCGAGACCCCATTTCCTCATCAGAGAAAACTAGCACCTTTTTTTACATGTGGTTAACCTGAATCTGGCCTGCAGATATTGATATGCTGGAGGAATTTGCCTACTTGAGAACTCAGGAAGGTGGGAAAATTCATCTGGAATTACTACCCAATCAAGGAATGCTGATCAAGTAAGCATGTTCTCTTTTGCTCTTCCATGCTGAGTGCTCACCTTTTGTGTCTTTGTATGAAGTATTTGTAAATGTCTATACCTATCAAAAATTTAATACAAAGGACTTTAAACCTGGTCTCTGTTATGATAGTTTGATTCTGGGTACCTTTTGAAAAACTTGCATTTCCTTAACTACATTTCTTAAAACACTTTGCTTAAATTGGGGTATTTTTGTCACATTTGCAACTTTTTCACTAGACAAAAGTCTCATTCATGATATCTTTTACTTTCAAAAATTTATAGGGTGAGTCTATAAGTTTCTGATTAGTCACAGAGTGCCTTTAATTAAGAACAGTTGTGTGGCCAGGCATGGTGGCTCACGCCTGTAATCTCAACACTTTGGGAGGCCAAGGAGGACAGATCACCTAAGGCCAGGAATTCAGGACCAGCCTGGCCAACATGGTGAAACCCCGTCTCTACTAAAAATACAAAAAAAAAAAAAAAATTATGTGGGCATGATAGTGGGCACCTGTAATCCCAGCTACTTGGGAGGCTGAGGCAGGAGAACCGCTTGAACCCAGGAGGTGGAGGTTGCAGTGAGCCGAGGTCGCGCCATTACACTCCAGCCTGGGCAACAAGAGTGAAACTCCATCTCAAAAAAAAAAACAAACAAACAAAACAGCTGTGCTTAATTAAAATTGTGCTGGGTTAGAAAAATTCTTTAGGAAAAACTACAGACTTTTTATTTATAAACTACCTATGAAGCCCTCCTATGCAGTCCTCATGACTTACATAACAACGAAGTATTAATAGCCAGGTATAGTGCCTCTAAGAACACACCTGTCCCAAGAAATGATGGTGGGAGTGGTTGGTCTCCACCATGCTCCCCTGAACTCACAAGATGTTACTAAAATTCCGGGTTGGCCCAGATGAAAATGCCAAATTAGTGACCATTTATGATTTTTAAATAGCTCATAAATCTTGCTTCTCTCCTTCAATCCTCATTGTAGTTTGGGTAATATATCCTCTCTGCTGTAAATGCCACGTGTAGTTTTATTTTCATACTTCCTCCTTTGCTTCCTGCACATTCAGTGTGTCTGTAAGTCAGTGTTAGAGTTTCTGCAAGAGACTGAATCCTGAATGAGAAGAAAGTACTGCTAAAACTAAAAACATTTTTCTTTTTCCCTCAGTTGTGGAATAAACTAGTTTTCAGTGGTTGAAAGCAAAAATCCACATCTTGTTCTATCTTGATAGTCTTAGAAGTGCCTAGGGAAAGAAGTAAGAAATGTTCATTTTAGATTTCTGTAACCTCAGTAGTTTGCTGGTAGCAAACATTTCTTTTTGTGTCTAGCAAGAATAGGGTCTTGTGGACTCCATTCTCAAGAATGGAAAGATTAAGTGGTTTTTTCTCCTTCATCTTATAAGTGTTATTAAATTATAAACTTTTAAAATAAAAGAACAGTGCTCTTTTTAAAAATACACGAGACCTTTCTGCATTGGTTTGCTTAAGCAGGATGGACAAGGACTGGCATCTTCCAATCCCCATTTACTTTTCTAAGATCGTGAATCGAAACTTTGGGAAGAATAACTATGTTGTTCAAAATATTCTTAACAGTGTTTGGGGATAAAGATTACCTTTGGATACGGAAGCCCAGGTAACCCCTTTTGTATTGTGATTTGTTTTCTAGACTTTGAAACTGGATATACAAATACACCCTGAATCAAGCTTTTTAGTTAATTCCCATCAGCAGTCACTATACGAGTTAATATAGAGACAGCCATAGTGGAACCGAAGTCTGTGTACATAGGATTAAACCTGCAGATGATTATCACTTTACCTAGATAATGCCTAACTGTTAGTGCAGGTGTGAGAGATGGATTGTCAAAAAATCAACAGTTGAACCTCAGACTTCATTGTACTGAACCTTTCTTCTTCTACCAGTTTTTACTGAGCTGAAGAGTGACATAAGTCCAAGTGGACAAACCCTAGGATGAGGAATGAGAGCAAGGGGAGTGTTGGGTACCAGCTAGTATCACAGGGAAGAGTGTTTGGAGTTGTTTGTGTAAAGGATACCCATCATGCACTTCTAACTAGTGAGGGAGAACTCCAGGGTCTCCCACCTTGATCAATACAACCCTTAATTTCTTCTAACTTTCTATAGAAGACAAGCCTCTTAGGAAGGCTGCAGTTTCATCAGTTTGGAAGCAGGAATAGGGATTATTCCTTAGTGATCTGACCTCGTAGGGATTTGCCCAGTCTTCACTGTGTGAATCTCAAGGTTAATTACTTATGCCTAAATTAACATGGTAGAAAGCACACTGCTTAAGCCAGAGAGCTCTTCCTAACTGAGGAATGGTTGGAATCTTTATTAAACAATCTGAATTCCTTTTCCCTTTGGGTTCCAAACAAGTTTTCTGAAGCCATTACAGACCTTTTGGGTGGTCCCTCCAGATGAGTGGCAGAGATGTTGTGAGCAGTGTACACTTCTCCCCGGGGGTAAGGCTGTGAGTCTGCCCTAGCTGTGGCATCTGGGATGCAAGCAGGTACAGTACCAACACTGAGGGCACCCGGTGCTTCACTCAAAGGAGGGAGAAGCTCTTAATCTGTTATACAGACCTTTTGCTCTTAAGTATTTTAAAATAGAGAAATGTTTCTGTGCTGATAAATGCAGTATCTTAGTTGTATTAGAGTGGATTAAAATGGAAAACAATGTCCTACTTATACTCTGAATAGGGTGGATAATAATGTTCTATGAGGTGATCACCAGCTAATACACTAAATCTTTGTTGTTACAGAATTCTGCACAGCCATGGGTCCCGGACTCTTATTTTCCCCCATCTGTTCTCAATACGTTTTTGAAATTGAAACTCACCCTTTTTTTAAATCAAAAACATTGCCAGACCATTTAGTCCTCTTGGAAGGGCCTCTCCGGTGGGGCTTCAGTCCTGTTAAAGATGGTTACCAGACATCACCAGGTTGAATGCTGGGACTGGTGTACCGTGAGAAGAGTGGAAAGTAAAGAGGCTGGCTTTGAAAATGTGTCTTCTCAAAGGCTGCCCCTACTCCCTATTGCCATTCAGCTGCATTCCATCATCCTCTTCCTCACTGGTCGCTTTTTATACCACCTCAAAAGGGGGCTGAGCTCTGGGACCAGGAACTGAGACGCCTCTGGACACGCACCAGCAGCAGCGGGTGCAGTGAGGGCTGGCTAGCTTCTCCCCAGTCTCCTTAAACACCCAGCCACGGCCAGGGGCTTGTTGAGGTTAATGAGTTTCTGTTTAGTCTGCTTCTAGTCTTGTGTATTTTCTCTGGAGTGTTGTTTTTGCAGTGCAGGGTGAGTCGGTGTGGGTGTTTGAATGCTGCTGTTTGCTGTTTTTTAAAGGCCTTCTAGCCCTCCCATGGGGTTACTGCAGCAGGAATTCTTACCTGTGCTTCAGCCCAGCATACAGACTGCTGACAGGTACCAAGTGGAATCAACGCCCGCTCATAGTGTGCTGTTTGTCAACATGTTCGCTGCCCATGGTTCTCAGCTCTTCGTTCCTCAGTGCTCTTTTTCATGCTTTCTTTCTTTTTTAATTTGTTCCGCATTTTGGCAAACCATCTGGTTGTAATATTGTAACATTTCTTATTTTTTTTCCATAAGTTGCCAGTGTGTTTGTGTTCGATTTAAAAATCATTATGGATCTGGAAAAAACAATGAAAGCTATATAAATCTGTATTCAATTAAGTGCACATTAGCTTAGGTGCACCATGATTCTCTTTTGATAAAACGTTAAGGCTTTCGGTCATATATATTTAAGGATGCTGACGTTTATTTTAAGTACATTTTTATTTGTGGATACTCATATGAGTGACCAGTCATTATGGTCATATTAGCAATTAGTTGCCTGGTATCTAAATAGGCACTAATGTGTTTTTTTTCCTGCTACTGATGTTTTTTCAGACCTTACCTTTCTGAATTGAAAATATTTGATAGGCTAAAATGCCACATTTATTAGCTGGTTTATCCTGTTCTTAAACCACAAAAGCTTACTAATTCTCTTTTTCATCCAAACTTACCAAAGTGATAGTGCTTCTAATAGAAATATAATTGAATTGTGCCACTCTTTATATATGGAGATAATACAAATTGGACCCTGATCTGCAGGATGTAGCATTTAGTTATATTTTTAGTGGTATTAAAAGCAGGGTTTATTAGCCAGGCCTGGTGGCATATGCCTGTAATCCCAGCTACTCGGGAGGCTGAGGCACAAGAATTGCTTGAACCCAGGAGGCAGAGGTGGCAGTGAGCTGAGATCATTGCCACTGCACTTCAGCCTGGGTGACACAGCAAGATAGCAAGATGCCATCTCAAAAAAAAAAAAAGAAAGAAAGAAAGAAAAAAAAAGGAGGGTTTGCCCTTTAGCTAACTGTCTGCAAGTGCCAGTAACCTCCGCTTGGTCAGAGGGTCAGCTCCAGTTTGAGGCTGCAGCCTGGGACCCAGAAGAGCAGTATCTCAGGGCAGCATAAATGGTTTGCATCTATCCTAGCGGGACCTCACCGATGCTATGTCCTAACTACTGAGCTACCCATCCAGATTTGACGAGAGATAGTCACAAAGAAGTGTGCATTTACCCCACGGCCCTGCTGTTTTCCCCTGTAGTTCTTTAAAACATCCATGGGCATTAGAAGGTTCTGTGATAGCTTTACTTATCTAACAAAGCTGGATTTTTTTTTTCTTTTCATCTGTTGTTTTACAATTTGGTGACTCCTGTTGTCCTTATTTGATATGATCATTAATACAAGTTTTTAAAAACAGAAACATTTTAGAGTAATTTTAACACTTTTATCTTGCCCAGAACATAAAAAAATCTTCATTTTCAATCCTTATAACTTTGTGTGAGGGAAATTAGGCATCAGGGTGGGAAACAGAGGTGACTTTTATTTGTCTAAGTCTACCAAATTGCTGAACTAGTAGGTAAAACTCCCTTCCTCTTAACTGAGCTGACTGATTTTTGCTAGATTTTTCTTTTCGTTTCTTCATTTTGTTTCTTCCGTTTCCTGGGATTTCATGTGTGATTTCTTTTTCTAAAGCACAACCTTTGGGGTGTAGTTAAGAGACATTTTTCCCTGTGTCCCCACCACCCCTTCCACACATGTGCAGGTCTCCCCTGAGTGCCCAGACAGCGCAGGACCACGCAGTCCACTCCCTCTGCCCCTCAGAGATTCTGCCTCTCTCTCCTGACCTGTGCCACATTCTTGTGTCAGGACCCCACCTCCCGCTGCGTTTTCTTCAACATATGAGAGTCTAGATGGGCACAGCATTTAGAGGAGCTGCCCTATTCTGGTGTCCTGGGGAGAGAGACGTGCTTGTGACCCCGGCTGTGCAGGAGCCCTGAACCTTTCTGGGAGCACCAGCTGCGGGGGCCATGGTGGGAGCTCACTTGGGTGATTGGCTCATTCAGGTCTCCTCCCTCCTTGCTGCTGCCTCTGGAGGGTCTGCTGGCCGGGCTGGACATGAGCTCTTTGTAGCCAGTGTGGACTGGACCCATTTGGCCCTAAGTAACTGAATTGTGTACCAGTCAGCAGTAGGGATGCATAACACCAGAGCTTCATTGATTCAAAGGCAAAGCAGGTGGCATTTTACTGAACAATTAAATGTTTGAAGTAACCTTTTATAGAGTGAGAAAGATGTCTGTCTAGTTTTAAGTCTTTCTGAAGAGAAATGGGCTGGAATGTTTGGTTGGTTGCAGCTATTCTTGTGTTCTTTTTAAAATATCTGAAATTATACTTAGATATGGGGCAGGCTTTATTCCTACCCAAGTAGCAGCGATCAGCGATGCTGGTGCTAACCCCTGGTCTTTGTCTGTTTCCCTATTGCTGACCTCAGGCACCACACTGTAACTCGAGGCATCACCAAAGGCGTGAAGGAGGACTTTCGCCTGGCCATGGAGCGCCAGGTCTCCCGCTGTGGAGAGAATCTGATGGTGGTTCTGCACAGGTTCTGCATTAATGAGAAGATCTTGCTCCTTCAGACTCTGACCTGAGTGGAGACCTTTCCACCAGACACAGCTCGGGCCTGTGTAATTGTAGGAGAAGACACTCAGCAGTGATTGCCATGGCACAGAGCCGTGGTCATTGTTGCTGTTACAAAGAAGAAAACCATCTGAGTTCTAACTCCTTGGTTGCTTAAAAGTAGTTCCCAAGAGTCTGAGAAGCTATTTCTATTTTTAAGAGTCATTTTTTGTAATTTTTGTAAAACAAAAGTACCAATCTGTTTTGTAAATAAAAATCATCCTAAAATTTGAAGTTTTTAAAAATTTAATTCTTATGAGTTTTTGAACAGGGGTGCATTTTTCTTCTTTTCTAAGCATATAGCAAGGGGGAAAATCCAGCATAATTGAATTGAGTAATGAATTTTACTAATATAGATACTTACTTAAAAGACATATGTCTTCCATGACCTTAAGATTTTATTTTCCATAGTTAGGCTTTGGTCGGTATTGCATATCAACATAATATTAGACGTTTTCATTCAGGTGATCTCTTTTTTAGAAACAAGGTCTCACTCTACACCCAGGTTAGAGTGCAGTGGCACGATCATAACTCACTGCAGCCTCAAACTCCTGGCCTCAAGCAATCCTCCTGCCTCCAACCTCCCAAGTAGCTGGGACTACAAGTATACACCACCATGCTCAGCTATTTTTTTTTAATTTTATGTAGAGACAGGGTCTCACTATGTTACTCAGGTGGGTCTCAAACATCTGGCCTCCAGCAATCCCACCTCAGCCTCCCAAAGTGTTGGTATAACAGGCATGAGCCACCATACCTGGCCTCATTCGGGAAGTTTTAACACCAAAAACATTTATGTAAAAATGAATTTGAGCCTGACCTCTCCCACTGATGGTCCCCTGAAGGAGAGGTGCTCAGGGCTGCTGAAAAGCCCAGGACAGGAAGTGGAGGTGAGAGGCAAGGTGTGGCAGAGCAGCCTCCCCATTGCTGTCTGGCTCCAGGAAGTCCCTGCTGCTGTGCCAGGGTGGCCCAGTGGTTTCTACCCAGGGGCTTTGGAGCCAGGTGGCCTTGTGTGGCTTTGCATCCTGGCTTTGCCCTGCCCTTACTTGCTATGTGACCGTGGACAAGGTAACTTCTGTGTGCCTCAAGCTCTTTGTCTGAAAACGGAGCTGAGTGGTCCTCCCCTTGCTGGTTATTGGGAGGATGAAATGTTGCTCCACGTGAAATGCTTGGGAGAGGGCCTTGAGTGTAGTTAGTGCTGGCCAACATTAGCTATTAGGCTAATTTTTTTTTTTAATTAGGCTAATTTTATTTTCCTTTTGCTCTTCATGAAATTATACAGAAGACAAACATCAATAAAATTTGTTTCAAGGGAGTATTTAAGAATGAAAGAGCTAAGAAGTTTTGCAGTTACTCTGCATAAAAGGTCTTAGAAATCTTTTCTAAATAAAGATCCTTTTTATAGCTATATTAAAATCAATAAGATGGTTTAAATAAGAGACATCTGATCTCAAAAATATCAACTAGCTTGTTTTGCAGTGTTTATTAGTGTAATATGAGTTTATTACAAATATATAAGCTATCCTTTTTTTAGTGATGGGATGTGCTGCCACCTAAAAGCTCCCAAATTAAACACTCTCACCTTTAGGTTTTCTAACACTATTAGGGTTCTTCAGAGGGACCGAACTATTGGATAGATGTATATATGAAAGGGAGTTTGTTAAGGAGAATTAGCTGACATGATCAGAAGGTGAAGCTCCACAGCAGGCCGTCTGCGAGCCAAGGAAGAAGGAAGCCCACAGTGGCTCAGTCCAAGTCCAAAAGCCTCAAAAGCAGGGAGGCCAACAGTGCATCCTTCAGTCTGTGGCCAAAGGCCCGAGAGCCCATGACCAACCACTGGTGTAAGTCCAAGAGTCCAAAGGCCAAAGAACCTGGAGTCTGATGTCCAAAGGCAGGAAGCATCCAGCACGGGAGAAAGATGAAAGCCAGAAGACTCAGCAAGTCAGCTTATCCCACCTTCCGCCTACTTTGTTCTACCCTCGCTGGTGTCTACCCAGCTTGAGGGTGGGTCTTTCTCTCCCGATCCATTGACTCAAATGTTAATCTCCTCTGGCAAAAGCCTCACAGACACACCCAGAAACAATACCAGCTATCTAGGCATCCTTCAATGCAATCAAGTTGACACCTAATATTAACCATCACGAACAGCTTCCTCAGCTCAGTGTTTCAGGAGCAGTGCACATCACAACAAGACTTTCTAATACCCCAAAATGTAGGTACTAGCTAAAAGAGGATTAACCATCTTTTTTAAAATTCAGTGGTGCCACTTCTCTGTGAAGAGGCTGCAGGGAAAGGGCCACAGAATAAAATGGAAACTCAGACTGAATTTGCAGAAAAAGAAGGAGCTGGGAGAAAACTGCAGACCTCTCAGCACATAATGGCTCCATCCAAATCGCTGCACTAAGAGACCTGACCAAACTCTAGCTTGGCTACCAGCAGCTTAAGGCCATGACCCCAGTCCCGCTTAAAATGCCTGCCTGAGAAAGCTCCATGCTACCAAAATTTATTCCAGACCAAACCAGGTGATAGGCAGATAGGCCCCTGGACTCTCGCTTAGAATAGTTACTTTAAAAAGGTTGCAATTACACATCCTTTGCCCTTTGAGATGCAAAGTGACCCCCCAGAGCTGTTTTCTCAAGAACCCAAGAGCTGGCTTTTTGAAATCCATTCAGGGAATCAACTCTTGCTCCCAGTCCCTGTGACAGGGAACATTTGAGCTGGGTTTGGACCACTGTAACATTTAGACTCCTACAGGAGATGTACTGTTGCCATGGCAATCCTGCTCCCTAACAAAGGAACTGCAGGCTCAGGCTTTTGGTGTCTGCTTGTCTGAGTAACGAATGAGGCAAAGCTACCATCGGGATGACCTTAAGGCAGGCAGAAGATACAGCGGTGCATAGGAGGCTTGACTGACCTTGGATATCTCGTCCCAGACATTCCCCTCACCTGGCAGCGGGGTGCACCCTGCGTGCACAGCATCCTCCTCCTACGCTTAGGTCCATCTGGATGTAGAGTCCCTCCTGGGAAAAGGGGAACTGCCAGAAAGAGACACCTGCCCCTCACTCGTCACCAAATGCAGGTTCCTGGGGAAAATGATGCTAGTAAGACCTGCCTCTGGGTTTCCTAAGCAGCAGAACAGCTCCCTCGCTGCAATCCATTGAAAGTCAGTCCTGGACACCAGGGTTTGTCCACCCATATGGAGGCTCCAAGCATCTATGCATCCATCCCTCTCGATCCCTAGGACTTCGGACCCGGAGCCACACTGTGGGGCGGCAGTGATCAGGTACCCTCCTGGCAACCCGACTCAATGCCCCGCCTCCTCGCCACCCTGCCAGGATGCACCCTGGGCTGGGACAAAGTTGGGGAGCGGTGGGGATAGCAGAGATGGATGGGTAGCCCCCTGCATCCTCAGGGTTGACCAGCAGTCTGCCAGGCTCGGTCTCTCTTCTGCAGTCCATCAACCTCCAAAGACTCACATCGATAGGCCCCTGCCTGCCTTAGGCCAGGGGTCCCCATTAGACTGTAGCCAAGGGACAGCCCATTGAGACAGTGGACTAGCTCAAGGCCTCGAGCTGCTGGGTCGAGACCAGTTGTCCGGCTGCCACCTTAGACGAGAGGCTAGGGCCAACCTAGAGAGGGGCCCACGGGGACCCAGACTGGCAGCGGGGGTAAAACAGAGAATCATTCCTCAGGTGGGGTGGGGCCCAAGGTTTATGGGAAAAATGTTATTGTTATTAGAAATATTTATCTGTAAATATGAAATCACAGAAATTGTAATACAGTCTTCTATAACATTAAATATAAATTGTAGGGGTTATAAATGATAAATCCATGTGAAAAACAAATAAACGTGAACAGTTATTTTTATTTTTTTAGAGACAGGGTCTTGCTCTGTCACCCAGAGTAACAGTCACCCTGGAGTGCAGTGCCGCGACCATGGCTCATGGCAGCCTCCTGGGCTTAAGCGATCCTCCTGCCTCAGCTTCTGAGTAGCTGGGACCACTGGCACATGCCATTATGCCCGACTGATTTTAAAATGTTTTATAGAGACAGGGTTTCACCATGTTGCCCAGGCTGGTCTCCAACTCCTGGATTCAAGAGAACTGGCCACCTCTACCTCTTAAAGTGCTAGGATTATAGGTGTGGGCCACTATGCCAGGCCTGAAGTTATTTTTGTCACTGTCACTCATCATGATTGTAACTATCGCTGTTATGATTATTCGTTGTCGTAGCTAGAGCAATAAACACGCTGAGTACAGCTCTCTGTCCACAAAAGGGTTCCACCAATGGGAGGCAACGGAGGAAGTGTTCAGGGCTCAGAATGTCCAATCTTGCAGGGCACCACTGTCCCCCACCCATAGCTGGCCCTGGCCCAGGGCCCTCTGGAAAAAAAAAAAAGTCAAGGCCTCCTGGACTGTGGGGGTCGGCCCCCTCCAACCCATTCCAACCAGGGAGCTCCAAGGTGGAGGCCAGGCACACGCTGGGCACTCTCCGCCAGCCTTGGGCCAAGAAATGTGACCCAACGTGAGTGGAGCCAAGGCCGGGTATCCTCACCACCTGTGATGGCTTCTGTGGACACAGACTTTCGCATCCCTTGCCAGGAACAAGCTGGTGGCTGCTTTTATGTAATCCATGAAGGTCACCCAGATGGCCAGACCTGAGCCTGGTGAAATGGGGGTGGGAATGGGCCGGGGTTGGTGCGAAAGGGCAGCTAGAGGGTTAAAAACTGAGACTGAGTCCTCAGCTGGAAGGTGCAGGATGCAGAGTCAGGTGTGAGAGTGACTCACGAGGTTTATAGTAATGAGAATATTTTTGTTATTTATAAACAATTGTAATTAATACATATATAATTATATAAGTACTATAAATATATAACTTTATTATACATAAACTATATATAAAATACAAAATATTTATCTATAAATTATATAATACATAAATATGTTATATAAATTTTGTTTTTGTTTTTGGGAGAGTCTTGCTCTGTCACCCAAGCTGGAGTTCAGTGGCATAGTCTCGGCTCACTACAACCTCTGCCTCCTGGGTTCAAGTGATTCCCCTGTCTCAGCCTCTCAAGTAGCTGGGACCACAGGCACATGCTACCACACCCAGCTAATGTTGGTATTTTTAGTGGAGGCGGGATTTTGCCATGTTGGCCAGGCTGGTATCAAACTCCTGACCTCAAGTGATCTGCCCGCCTCAGCCTCCTAAAGGGCTAGGAATACAGGTGTGAGCCACTGTGCCCCGCCCTGTATGTCATATAAATTCTGAAATGTAAATTAAAGTATAGATTATAAGAATTTTATAAATATTAATAAGTATATAAAAGTAATTATTGTCATTGCTATTTATCGTTACTGTAATTATTACTATGATTACCAATAGGAGTTGTTATAGAAATACTGAATAAAGTTTCTCTGTCTAGGAAAGGTATTCAGTTGACCAGAGATGATAAAGAGGGTTTCCAGGCCAATGAATTGTCTCAATTCACTGGTGAGCACAGGAAGGCCGTGAGCAGCCACCAGCCTGGAGAGCCTATCCACATCTCCACAGTGATCTGCTCCAAATGCTCAGGACTGAATCCAGACCCTCCCTCATTTTTGACACCCACTTCCAAGTTAGGGTCAACAGGGGAAGCCAAATACACTGACCCTCATGGATCATGTGGAACGCACCTCTTCTTGTCAGTCTGCTTCCAGCCATTCCCAGATCAGCCCGCTCCCAGCAGGATGCACCCTCCTCTTTTCCTACCATAAAGCTTTCCTACTCCTCTGCCTGCCTTTGAGTCTCTGCCAAGCACAAGCTGTTGTGGTGGCTGCCTCTTACAATAGAGAGCGAGCTCTCGATTAATAAATGTTGTTCTCATGTGGGTGATCTTTATCTCCACAAAGGTTATGACACAGGAGCCTTTTGGTGCCTCTGTGTCAGCCAGAAACCTCTGTGACTGGCAATGCAGGGATCTTGCTCAGCTCTGGGTTCACCACCTGGCTTCCTCCACCCACTTGTCCTGGCAGGCTGTATTCGGCTTGTGCTCCTGGCCTGGATCCCATGCCCACCAGCTCTTCACTCAGCCTGCAACTGGTCTGCAGGCTGCCTTGAACGGCTTCTGCCTTGGGTGCCAATGTCTGGATAAGGGGGATGCAGCAGTGCCTGAAAGCTTGAAGATGCCAGCAACCACGGAGCCCCAAGGGGTGTTACAGCCTTTTCCTCAGGGATTCCTAAAGTGCTAGGACTTTAGGCTCAAAGTCTCCTTTGAGCCCTCAGGAAGCATTACAGCTCATTTGCGTTACAGCTCATTCATTCCCATCATCTGCAAGCTTCGGCGAATCAGGTCATGTCCCAGCTTGTTTGGTCCTGCCGCCCTGCCCAGGCCTGTGGCTCCTTGGCTGATCAAGTTCTGCTGTCACCGCTTCCTGTCACATGGGGCAGCCATCTGGCACCAGTGGAGGGTGGGAGGACTACAGTGCTACAGCTCTTTTCACACCTGCCATTCAGTGGGCTCCATGTCCTTGTCCTGCATCCAAGAGAAATGAGCTATACAGACACCAGAGAGTGGGCAAGATTGGGAAGAATTGTCTTGAGTGACAGAAAAGCTCTCAAAACAAGAGGGGACCCAAGGTGGGTAGCCGTCTGTGTGAGAGGGAGCCTGAAGGCAGATAGTCCCAGTGTGTGGCTGAGTCTGAGGGTTTTATAGGCTCAGAATCGGGGAGTGCATACTAATTGGTCCATGGGCAGGCCTGAAAAAAGCACCATTTGGGGAGAAAAATTTTGCAATCCACGCATCTGACGAAGGGCTAATATCCAGAATCTACAAAGAACTTAAACAAATTTACAAGAAAAAAATCAAACAACCCCATCAAAAAGTGGGTGAAGGATATGAACAGACACATCTCAAAAGAAGACATTTATGCAGCCAACAGACACATGAAAAAATGCTCATCATCACTGGCCATCAGAGAAATACAAATCAAAACCACAATGAGATACCATCTCACACCAGTTAGAATGGCGATCATTAAAAAGTCAGGAAACAATAGGTGCTGCAGAGGATGTGGAGAAATAGGAACACTTTTACACTATTGGTGGGACTGTAAACTAGTTCAACCATTGTGGAAGACAGTGTGGCGATTCCTCAAGGATCTAGAACTAGAAATATCATTTGACCCAGTGATCCCATTACTGGGTATATACCCAAAGGATTATAAATCATGCTACTATAAAGACACATGCACACGTATGTTTATTGCGGCACTATTCACAATAGCAAAGACTTAGAGCCAACCCAAATGTCCATCAAAGATAGACTGGATTAAGAAAATGTGGCACATATACACCATGGAATACTATGCAGCCATAAAAAATGATGAGTTCATGTCCTTTGTAGAGACATGGATGAAGCTGGAAACCATCATTCTCAGCAAACTATCGCAAGGACAGAAAACCAAACACTGCATGTTCTCACTCACAGGTGGGAATTTAACAATGAGAACACTTAGACACAGGGTGGGGAACATCACACACCGGGGCCTGTCATGGGGTGGCGGGATGGGGGAGGGATAGCATTAGAAGAAATACCTAATGTAAATGACGAGTTAATGGGTGCAGCACACCAACATGGCACATTTATACATATGTAACGAACCTGCAAGTTGTACACATGTACCTTAGAACTTAAAGTATAATAAAAGTATATATATATTTAAAAAAAGAAAAAAAAATAGAAAAAAGCACCATTTGATTGGCTAAAAGACACCAAGGACATTCTCACTCTAGGTTGTGGACTCTACCTGAAACTGGCAGCCTGGTTTTCAGGCTTCAGGTTGTCTTTTAGCTTGAAGGTTGGGATTCACTGAGGACGTTTTACTGCCTAGGAATTTGTCTGCCTCCTGCCTGTATCAGTTAGTAGTAGGGAAAGCAAATAAAGCAGTCAGAATCATAACCATGCCCTACGTTAACTCTTTCTCTGTCTCCCTTATGTCCCTATTTTTTCCATCACACCATTTTAAAAATTAGCATATAATCTGCATACCATAAAAATTCATCCTTTAAAAAGTGTACAGTTCAGTGATTTTTTTTGTCTATTCACAAAGTTGTGCAACTATCACCACCATCTAATCCCAAGGCACTTTCTTCACCTCAAAAAGAAATGCTTATGCCCATTAAACAATCCCCATACCCATTAATCAGGCATTTCCCATTTGACCCCTGCCCCATACCTTGGCAATCACCAGTCTGCTGTCTTCACGACTTGCTTATTCTGAATATTTTATAT